>NT_167245.2:2114228-2414228 GCF_000001405.40 Homo sapiens | reverse complement strand
CACCCCCTTCACCTCCCCACACGGAAGCAGAGGGGTCCTCTTTTCCTTCTCCTGGCTATGTTTATGCCCTCAACTATCCTTCCAGCACTGGAGACAAGTCTCACCTGCACTAACCTGTCTTTGAAGGTCCTGGGGGCTGGAGGGGTCACAGGCCCTGAGCCAGCAGGCTGAGGTGATCGTTCGGCAGCTGCAAGAGCTGCGGTGGCTGGAGGAGGAGGTCTGGCTCCTGCGGGAGACCTCGCTGCAGCAGAAGATGAGGCTAGAGGCCCAGGCCATGGAGCTAGAGGCTCTGGCACGGGCGGAGAAGGCCGGCCGAGCTGAGGCTGAGGGCCTGCGTGCTGCTTTGGCTGGGGCTGAGGTTGTCCGGAAGAACTTGGAAGAGGGGAGGCAGCGGGAGCTGGAAGAGGTTCAGAGGCTGCACCAAGAGCAGGTGAATGCAGGGGTAGAAAGGATTCAAATTCATAACGGAGAGCTGGGCAGTAGCTTCCAAGCAAAGAACAGGTATTGCAGAAAAGACCCTCCATGAGTAGTGAGTAGTAGAGTGATGAGACCTTTGGTGAAAATAAACACACATGGGCTAGAAAGATGGAGAATTTGGGTACTTTTATCTTAATTCAGGTTGCACTTTTCCCCCAAGACTCAGGTGGCCTCCCACCACTTGAAGCCCTGCTTCCCTTTCTAGTAGGAAATAGTTTGCCTCCCTACTTTACTCCAGGTACCAATTCATCAGGGGTATTGTGGAGGGCAGTGAGGAAGGGGGGTATAAGGGGGCTATGGTGGACTGGGAGAGAGAGATTATTCAGTCCTCAAACTCAGTACTTACTCTGCCATCTCTAAGACTCAGTGACCAAATTAGCCTGAGTCCTGCCTTCGTGGATGGAACTGACAGCCTCGTGGGGGATATACACATCCACATTTAATTTAATCATAATTAATTGCAATCAGGAGGAATGCCTTGAAGGAGAAGGACTAGAAAGCACTAACTTAGTCTGGGGTTCAGGGAAGGCCACTGTAACCAGTTGACATGTCAAGGAAAGAAACCATAGCCCTGGGCGCAGTGGCTCACGCCTGTAATCCCAGCATTTTGGGAGGCCGAAGCAGGCAGATCACAAGGTCAGGAGTTCAAGACCAGCCTGGCCAACATGGCGAAACCCTGTCTCTACTAAAAATACAAAAATTCACCAGGCATGGTGGTGCGCACCTGTAATCCCAGCTACTTGGGAGGCCGAGGCAGGAGAATCACTTGAACCTGGGCAGTGGAGGTTGCAGTGAGCCGAGACTGTGCCATTGCACTCCAGCCTGGGCGACAGAGCAAGACTCTGTCTCAAAAAATAAAAAAGGAACTGGGAGAAAACAAGGGAGAATTCCTTTATAACCTTGTAGTGGGCAAGGCCTTTCTACCTGTGAGTCAAAATCCAAAATCTAGAAGCCATAAAGGAAAAAATTGATCCATTGACTTTATAACATGAACATTAGGAATAGCCAAAAAGAAAAAAAAAAGCTATATTTATAGCTCAGATCACAAGAAAAGGGTAATATCCCTAATATAAAATGTGTGCCTAGAAATTGGTAAGGGAAAGACCAGCAATCCAATCAGAAAATGGACAAAGGAGATTTATGAAAGAAACTTAGAAACAAGAAGCTAGGCCAGGCACAGTGGCTCATGCCTGTAATCCCAGCACTTTGGGAGGCCGAGGTGGGCGGATCACTTGAGGCCAGGAGTTAAAGACCAACCTGGCCAACATGAAGAACTCTACAAAAAAATACAAAAATTAGCCGGGTATAGTCGTGGGCGCCTGTAATCCCCCAGCTTCTTGGGAGGCTGAGGCAGGAGAATTGCTTGAACCTGGGAGACAGAGGTTACAGTGAGCTGACATCACACTCCAGCCTGGGCAGCAGAGCGAGACTAAAAAAACAACAAGCTACCGTTTGTGCTGAATAGGAGTTGGCCAGTGAAGAGGCGTGTGAAGTCCAGTGGTAGCTGGAAGACACTTGGTGGGACAACAGGTGAAGGCGGGGACAGGAGGCCAGAAGGCTGGGGCACAGAGATGAGGGGCACTGAGTGTGCTGCAGAGCCCAGGACCCAGGGCACAAGGCTTTGGCCACTTCAGAACTTGCTACTTTCCCATAAGAGCAATGAGCAGGCTGGGCACAGTGGCTCATACCTGTAATCCTAGCACTTTGGGAGGCCAAGGTGGAAGGATCATTTGAGCCCAGGAGTTTGAGACCAGCCTGGGCAACAAAGCGAGACCCCCATCTCTATTTTATGGAAGAAATTAGGGCTGGGCATGGTTGCTCACATGTGTAATCCTAGCACTTTGGGAAGCTGAGGCGGGTGGATCACTTGAGGTCAGGAGTTCGAGACCAGCCTGGCCAACATGGTAAAACCTCATCTCTACTAAAAATACAAAAATTAGCTGGGCGTGGTGGCTCATGCCTGTAATCTCAGCTACTCGGGAGGGTGAGGCAGGAGAATCGCTTGAACCTGGGAGGCAGCGTTTGCAGTGAGCTGAGATCGTGCCATTGCACTCCAGTCTAGGCAACAAAGTGAAACTCCATCTCCAAAAAAACAAACAAAAAAAAATTGTTTTTTCAAGTAATAAGCAACCGTTGAAAGGTTGTTTTTTTTTTTTTTTTTTGAGATGGAGTCTCGCTCTGTCGCCCAGGCTGGAGTGCAGTGGCGCGATCTTGGCTCACTGCAAGCTCCGCCTCCCGGGTTCATGTCATTCTTCCGAGTAGCTGGGACTACAGGCGCCCGCCACCACGCCCAGCTAATTTTTTGTATTTTAATAGAGACGGGGTTTCACCGTGTTAGCCAGGATGATCTCGATCTCCTGACCTTGTGATCCACCCACCTCGGCCTCCCAAAGTGCTGGAATTACAGGAATGAGCCACTGCGCCCGGCCTGTTGAAAGGTTTTAAGCAGGGAAATAACATGATTAGATTTGTATTTTATGTCTAAAAAATTTTGTCATTTATGTCCCCCAAATTAATTTTATTGTTGTATGGAGACAGGGCTAGAGGAGGCAGACCAGGAAGCAGGGTGGGCACTTTGCCCTCCTTTCCAGTCCATCCCATGACTCTTGGTGGCTCTGACACCCCTGCAACCCTTTGAGGTGCCATGAGCAAAAGACACAAAATTCCTCCTTTCCTGGAGCTTTCCTTCCAGTGTGGTCCGACAGATAGTAACACATACACATAAGCAAGATATGGTCAGTGCTAAGTGCTCAGGAGGACGTGAACAGCTGATGGGGCAGAGTAGGGTGGGGAGGGACGGTATTAGAGGGCCCAGTGAAGCCACCCTGAGGAGGGGCTATTGCCTGGGGTCTGTGGAGCAAGGAGGGGCCGCTGTCTGGTTCTCAGCAGACTCCCCGTGGCCGGAGCGGGGAGCAGTGGGAGAGCCTCCAGGGTGAGCTCAGGAGGTAGGCAGAGGCCGGGTCCCCTGGCCTGCAGGTGTGGAGAGACACCTGGGTTTTGTTGTGAATGCTGTGAGAAGCCACTGAGGGTTTGTAAAGACTAGTTAGGAGATGGTCGCTGTTGCCCAGGCAAAAGATGAGGGTTGGTGGCAGTGGAGACGGAGACAGAGAGGTGAAGATATGTTTTGGGGGAGATCGGACAAGAACTCCTGATGGGTTGTGGGGCAGCTGCGGAGAGTGAGTTGCCAGCTCTCCATTTGCTGTGCACAGTTGGCTGATTGGTTGGGTCATTCTCTAAGGTCACAGAAAGTGGGAGTGAAGGGAACAAGGAAGGCCTCCGTGTGGGGTCGAGCCTCTGCTGAGCCCCCTCTTCTTTCCGCAGCTGTCCTCTTTGACACAGGCTCACGAGGAGGCTCTTTCCAGTTTGACCAGCAAGGCTGAGGGCTTGGAGAAGTCTCTGAGTAGTCTGGAAACCAGAAGAGCAGGGGAAGCCAAGGAGCTGGCCGAGGCTCAGAGGGAGGCCGAGCTGCTTCGGAAGCAGCTGAGGTAGGTGGGCGGACGCCGACGGGAGCCCAGCAATTAGTGATGTGGTGGATCTGCAGGGCGCCCCACTGATGGCTGTCCCATTCCCACCCCAACCCTAGCAAGACCCAGGAAGACTTGGAGGCTCAGGTGACCCTGGTTGAGAATCTAAGAAAATATGTTGGGGAACAAGTCCCTTCTGAGGTCCACAGCCAGACATGGGAACTGGAGCGACAGAAGCTTCTGGAAACCATGCAGGTGAGGGTGCAGGAATGTATCTGTGTGCAGACTTAGGGATCAGGTTGGGAGGCAAGCGTGGCCCTTGGAGGAGCGTGTAGAGCACAGCCTCCGGGAGAGAAGGTGGTACCTAAGGCGGCATGGAGGCCCTACAGAGGGGCTGCTTTCCTCTGCCCGCAGCACTTGCAGGAGGACCGGGACAGCCTGCATGCCACCGCGGAGCTGCTGCAGGTGCGGGTGCAGAGCCTCACACACATCCTCGCCCTGCAGGAGGAGGAGCTGACCAGGAAGGTACAGCCCAACCCCCAGACCCCTCACCCTCAGCCGCATCCTGCATCTACTGTCCCCTGCCTCCCTCCCTGTGGGCAGGAGGGGTCAATGTGCCCCAGAACCTGCTTAGATCTCCTTCCTGTGAACTCCTCTTGCTGTAGCTCATGTTGCCCAGGCAGGACAGAGGAGAAACAAAGATGCCACCTCCTTCCTCTCCTCCCCCAGGAGCCCACGCTTTTCTCCCACTCCTTCTCCCTCAGGTTCAACCTTCAGATTCCCTGGAGCCTGAGTTTACCAGGAAGTGCCAGTCCCTGCTGAACCGCTGGCGGGAGAAGGTGTTTGCCCTCATGGTGCAGCTAAAGGCCCAGGAGCTGGAACACAGTGACTCTGTTAAGCAGCTGAAGGGACAGGTCACTGCACTCTCTTTTCTCCCGGTATTCCCTCCCAGCACCTTGCTCCTTCCATGAAGGTGGCATCCATTCAACCAGTGTTTATTGAGTGGTTGCCACATGCTGGGCACACAGCCCTGAACAAAACTAAAATGTGGAGCTTGCATTCTAGAACAGAGACACAGAACACGCAAGTAAACAGATAATGTTGGGTAATTATATGTGCGATAGAAAGATTGAAGCCGGGTGCAGTGGCTCACACCTATAATGCGATCACTTTGGTCTCGAACTCCTGACCTCAGGTGATTCACCTGCCTCAGCCTCCCAAAGTGATGGGATTACAGGTGTGAGCCACCGTGCCCAGTCAAGTAATGCCAACAGTTTGGGAGACCGAGGCAGGTGGATCACTGGAGGTCAGGAGTTCGAGACCAGCCTGGGCAACATGTGAAATCCCGTCTCTACTAAAAATACAAAAAATTAGCCGGGCATAGTGGCTCATTCCTGTAGTCCCAGCTACTCTGGAGGATGAGGTGGGAGGATCACCTGAGGCTGGGAGGTCGAGGCGAGGCCACAGTGAACTGTGATCCCATCACTGCACTCTAGCCTGGGTGACAAAGCGAGATCTTTTCTCAAAAAAAAAGAAAGTAGTAAGAAAAATTCAAAAGATAATGTGACAGAGAGACTGTGGGGTGAGTCAGCCTCAGGTAGGATGCTCAGAGACAGCCTCTCTGAGGAGGTGACAGCATCTGAGGAGAGTGGCATGGTCAGTTGGTGGGTCTTGTGGGGTGTGTCAAGGGCTATTCCCATCTTCGAGTGGGCACATGGAATGTGGAACATGGAACACTGGGCTCAGATTCCATCCTCAGAACCTAAGCTTCTGTCTCCCTGCGTGGCATTCATTCTTTTTCTTTTCTTTTCTTTTTTTTTTTTTTTGAGAAGGAGTCTTGTTCTTGTCACCCAGGCTGGAGTGCAGTGGCCTGATCTCAGCTCACTGCAACCTCCGCCTCCCAGGTTCAAGTGATTCTCCTGCCTCAGCCTCCCGAGTAGCTGGGATTACAGGCACATGCCATCACGCTCAGCTAATTTTTGTATTTTTAGTAGAGACAGGCTTTCACCATGTTGGCCAGGCTGATCTTGAACCCCTGACCTCAAGTGATCCATCTGCCTCGGCCTCCCAAAGTGCTGGGATTACAGGTGTGAGCCACCGTGCTGCGACCCACCCCCGTTGCCCGCCCCCCCTCCCCCCAGCCCCTGCATGGCATTCTTACAGAGATCTCTGCACCTGCCACTTTGCTTCCAGTGCCCCCCTCATCTTTTAGCTCTAGAGGGCCCTGCCCAGCTCTCTCTCCTCCCCCAGGTGGCCTCACTCCAGGAAAAAGTGACATCCCAGAGCCAGGAGCAGGCCATCCTGCAGCGATCCCTGCAGGACAAAGCCGCAGAGGTGGAGGTGGAGCGTATGGGTGCCAAGGTTGGTGTCAGCCTACTAGAGACTCGGGGAGGGCAAGGGAGCCCCTGTTCCGGGGCTGCAGCCAGGACTTAGGGAGGGACCCTGTCCTTTGCTGCATCCTCCCCAGGGCCTGCAGTTGGAGCTGAGCCGTGCTCAGGAGGCCAGGCGTTGGTGGCAGCAGCAGACAGCCTCAGCCGAGGAGCAGTTGAGGCTTGTGGTCAATGCTGTCAGCAGGTATCAGGGATGGAGGGGTGGGTGGAGTAGTGTTTCTGCTACCTCAGGTTCCTGGGCACCTTGTTGCTGAGGATCCTCAGGCAAGAGGGGCTGGAAAGTGGCCACTGGAGGCTACAGGGCTGGGCAGATTTAGCTCTATCAATGTTCCTGTGTTCGTTTCTTTTCCTGGGGAAGCCCCTTCTGCATTCATACCTGATTGCTTGTTATGAATTTCCCGTTGCATGTTTGGCTGGAGGTGAGGCCTTGCTTCCTCCTGCAGTTCAGTCTAGTAATGGCTTGAGCTAAATAGAGCACCCGGGAGGATCTTCACTTGCAGTATTGTTCAAGGATGGAGAGTGTAGACACTTCATCTTCCTTTTTTTTTCTAAAATTTTACGGGCAATCCGTTTCACTGGAGAAAAATTTAGTCTATTTATTTATTTATTTTGAGACAAAGTCTCGCTCTGTCACCCAGGCTGGAGTGCAATGGCGCAATCTTGGCCCACTGCAACCTCACCTCCCTGGTTCAAGTGATTCTCCTGCCTCAGCCTCCCGAGTAGCTGGATTACAGGCATCCTCCACCAGTGTCCTCCACTACGCCCGGCTAATTTTTGCATTTTTAGTAGGGACGGGGTTTCACCATGTTGGCCAGGCTGGTCTTGAACTCCTGACCTCAGGTGATCCACCCACCTCAGCCTCCCAAAGTGCTGGAATTATAGGTGTGAGCCACTGCACCTGGCCTAGTCTATTTATTTAAAGCTGTATACTTACTTGCTTATTATATACTTAACTTGCTTACTATTCCATCTAAAATGTAAGCCAGTTAGTTTCCTTCTAAATCAATTGCCAGCCTTTGTCTCTCCTACCAACTTCCTAGTTGTTTCATTACCTACAATTGTTGTATGACCTTCAGAAAAACCTCTAAGAAAACAGCAAAGCTTCTTTGTGCTGGTGATGACTTCCCCTCAGCCTTAGACACTGAGGTACCCAAGGCAGGTAGTTCTTTTTTTTTTGAGACAGAGTCTCGCACTGTCACCCAGGCTGGAGTGCAATGGCACGATCTCAGCTCACTGCAACCTCTGCCTCCCGGGTTCACACGATTTTCCTGCCTCAGCCTCCTGAGTAGCTGGGATTACAGGTGCACACCACCACACCCGGCTACTTTTTTGTATTTTTAGTAGAGACAGGGTTTCACTGTGTTGGCCAGGCTGGTCTCAAACTTCTGACCTCGTGATCCGCCCGCCTCGGCCTCCCAAAGTGCTGGGATTACAGGCTTGAGCCACCGTGCCCGGCCGGCAGGTAGTTCTTAGCACAGTCTCTGGCTTGTAAATGTTGATTGTTATCGTGAGGCTCTTCTTGATGGGTTAATTTAGATAAAGATAATTTTTGGTTTAGCGAAATTAAGATGCAGGATGAGTCCTTGCCCACCACTTCCTTCTCTTGGGTTTGTACCTTAGGGACTAATTTAGCTTTAAAAATTATGAAAAATTTCAAACTTGCACGGAATTAAACTAGTTATAATGACCTACCACCCAGGTTCAATCCATCGCGGGTGCCCCCTACCTCCAGGAGAACAGAAAGATGCACTGTGGACAGGGTTTGACTTTGGTACCAGGTGATCACAGAAATGGTCTGTGTAATGATGCATTTGCCGAAAGTCCTCCAGGCTTAAAGCAGTCCAAACTCTGATTGTTGCTGGGTTTATTAGATTGTCTCTAGGTAATTGGAGACTTTAATAAGAGCTGTGGTAGGTGTTGGAAGCATCTACTGGAACAATTTCCAGATCAAAGTGAACTTTGCTGTGCTGCTGGGGATGCAGCTGCAAGCCTTCATCATCATGTGTTTTTCTGTGGGTGCAGACCTGGACTCTCCTGAGGAAACCCCAGCCCGGCCCCAGACACTCCTTGGCCTCCTCCTGGGGCCTGTTTAAGCTGCTCAGTTTTCATGAGCCAGGTTGGTCCTACTTCTGGCACAGCCAGCTGGTAAAGCATGTGGACCTGCCCGTCACTGGTGCTAGATCGACACTCCTGGGCTTGGAGAGGATAACTTTGTTTTCTTTTGTTTTTTTGAGATGGAGTCTCGCTCTGTCACCCAGTCTTGAGGGCAGGGGTGCGATCTTGGCTCACTGGAACCTCCACCTCCTAGGTTCAAGTGATTCTCGTGCCTCAGCCTCTGGAGTAGCTGGGATTACAGGCATGAGCCACCATGCCCGGCTAATTTTTGTGTTTTTAAGTAGAGAGAGTTTCACCGTGTTGGCCAGGCTAGTCTCCAATTCCTGACTTCAGGTGATCCGCCCGCCTCGGCCTCCCAAAGTGCTGGGATTACAGGCAGGAGCCACTGCCCCTGACCAGAGAGGATAACTTTACTCTTTGATACACGATAGTGAGCAAAACACAGTTGTGAGAAATAAGCTTAACAGGTTGCTTAAAAAGATAGTCATTTAATGCATTCTTGGGGCAAGGGTCCTTTAGATAATTGACGGAAGCTGTGCGTTCTGTACTTGTATAATGGGACAGGATTAGAGGGAGTTGTCTATACAAGGCACAGCAAGTCCTTTGGGAATGAGGGGAGGCATGGAGGATCAGTGACTTGTGCCCTCTCCAGCTCTCAGATCTGGCTCGAGACCACCATGGCTAAGGTGGAAGGGGCTGCCGCCCAGCTTCCCAGCCTCAACAACCGACTCAGCTATGCTGTCCGCAAGGTCCACACCATTCGGGGTGCGTAGGACAACTGCGAGCCACGTCCTGCCCCCACCCCACCAGCTCGGACTTTCTTCTTCCTGACCCAGCTCTCTCTGATCCCACATCCATTCACCTTCCTCCTTTCACCAGTCCTTGCATCTCTTTTTCCCTTACTCCCTGTCCCCACTTTCTCCCATGCAAACTTCATCTCTTTTTCTCCCTGCTTTTTCCCTCCCAGGCCTGATTGCTCGAAAGCTTGCCCTTGCTCAGCTGCGCCAGGAGAGGTGAAGTTTGGGCACTTTGAGGTGGATGGGGCTTTAGGGCATTGGCTGCTGGGACCCCCAAAACCATGAGGACTGAGGTGGGATGGGGGCTTTGGGATCAGGCAGCTGGGTGATTTCTCCTGACTCTTTCTCTTCCCCGTCTCAGCTGTCCCCTACCACCACCGGTCACAGATGTGAGCCTTGAGTTGCAGCAGCTGCGGGAAGAACGGAACCGCCTGGATGCAGAACTGCAGCTGAGTGCCCGCCTCATCCAGCAGGAGGTGGGCCGGGCTCGGGAGCAAGGTACACCTGGTTGCCAGAGGGTGGAGAGGATGAGGAAAAACCCAGTGTCTAGGGTGCTGGGAGAGGCCTGACCCAGCACCCCCTCCTTTTAGGGGAGGCAGAGCGGCAGCAGCTGAGCAAGGTGGCCCAGCAGCTGGAGCAGGAGCTGCAGCAGACCCAGGAGTCCCTGGCTAGCTTGGGGCTGCAGCTGGAGGTAGCACGCCAGTGCCAGCAGGAGAGCACAGAGGAGGCTGCCAGTCTGCGGCAGGAGCTGACCCAGCAGCAGGAACTCTACGGGCAAGGTGTCGAGAGGGAAATGGGTGCTTCCCTTGGAGGGTGGGGTGGGAACTGCGAATCAAAGGTCCTGCTGATATGCCCCGTCTGCACTTTCACCCCAGCCCTGCAAGAAAAGGTGGCTGAAGTGGAAACTCGGCTGCGGGAGCAACTCTCAGACACAGAGAGGAGGCTGAACGAGGCTCGGAGGGAGCATGCCAAGGCCGGTGAGCCTTGCCAGGGTGGATAGGGCCTTCCAGGAAGAAGGAAGTGTTAAGACATAAGGTTATTATTTTCCCCTCAAAGTGTGTTCAAAGCTTCATTACAGGAAGTAATGAAGGTATCCAGGAGTAGCACAGATGAATTATCACATCGTGAACACACCCATGTAGCCAGCACCAGATTAAGAAACAGCATATGGCCGGTCGCGGTGGCTTATGCCTGTAATCCAAGCACTTTGGGAGGCCGAGGTGGGTGTATCACCTGAGGTCAGGAGTTTGAGGCCAGCCTGGACAACATGGCGAAACCCTGTCTCGACTAAAAATACAAAAATTAGCTAGGCCTGGTGGTGGGCACCTGTACACCAAGCTTACTTGTGAGGCTGATGTGGGAAGATTACATGAACCCGGGAGGTCGAGGCTGCAGTGAGCCAAGATTGTGCCACTGCACTCAAGCCTGGGTGATAGAGAAAGACCATGTGTCAAAAAAAGAATTGTGTAATGAATGTATCTTCTCTAACTAAATATAGCAGTTAACATTTGCCACATTTGGTCTCTTATCTATATACACACATATTTGTACATCTTTTGAATCACTTTAAGTTGTAATCATTTAATGTTTTGTTGTTGTTGTTGTTTGAGACAGAGTCTTCCTCTGTCACCAGCTGGAGTGCAGTGGCATGATCTTGGCTCACTGTGACCTCTGCCTCCCGGGTTCAAGCCATTCTCCTGGCTCAGCCTCCCAAGTAGCTGGGATTACAGGCGCCCACCACCATGCCCAGCTAGTTTTTGTATTTTCAGTAGAGACGGGATTACACCATGTTGGCCAGGATGGTCTCGAGCTCCTGACCTCGTGATCCGCCCGCCTTGGCATCCCAAAGTGCTGGGATTATAGGCGTGAGCCACCACGCCTAAGTAAGTTGTAAACATAAGTTGTTCAGCCGCATCTCCCAAAGCCAGTAAATTCTCCTATATAGCTGCAATCATCACACTTTAAGACAGTGAACACTAATTGCACAAAATCTAACCCAGTTCATGTTCAGATTTCCCCTGAGGAACTCCAGGATGGTTCAGGGATGAGGAAGATACTTAGGTTCAGATTCCCAGGCTCCTAGAGCATCAGCCCACCCCTCCAACTGTACAGAAGAGACAGATCCACAGAGCAGAACAGCCTCCCCAAGCCACAGAGTTGGTGACCCAGCGTTTGTTCCTGTCTTCATGGTGCCTGGCTGCCTCTGGCCTGACTCACACCTGCCTCCTCTGTGCCTTGGCCTCTCTGTAGTGGTCTCCTTGCGCCAGATTCAGCGCAGAGCCGCCCAGGAAAAGGAGCGGAGCCAGGAACTCAGGCGTCTGCAGGAGGAGGCCCGGAAGGAGGAGGGGCAGCGACTGGCCCGGCGCTTGCAGGAGCTAGAGAGGGATAAGAACCTCATGCTGGTAGGAGACAGGAGGGCAGACAGGCAGACACTAGGGCCCATCCTGGGCTGGTTCCTGGGCTAGAGGTGTGGAAAGAGGATGGTGAGGGAGGCTCTATCCGGGCTAGGTTTAACCCTCTCCTTCCCAGGCCACCTTGCAGCAGGAAGGTCTCCTCTCCCGTTACAAGCAGCAGCGACTGTTGACAGTTCTTCCTTCCCTACTGGATAAGAAGAAATCTGTGGTGTCCAGCCCCAGGCCTCCAGAGTGTTCAGCATCTGCACCTGTAGCAGCAGCAGTGCCCACCAGGGAGTCCATAAAAGGTCTTGGGCCAAGCACAAAGGGACAAGGGACAAATGCGCGCACTTCAGGAATCTCCTCTTCAGACTCTCGCATGATGAGTGTTGTTCTCTGCGGTCCTTCGAGGCCCTTAGCCTCTTTTAGCGATGCCCAGCTTGGACCAAAGAGCCTCCTCTCTCCCATTCCTCATTTCCTGTGCCAGCCCTGTTTCCTCTGTAACCACGAGCACCTTCCCTTGTCTGGTGCTCATCTGCTGTCTTCCTTCCCAGGGTCCCTCTCTGTCCTGCTCGATGACCTGCAGGACCTGAGTGAAGCCATTTCCAAAGAGGAAGCTGTTTGTCAAGGAGACAACCTTGACAGATGCTCCAGCTGCAATCCCCAGATGAGCAGCTAAGCAGCTGACAGTTGGAGGGAAAGCCAGCCTGGGGGCTGGGAGGATCCTGGAGAAGTGGGTGGGGACAGACCAGCCCTTCCCCATCCTGGGGTTGCCCTGGGGGATACCAGCTGAGTCTGAATTCTGCTCTAAATAAAGACGACTACAGAAGGAGCCATTGTTTGGAAATGTTATTTCTGGGAATCTGTGGGAATTCTCCCTGCAGCCATCTCTCTTGGAGATTGTGAGAAGTGGTCCCACCCATAGCTCTCTCTATGGGTGGCACCTTTTCAAATCCTTTTTCTAGGCAGCTTTGGAAATGTTTGGGAAGCTCCTGCTTTTCTTTATTCTCAACTTTTGTTTTAAAACTCTTTTCTTCTGGAAGATGATAAATGCTAGGAGTGGGGAAGATGAAACATTCACTCGTTCAACAGGAATGTCAATGCCAGGCACTGTATTAGCCTGGGGGCCACTTGGACCCTGAGAGCCTACATCCTAGTGGGAGAGAGAGCGAGCAGATGGGACCTAAACAGATGAACGAGATCGTTTCAAATAAGTGCTTGAAGAGAAAGTACAGTATGATGATATGATAGAAACTGACTCTGGGGAGAGGCCTCTGAGCAGGGGACCTTGTGCAGAGGCCTGCCTGAAGTGGGCTCCTGTGGAGGCCAGGAGGTCTCTGTAGAGAATGCTCAAGGATGCTGCTGCGAGGCCGAGATGTGGCCAAGTTTGGATTTTACTGTAAGTCAATAGAAAGCCATTGGAGTACTTCTTTAAAAACGGGGAAGAAAGCCAGGTGTGGTGGCTCACGCCTGTAATCCTGACACTTTGGGAGGCTGAGGCACGCGGATCACCTGAGCTCAGGAGTTTGAGACCAGCCTGGGCAACATGGTGAAACTTCGTCTCTACTAAAATACAAAAAATTAGCCGGGTGTGGTGGTGTGAGCCTGTAGTCCCAGCTACTCAGGAGGCTGACACAGGAGAATTGCTTGGACACGGGAGGTGGAGGTTGCAGTGAGCCGTGATCATGCCACTGCACTCCAGCCTGGGTGACAGAGCGAGACTCAGCCTCAAAAAAAGAAGAAGAAGAAAAAAAAAAAAACCAGGGAAGGGGGCCCGGTGTTGTGGCTCCCGCCTGTAATCCCAGCACTTTTTTTTTTTTGAGACAGTTTTGCTCTTGTTGCCAGGCTGGAGTGCAGTGGCACAATCTCAGCTCACTGCAACCTCCACCTCCCAGGTTCAAGCAATTCTCCTGCCTCAGCCTCCGGAGTAGCTGAATCCCAGCACTTTTTTGGGAGGCCGAGGTGAGCGGATCGCTTGAGCCCAGGAGTTTGAGACCAGCCAACATAGGGAGACTCCATCTATATAAAAAATAAAAATAAAAAACATTGGAGGGCATGGTGGCGTGCACCCATGGTCCTAGTTACTCCAGAGGCTGAGTTGGGAGGATTGTTTGAGCCCAAGAGGTTGAGGCTGCAATGAGCTGTGATCGCACCACTGCACCCCAGCCTAAGAGAGCGAGAACCTGTCCTCACTCCCCAAACAAAGGGAAGACGCAACATGATTTGGTGTACATTTTTTTTCCTGAGGGACTTACTGGATGGTCCCTTCCAGAGTGAGGTACACATATCCACGCACTGTGGTCAGCGATTGCTCCCGGCACCCAGCGCAGCAGATGGGTGGGTCTAACCAGGTCACTTCCCCAGGAGGGCATAATTGAGCAGTTTCCGCATCAGGTCCACGTGGGCCAGCAGCATGCGGCAGGCAGCGGCTGTGGCGCTTCAGGCCCAGGGCGTCCCCATCAGCGTACTTGGACTGCAGCAGCCCCAGGTAGGCCTCCCACGTGTTGCCCACAGTCTTGCTGCAGGTGAAGCAGCGCACACAACTCCTGAGCTCAAGTGGTCCTCCTGTGTCAGCTTCCCAAAGTGCTGGCATGAGCCACTACGCCTGGCCTGATATATATATATATGTTTTTTTTTTTTTGAGACGGAATTTCACTCGTTGCCCAGGCTGGAGTGCAATGGTGTGATCTCAGCTCACCACAACCTCTGCCTCCTGGGTTCAAGCGATTCTCCTGCCTCAGCCTCTTGAGTAGCTGGGATTACCAAGAGGCATGTGCCACCATGTCCGGCTAATATTTTTGTATTTTTAGTAGAGACGGGGTTTCTCCATGTTGGTCAGGCTGGTCTTGAACTCCCGACCTCAGGTGATCCGCCCGCTTCGGCCTCCCAAAGTGCTGGGATTACAGGCGCGAGCCACCACACCAGGCCCGCGTGATGTATATTTTAAGACCTCTTTTGCTGGTGGAGGACAGGCTTTGTGTGAGGGGGAGGGATAAACAGTGGGAGCAAGGGGGCCAATTAGAAGGGTGTTGGGGAGGCTCAGGGGAGATGGTGGCTCAGGATGATGGGCTGGGTTTGGACAGGGTGTGGAGGGGCTTGCAGGTGGATGGTGGAGGAGTGTAACGAAGGTTTCTGCGTGAGCCCTGGAGGGAACAGATGAGATCACGCCATTGCATAATAAGGTGTTCCTTACTGTGGGGTAGCGGACCAGGCAGGGAACAACCTGGGAGGAATCAAATTTTATTTTGGACATGTTACTTCTGAAAGGCTAACAGACTTCCAGGCAGAAAGGTCCTTGAGGGAAACGTTCTAGGGGTCTCTCTGGGAGGCTTAGATCAAGGAGCTGAGACCAAAAGGAGAATGGGAGGGAGGAGACGAGTACAATAGAGTTGGAGCCAAGGTCCTAGAGGCGGATAGGTGGATTCCTGAGGGAGGAGGAAGGGGCTGAGGTTGCTGGAGCCTGGCAGCTTCTTCCGGAGCCATTGGCAGGACTGATGCAAACAGCTCTGGGTGGGAAGAGGGAACCAGGATATCCTCCTGTGTCCTTCCTTTTCTGCAGTCATCCTGGGTGGCTGCCAGATGGAATTCCTTGGATATCATTGCTTGGAGGTCCCCTGCATGCCTGAAGAAGGACATGGTGGAGAGCAGGATGCCTGGATCCCATGGGGGAAGGGAAGTGCCCAGGAAAGCACGAAGCCCCAGGGGGAGCTTTCAGTGCGGGGATGAGTGGGGAGGCTGGGGTAGTAGCTGACACTGTCCCAGCTGCATCCCAGGTTTGAAAGGCACCTCCTCCCCCAGCGCAGGCATCCTGCCTCCCAACCCTGTAATTACGGTGCTTCCCAACGCCCATCGCGTGGTTTGCTCCCATTCTTTGGCTTCCAATAGTTGCAAGGGATGAAGGTGGACATCTCTGTGATTACGGAGATGCCAAGTGGGTATTGACTGCTCCAGGGTGTGGATGGAGGGTGTGAAAACCAGGGTGGGGTGACGCAGGCTCTGGGTCATGATAGGGAGAGCAGGCAGCTGGGTCCTGGGCTGGAGGACTAAAATAAGGGACGCCACCTTCAGGGGTGACACATCAGCCCAGGCCTTCCCAACGGGTTTGACCAGTTCTGTTCTGATGGTATTCCTGTGCCACTGGGCTGGCCCCTCCTCCACTCCTCCCCTATAAAGCCTCTTGGGGTTCCCAGGCACCCAGACTCAGCCCACCCCAGCTTTGGGGGCCAGTACATAGCCATGATCCTCAACTGGAAGCTCCTGGGGATCCTGGTCCTTTGCCTGCACACCAGAGGTGAGGTGGGAACAGAGGCAGGGACTGCAGTTTGGGGTGATGAGGGATACTCAAGATGGCGGAGGTGAACTGGACGCATGGGGTTGGGGACAGGAATTCAGGGGATGCAGAAGGTGCATCTGGCTCACCAGAAATGGCTTTCAGGACACATTGGGTGGGGGACATGGTGCAGAAGGTGCATTTGGCTCTCACCAGAAATGGTTTGCTGGCTCCATGTGGCAAAGTCGGTCAGGATTAACGTGGGGGGGACGAGTTTCCTCGGAGCTGGGATCTGTGTTAAGGAGCTGGGGTCCTTGTAAAGCTGGGGTCTGTGTGCCTGGGGGCCAAGGTGTAACCCACCTTGGGTTGCAGGTTGGCCTGAGGACAAAGCTAGTGGGGTACCCCAACCAGGGGTGGATGGAGCTTATTTGGAGAAGTCTGGTCAGTTTAAAGTGGGTCAAGTGAACAGTTCAGATCCATCGGGGGTAGGGGTTCATGACACTTTACCATCAGTTAAGTATTTACAAACCTACCGAGAGCTCTTTGAGAGTGACTTTTTTGGTCTGTTTGTGGGTCAGTTCAGGCTGCGTCCATCCAGACAGGCTCCTCCTCCTGGGGCTGGGGCTGGGTGGGGCTGGGGAGAGAAGCCCTCACCACCTCTTACCTTTCTCCTTCCTCCTTTACAGGCATCTCAGGCAGCGAGGGCCACCCCTCTCACCCACCCGCAGAGGACCGAGAGGAGGCAGGCTCCCCAACATTGCCTCAGGGCCCCCCAGTCCCCGGTGACCCTTGGCCAGGGGCACCCCCTCTCTTTGAAGATCCTCCGCCTACCCGCCCCAGTCGTCCCTGGAGAGACCTGCCTGAAACTGGAGTCTGGCCCCCTGAACCGCCTAGAACGGATCCTCCTCAACCTCCCCGGCCTGACGACCCTTGGCCGGCAGGACCCCAGCCCCCAGAAAACCCCTGGCCTCCTGCCCCTGAGGTGGACAACCGACCTCAGGAGGAGCCAGACCTAGACCCACCCCGGGAAGAGTACAGATAATGGAGTCCCCTCAGCCGTTCTGTTCCCAGGCATCTCCAGGCACCCACGCCCTCTCCACCCTCTGATTCCCCGTGAATTCTTCCCAATTTAGCCTATCTCCTTAAACCTCTTCCTCATTCCCTCGGTTTTATTCTGAACCCGTAAGGTGGTGTTCTCAATATTTCCTGTCCCCTCCTGAGATCCATACTTAGTCCTCACATCGCCCGTTTTTTCCTCTGACAGCCTAAGCCTACTCTCCTACCTCGCCTCCAGGCCTCGGCCGCACCTACCTCCCACCCGGTCTTCCTGCCCGCGCGATCGCTGGGGCAGGGCTATGGTACTGTGTTCCCTTCTGCCACCTGGTGGCCGGCGGCAGGAACTATCAGTAGACAGCTGCTGCTTCCATGAAACGGAAAAATAAAAATCATGTTTTCTTAATTCTGAATCTAGGCTGCTGCTTTAACTAACACTTAGGGTCTTTTTTATTTATTTTTATTTATTTGTTTTTTTCTTTTTTTGAGACGAAGTCTCGCTCTGTCGCCCAGGCTGGAGTACAGTGGCACGATCTCGGCTCACTGCAAGCTCCGCCTCCCGGGTTCACGCTATTCTGCCTCAGCCTCCCGAGTAGCTGGGACTACAGGCGCCCGCCACCACGCCAGGCTAATTTTTTGTATTTTTTAGTAGAGGCGGGGTTTCACCGTGTTAGCCAGAGTGGTCTCGATCTCCTGACCTCGTGATCTGCCTGCCTGGGCCTCCCAAAGTGCTGGGATTACACGCGTGAGCCACAGCGCCCGGCTTCTTTCTTCTTTTTCTTTTTTTTTTAGATGGAGTCTCACTCTATGCCCAGGCTGGAGTGCAATGGCACGATCTCGGCTCACTGCAACCTCCGCCTCCCGGGTTCAAGCCATTCTCCTGCCTCAGCCTTCTGAGTAGCTGGGATTACAGGTGCGCACCACCATGCCCGGCTAATTTTTGTATTTTAGTAGAGATGGGGGTTTCACCATGTTGGCCAGGCTGGTCTCGAACTCCTGACATCGTGATCTTCCCGCCTCGGCCTCCCAAAGGGCTGGGATTACAGGCGTGAGCCACCGTGCCCGGCCAACACTTATGTTTTTGACTATTAGGATGCCCTCTTCACAGTCCTAAACTTACAGAGACCTGGAAGTAACTTGAGTTCCTATCTTGCCCATGTCCAGCATGTAAGGCTCTGGGGCTTAGCAGGAGGAGGGTTGGAAATGTCACTATGCAAGTCACAATAACATTCAGGCCCACATTTCTCCCTTTCTGAGAACACTATATTAAAGAATGGGAAGGCAAGTTTCATCTCTGTTTAATGGCCTATGGCTTGGATACCCCTAGTGGTATATGCAAACCTTCCCAGGGGTGTGTCGGCAGGACCAGTTTTAAGGGAATCAGTTTCCAGATTAATATGTGCCCCCCGCTAGAATGAATCTCCTGCTTGTCCTGGGCCTGACCAGAGTGCCCTTCCCAGAGCCGCCAAAGGTCAATAGGAAACAAATCAACCTTTCCCATCTCATTAAGAGATTCATTTTCTTTCTTTTCTTTTTTTTTTTTTTTGAGACGTATTATCTCTCTGTCGCCCAGGCTGGAGTGCAGTGGCACGACAGATATCAGCTCACTGCAACCTTCGCCTCCTGGATTCAAGTGATTCTCCTGCCTCAACCTCCCGAGTAGCTGGGATTACAGGTGTGTGCCACCACACCCAGATAAGTTTTCTATTTTTAGTAGAGATGGGATTTTGCCATGTTGGCCAGGCTGGTCTCGAATTCCTGATCTCATGGGATCTGCTTGCCTTGGCCTCCCAAAGTGCTAGGATTACAGGTGTAAACCACCACGCCTGGCCAAGAGATGCATTTTCAATAAGTTACTTTTCATGTCTTTTTGTGTGTTTGTTTGAGACAGGGTCTCCATCTGTCATCCAGGCTGGAGTGCAGTGGCACGATCATGGCTCGTATAGCTTCAACCTCCTGGGCTCAAGCAATCCTCCTATCTCAGCCTCTGGCGTAGCTGAGACTACAGGTGCACCACCCCTGACTAATTTTTTGTATTTGTTTAGTTTAGTTTTGTTTCGTTTTTAGAGATGGGGTTTTACCGTGTTGCCCGGGCTTGTCTCAAACTCCAGAGCTCAAGTGATCAGCCCATCTTGGCCTCCCAAAGTGCTGAGATTACAGGCACGAGCCACCGCGCCTGACCAACTTTTTATGTTTAATCCTTGTGAATATTCCTAGTTTTGGTTAACTGCAATAATTGCAATACAAATAGAATAACTGTTTCTAACACTTGTTCAAGGGCTTGTTCACGTATTTTTTAAAAGGATGCTAACAGATATGAAAGTTCTATGGCATTATATTCAATTTGCTACACTTAGAGTGACGTGCAGTCTCCGACAGACTGAGCACAACAAATTGTTTTTAATTTTAAAAACTGACATGGCCAGGCATGGTGGCTCACGACTGTAATCCCAGCATTTGGGAGGCTGAGGTAGGCAGATCACTTGAGGTCAGCAATTCAAGACCAGCCTGGACAATGGTGAAACTCTGTCTCTACTAAAAATACAAAAAACTTAGCTGGGCATCCCAGCTACTCGGGAAGCTAGGGCATGAGGATTGCTTGAACCTGGGAGGCAGAGGTTGCAGTGAGCCGAGATCGCACCACTGCACTCCAGCCTGGGAGACAGAGTGAGACTCCATCTCAAAAATAATAAATAAATAAATAAATACATAAATAGTGATGTGATTTTTAACATGTATTTGCAATTCCCTGAAAAGCCTACCCTTTGGAATGCTATTAAATTATTACAAATGTTAAATGTTGACTTAAAAATGTGCAAGGGGCTGGGCGAGGTGGCTCATGCCTGTAATACCAGCACTTCGGGAGGCCGAATCGGGTGGATTGCTTGTGGCCAGGAGTTTGAGACCAGCCTAGGCAACATGGCAAAACTGTTTCTACAGAAAATTTAAGAAATTAGCCAGATGTGGTGGCCCGCACCTGTAGTCCCAGCTACTCAGGAGGCTGAGGTGGGAAGATTGCTTGACCCTGGGAGGTTGAGGCTGTAGTGAGCCAAGATGGCACCACTGCACTCCAGTCTGGGCAACAGAGTGAGACCGTGTCTCAAAACAATACAAATGTGCAAGGGACATAGTTTTTCAAAATCCTTTAAAGAGGCAATCAGGTTAGAAGGACAGGAGCTCAGAGATCCCAATGGTCTACTGTCAATCAAGTATCCGACCAGGGTTAGGGATGAAGAGGGGTTAAAAGAAACTGAGGTTGCATAACCTTAAATTTCACCACTTAGAACCCAGTTTGCTTATGTGGTAACTCTCATTAAAAACTACATATGAGAGGCCGGGCGCGGTGGCTCACGCCTGTAATCCCAGCACTTCGGGAGGCCAAGGCGGGCGAATCACGAGGTCAGGAGATCGAGACCATCCTGGCTAACATGGTGAAACCCAGTCTCTACTAAAAAATACAAAAAAAATTAGCCGGGCATGGTGGCCGGCGCCTGTAGTCCCAGCTACTCGGGAGGCTGAGACAGGAGAATGGCGTGAACCTGGGAGGTGGAGCTTGCAGTGAGCCGAGATCGTGCCACTGCACTCCAGCCTGGGCGACAGAGCGAGACTCCATCTCAAAAAAACAAACAAATAAAAAACCAAAAAACTACACATGAGATCAGGCGTGGTGGCTCACACCTGTAATCCTAGCACTTTGGGAGGCTGAGGCGGGTGGATTACCTGAGGTCAGGAGTTCGAGACCAGCCTCACCAACATGGTGAATCCCTGTCTCTACTAAAAATACAAAAAAATTAGCTGGGCATGGTGGCAGGCGCCTGTAATCCCAGCTTCTCGGGAGGCTGAGGCAGGAGAATCCATTGAACCCGGGAGGCAGAGGTTGCGGTGAGCCAAGATCGTGCCACTGCACTGCAGCCTGGGCGACAGAGCAAGACCCCGTCTCAGAAAACAAAAAACAAAAAAAAACTACATGTGGTCCGAATGAAACAAAACTAAGCTTAGGGTTTAGGAATAATCTGAGAACACATAAGAATTGTAGGTTGAGCCTAGTAGAATTAAATAGGCCCCAAGCTGGACTGGATTCACCCATTCATTCATTCATTATCTTACTTCCTCAATGTGTCCACGAATGCCGGGTGCCATGGGAGAATATAAGAATATAAATAATAAAAATATGTAGTTTCTACTCAGAACTTAAAATTGAGAGAGACAGAATTTACAGGCAAGTTTAAATAACATCAAAGACAGTAAAAATGCATATTTCCTAATAATGACATGAGCGAGCGCCAACGTAATAGCCTTGGCAGTAAACGCCATGAGTTCAGAAGAGTCACGGTGAGCTGGACTAGTCAGGGGAGGCTTCTGGGAGGAGGGCCCGGAGCGGGACCTGAGAGAAGAACAGGCAGTGTGTCTGGAGGATGGACCAGGAAGGGCAGACCCGGAGCCTCATACAGGGTGCAGGTACAGAAGCTGCCCCCAGGTGATGAGCTCTCGTGGCCAGAACCACCAGCTCTGGGGACCAGCCCTTGCGCGTATGTGCATCAGCCTTCGTGTGTGCTGGAATGGCCGTCCTCTCCCAAACCAGCTGCATTTCTCCTCAGGGATGCCTCTGCCTACACCACTCCTTCCCGCACCCCACCCGACCCCCAACGCCCTTCACCCCAGTCACCCTATGGCAATGATTTATTCATGTCTGTCTTCCTTTCCCAGGCCATGAACCTTGTGGGGCAGGGACTGTGTTCTACGCATTTCTTCTTGAACTCCTTTACCATTTTTGTGCCTACGGACTCCCAGAGTGCTAAATCACTCCCAACAGCCCCGCCTATGCCTCTGCTGGGACCTTTTCCAGGGGCAGAGAGCTGGAAGCACTTGGAAATTTTTCTCTCCCACATCCTCACATGCCACCACCCTCCCACTCCCCCAGCCCGCCCCCAGGCCTTAACCAACGGTGGACAAATATGAAGGTGTCAGTACCCCAGCCCTCCATGAGACTTAGCTTGGTTCCACTCATGTGCTTGGGTCCCACTTTCCCACTCCCTTTCCACTCCTCCCCACCCTCATTACTTTTTTTTTTTTTTAAGACAGGGTCTCACTCTGTCACCCAGGCTAAAGTGCAGTGGCACAATCATAACTCATTGCAGTCTCAACCTCCTGGGCTCAAGTGGTCCTCCTGCCTCAGCCTTCTGAGTAGCTGGTACTATAGATGCACTCCACTCACTGGGCTAATTTTTTAATTTCTTGCAGAAATGATGTCTTGCCATGTTGCCCAGGCTGGTCTGGAACTCCTGGACTCAAGCAATCCTCCTGCCTTGGCCTCCCAAAGCACTGGGATTACAGGTGTGAGCCATCATGCCCAGTCCCCTCATTACTTTTATTTATTTATTTATTCAATTTTTGAGACGGAGTCTCCCTCTCGTTGCGCAGACTGGAATGCAGTGGTGTGATCTCGGCCCACTGCAATCTCCGCCTCCTGAGTTCAAGCGATTCTCCTGCCTCTGCTTCCTGAGTAGCTGGGATTACAGGCATGCGCCACTACGCCCAGCTAATTTTTGTATTTTTAGTAGAAACAGGGTTTCACCATGTTGGCCAGGCTGGTCTCAAACTCCTGACCTCAGGTGATCTGCCCGCCTTGGCCTCCCAAAGTGTTGAGATTACAGGCATGAGCCACTGTGCCTGGCCTATTTATTTTTGAGACAGTTCTCACTCTGTTGCCCAGGCTGGAGTACAGTGGCACGATCACAGCTCACTGAAGCCTGGACCCAAGCGATCCTCCCACCTAAGCCTCCCAAGTAGCTGGATCACAGGCGCATGCCACCACGTCTGGCTAATTTTTTTTGTAGAGATTGGGTCTTACTATATTGCCCAACCTGGTCTCAAACTCCTGAGCTCAAGAAACCCTCCTGCCTCCGCCTCTCAAAGTGTTGGGATTATAGGCGTGAGCCACCCTGCCCAACTTCTCATTAGTTTTAAATAAATCTCTTTTACTTGAATCTTTGTCTCAGGGCCTGCTTCTGGGGAATCCAACCTAGGATGCAAAGTATTTGCTACACACTATTGCAACTACTTTCTACTGCGCATGTGCCATAGGGCACTGTTGGTAAATGCTCTACAGCTTAAGCTCTCGTTTAATTTGCATAACAATGCTATCATGATCATTTCACAGAAGACAGAAACAGGCCTAGAGAGGTACAGTGACCCATGCAAGGTCACACAGGGGACAAATGGCAGAACTGGGATTTCAATTTAGGTCTGTGCTATGCTAACAACACTGATTTTAACCACTACATCATCCCAGCTCTTTTTTTTTTTTTTTTTTTTTTGAGACGGAGTCTTGCTCTTTTCACCCAGGCTAGAGTGCAATGGCACGATCTTGGCTCACTGCAACCTCCGCCTCCTGGGTTAAAGCAATTCTCCTGCCTCAGCCTCCCACATGGCTGGGATTACAGGCACCCGCCACCATACCTGGCTAATTTTTGTAGTTTTTTTTAGTAGACACGGGGTTTCACCATGTTGGCCAGGCTGGTCTTGAACTCCCGACCTCGTGATCCACCAGCCTTGGCTTCCCAAAGTGCTGGGATTACAAGCATAAGCCACCGCGCCTGGCCCATCCCAGCTCTTTATTCATCTGTGTAACCCTGACAGAGAATACAGTGCCTGGGCCGTCATGCACACTTAATGTGTGTTTTGTGAAAGGCTAAATTATTTAATGAAGGGCCCAATTAACAAAGAGTAGATCAGAATGATTGGAGTAAAATAACCCGAAGAAGAGAGAGACATGTTGGAGAGACAGGTCGGGGGAAAATTAGGGAAGATCTTGGTGCCAAGTGCAGGAGCTCATATCTGAAAGTCTCTCTCCTCTATTAGAACTGTGCCTGGGCCTGGGCAACATAACAAGACCCTGTCTCTGAACAAACAAAATAAGTTAGCTGAACATGGTAGGGCGCACCTGTAATCCCAGCTATTCCAGAGGCTGAGGTGGAAGATTGCTTGAGCTCAGGAGGTCAAAGCCAGCCTGGGCAACACAGCAAGACCCCATCTCTAAAAAAAAAAAAAATTAAAATTAAAAAAGGGCCAGGCACAGTGGCTCACACCTGTAATCCTAGCACTTTGGGAGGCCAAGGCAGGAGGATCGCTTGAGCTCAGGAGTTTGATACCAGTGTGGGCAACATAGTGTGACCTCACCTCTACAAAAAAAATGTTTAACATTTGGCCAGGTTGCCAGGCGCAGTGGCTCACGCTTGTAATCCCAGCACTTTGGGAGGCCGAGGTGGGCGGATCGCGAGATCAGGAGATGGAGACCACAGTGAAACCCCGTCTCTACTAAAAATACAAAAAAAATTAGCCGGGAGTGGTGGCGGGCGCCTGTAGTCCCAGCTACTCGGGAGGCTGAGGCAGGAGAATGGCGTGAACCCGGGAGGCGGACGTTGCAGTGAGCCGAGGTCGCACCACTGCACTCCAGCCTGGACGACAGAGTGAGACTCCACCTCAAAAAAAAAACGAACAATTAGCCAGGCCATGGTAGTGCATGCCTGTAGTCCCAGCTACTCAGCAGGAAGATCACCTGAGCATGAGAGGTTGAAGCTGGAGTGAGATATGATTGCACCACTGCACTCCAGCTTGGATGACAGAGCTGTCTCAGAAAAAAAAAAAAAATTGTGCCTAGGGTGGGGAGAAACACATACATCTCTGGGTATACTGTGGCAGGAAGCTAAGGATAGAAAGGAAGAAGGAGGTCTGGACCCCTCAAACTGACCCTCAAGCCAATAACGTGGAGTTAGTTAGGAGGAAAAAAAATTAATTAATTAATTAATTTTTTATTTTTTGAGACAGGGTCTTGCTCTGTCGCCCAGGCTGGACAGTGCAGAGGTGCAATTACAACTCACTGCAGCCTTGACCTCCTGGGCTCAAGGGATCCTCCTACCACAGCGTCCTGAGTAGCTGGGACCACAGGCATGTGCCACCATGTCCAGCTAAGAGAAATTCTTAAAGAAGAGAGAAAGGAGGGAAAGGAACTGAGCCCCTGATGTTGTCTAGGGAAAAAGCTGGGGCTCTTTACAGCATGCTGCCTTCTTTAATTCCACAGCACTATGTGGGTTTCCATGCCTTTATTTCCTTGGAAAGTATGAGCTTCTTGAAGACAGCAACTGTGCCTTGTCTTTCTTTGTATCCCTTCCTTCTCTCCTAGTACCCAGCCTAGAAGGCACTCAATAAAGCAAATGATTAGCCCCATTTCACAGACGAGGAACCAACACTGAGAGAGGTAACTCACCTGTGCAAGTCATATCACAAGTGCCAAAGTCAAGACTGGATGGAGGACTGCCTGGCTGCAAACCAATTCTTCCCAGGCTGACATGGCAGGTAGGTGAGTGGGAAAGAGAAGGGGGAGGCATGAGGCAATTGGAGATTTTAGTACCTATTAATAGGCAGTGGATTTTGGCACTCAAACAGGCTGTCTTCATTAGCTGGGGAGGAGACTGAGTGGGCCTGGATGGTATGGAGGTATTTGCACAGGGAAACCCATTGTGCTGGCTTATCCATTCAGATTAGACAATGCTGGTTCCTCTCTACCTGCCTTGGCTAAGCTCACCTAGGAGTAAATGCCCCAGGGACACCGTCACGTCTATGTCAACACAGAGTCATGGAATTAAATAACAGAATAGGATCACAGATTTACAGAACAATAGCCCAGAACCTTGGACATGACAGATAGTTATTAAATGCTTGGCCAATGAAAAAAAAGAACCTAGAACTAGTATCACGGTAAAATCTAATTATACAAGCTAAGTTACCTTGAGAAAGCACCAGGCACAGCCCTGAGCCTTGGGCAGCGAATGATGTCTTTGGACTAGACAGAAGAGATGGTTGTCTGCCCTGCTTTGAAGCTCTCTGGCCAGGGAAACTCCAAACCATTCATTTGTTCATCCATTTGCCCACACAATCAACATTCATTGAGCATCTGCTCTGTGGGGTGCTATGTGATGGTGACAGTCCCAGGAAGCAGTTTCAGTCCTCCCTGCCCTCAAGGGGCTCTGTGTTTAGGGAGGACAAACATATACATCATGACAATAAAATTTGATAAAAAGTTAAATTAGAGAGGGGGCAAACCCTGACGTAGGAGCCCAGGAGGACTCCTAACTTCTCTGCCAATTTCATGTTTCAAAATCATTAGACCCAAGACTCGCTTTGGTATAAACTTAAGCTCTCTTACTGTACATTTTTCTTCTCCTGCTAATCTTTAATTAAGTGCCCACCAGGTGCCTGGCACTGAATCAAAACTCAAAAAACTTGCTGAATTAAGCCAAATGCACCTCCTGTGGGTTTTCCCCCCTAATATCCTCAGAGGCAGTAATCAATTCCCTCCCCAAATTCCCCAGTCCCCACCCCATCCCCACCTTTCCTTTTGCAGTATAATCTCAACTCCTGTGATGGGGGCAGGCAGGATAGCATGGTAGTGAGATCAACAGACTGTGACTTGGGTTCTTGTCGCTACTTAGCCATTCGTTCTCTGTGTGACCTTGGGATGGGACTTTAGGGGGATTTCTTTAATAACCTCTAAACTCCGGTGCAATGCTGAGAGCCAAGGTAGCGGCTCTCAGGTCTTGTTCCAAGAACTGCCACCAGAGGGCAGCCTAGAGACTCCTCTCAGGTGTTTTCCTCCAGAGCCTTTGCTCTTTCCCTCACTAATGTCATCCACTCCCTGGGTCCACCATCAAGGCACACAGGTGTCCCTTTAGCCGTCAAGGTGACCGTTCTAAGGTGAGCCAGGCATGTGAGGCGAGGCGAGACAGGCTCTGAAGTCCTCAGGAAAATTCAGGCACAGGCTGCTTGTCCAAGTGGACCTCACGATCATCATTTACACATTCTCTCCCTGATAATTTCATGAGCCAGTGGTCTACAGGAGAGGATACCACAGCCAGTCAAAGGGATCAGGGCCCTGCCCTCAGGGAGCTGCCTTCCAGTGAGGGAGGAGAGAGATACACAGATGCTTACAAGGTATCTGTAGTAGGATGTCACCTAGTGATGAATGGTGTGACGCAGCTTAGGCAGAGCGAGGAAATAGGGATGGTCCAAACGTGTGTGTGTGTGTGTGTGTGTTTTTGAGACAGAGTTTCGCTCTTGTCGCCCAGGCTGGAGTGCAGTGGTGCGATCTCAGCTCACTGCAACCTCTACCTCCCGGGTTCAAGTGATTCTCCTGTCTCAGCCTCCCGGGTAGCTGGGATTACATGTGTGCACCACCACACCCGGCTAATTTTTGTATTTTTAGTAGAGACGGGGTTTCATCATGTTGGCCAGGCTGGGCTACGAGCGAAACTCCATCTCAAAATAATAATAATAATAATAATAATAATTCCTGTCTCCTAGGGTCATTGAGAGAATGGAGATCAGTCCTGCATGGGCAGACGTCGGCACCGAGCTGAATGTTACACACTGCCAAGGAGTCGGCGCCGGTCTCTGGTGAAGATGTTCTAGTCCCAGGGCCCAAGAGAACAGAGCGGGACACGAGATGCCTCTCTAACAGGAGTCTGTGTTTCCTGGTCACCTCTGTGTGCTGGGTGATGCCTCAGGTGCCAGGGAGACACTGGGCAGTAGGAGAAGCTCTCTCCTGTGAGGACTCTCACCCGGAGGCACTCAGACAACCCAGAACACAGGAGGGAAGATGGGCCACCACAGTCCCATTCCCAGGGGCTCCAAGGGCCAGCCCAGCCTAGAAGTCCCTCCTGGTACAAGTCTTTCCGGCCTCTCCTCTCCCGAGAGCACGTTCAGACTGCACCCTGGCGCTCTCTTTCACCCTGTCGAGGAAGCTGTGACTCTAATTCTGGGTGACCAGTAACAATAAAAACCACTAATAGCCCTAGTGGAAAGAATGACTATTTAACAGGTGCAAATAATGAGCAGACAAGGAGAGCTCTTTTCCCTCACACTCACTCCGCAGGACAGAGAGGGGAACAGTCTTGCTACCGTGACAGCTAATCACAGCCTCTGTGTGCCTCCCTCCTCGCAAGATAAGAGGGGTGGCCTCAGGGTGTGACGGAAACAGCCAGGAAGGCTTCGGCCCAGGGAGCGACTGCCCTACAGCTGACTCCCTGCTGCTTTTGGGAAGTGGGGGTGAAGGGAAAAGACTCAGGGGAGCGGGGGGAAGAAAGCTTGGTGGGCAGAACCCCACTTGCCAAATTCCTCCTCTTTCAGGATTCAGTGGCCAAAGGTGCGCCTGGCTCTGGCCCCAGTCTTCACTCCCAAGTGCCGGCTGCAGTGCCCTGGGCCCGTCGGAGGCTGGCAGGGCTGCTGGGAGGGTGAGGACAGGCATGGGAAGAGTGGAAAGTGGGGGCTGACCCAGCCAAGCTCCAGGAGGCCATTCCATAGAGGAGAGAGCCATGGACCAGGAGCCAAGCAGGGAAGAAGGAAGGAAAGGTAGAGCCGAGCACCGCCCACACCAGGAATAATCTCAGGAAGAGGATGGTGTGGACAGGCCCCAGGACAGGGCTTCTCAGCTAGGGGCAACTCGTTATGCTGCAGTGGGGGCACCTAACAGAACACCCTAGGGTTTTTTTAAAGTATACAGCACGGTCGTGCCCACCACTGGCATCAGATGAATGCCATGTCCAGGGGAAACCCCAGTACGTCCTCATCACAGCCATGTGAACACTGCTGTTTGTTCATAAAAATGTGTTGCATCCCTAGGGGGAAATAAAAGGAGCTAATCCAATAGAGAGAAGAGTGGCTCAGGGGAGACAGTCACCCGTGAGGAATGAGGGCAGGACACACAGGCCCAGGCCGAGATTGCACAGGGTGTTGCATGAGTGGCTGTGTCAGAGCCAAGTGCACATGCCCACTGCCACCTCCGCCAAGGCCATCAGTGAATCCCTCCAGCACCTACAGGGGCTTTGCACATAAGAGCTGTGCTTGCAGGGGGCGGGGGGTGGGCACAGGGCAGGAAACCAGAGAGGAGGGCACCATGTCCCTGAGTAAGGTAGAAAGGGGAAGCACAGCTTGGACACATTCTTCCATTCTTTTATTTCAAAATATCACCAAGTGCCTGCCACAGCTATGTGCTGGGAACTCAGTGAACGCACCTGTGCTTTGCCCACTGGCATGGAGCCCATGGTCCGGGGGTGATGGTTTCTGTTGCATTTCAAAGCCACTGGGGCGCTGCATAGATGGCTGGCTGCAGAGTCTATTTGAGACGAAGGCAAGAAGTCAGGGCCCATGGACTGTAGATTCCACCCTTGATCGTCTACTACAGGAAAGAAGCCACAGAAGTGAGGGGGTATTCCCAACAGGAAGGCAGAGAAGGAGAGATTAAAACTGAGTCAAGAAGTGTAGCCAGTCCCATGGGAGCACCTGGGCTGAGGAGGGTCAGTCCCCGCAGAGATGTTCGGAACACCTGATTGGGGATGTGCCCTCTCCTTCTATGTTCTTGGTCACCAGAGGAACCAGGTGAAGAGTGTGGATGACTCAGTCCACCCCTCCCCGCACAGGAAAAACAACTCAGAGGACATTCCCTACTGGGAGTGGGCCAGGAGCGCTGGCTTCCACGCCAAGGAGAGGAGGGTGTTGCTGTGGCTGCAGAGGTGAGTCCACAGGGAAGCGTGGGTGTCATGGAGAAAGAGAGAGGAGAGGAAATGGCCTCTCGCTGGAGCCAAGCAGAGAGGAACAAAGGAGGGGAGGAGCCCACAGGCCCTGGAGCCCCAGAGCAGCTCTGGGTGGCCCCTTTCCTTCTCTCCTCAGCACAAAATAAGCTGCTTTTCCAGGCTTTTTCTCTTCCTCGTGCTCACTCCATTTTCCTTCTTCCAAGCCTAAGCCCTGGTCTACCAAGGACCCCTATGTGAAACACTTGTGCTAGAACTTCTGTCCTGACTCTCAGGCCCCCAGAGGAGGAAAGCTGTGGAGGAGGGACCTCATGAGCCAGTAACCTTCACTTAGGAACTCTTCACTTTTTTTTTTTTGAGACGGAGTCTCACTCTGTCACCCAGGCTGGAGTGCAGTGGCATGAAATCGGCTCACTGCAGCCTCCGCCTCGCTGGTTCAAATGATTCTCCTGCCTCAGCCTCCTGAGTAGCTGGGATTACAGGTGCCTGCCCCCGCACCCGGCTAATTTTTGTATTTTTAGTAGAGATGGTTTTGCCATGTTGGCCAGGCTGGTCTCAAACTCCTGAGCTCAAGTGATCCACCTGCCTTGGCCTCCCAGAGTGCTGGGATTACAGGCGTGAGCCACCATACCTGGCCAGCTTTGACAGCAGAAATCTTCTCTCTAGAAATATTCATATACATAAGGAATTTTGCACACATCCTTACAGGGTTTAGGGAGCCTCTTAAGCCTGTCCATGAACCTCTGCCATTCATTTATAGCATGGTGTCAGCTGCAGAGTAATAGGATCTATGTGGGCCTGGAAGTCCAACAGGCCTGGGTTTGAATCTTTTTCAAACATTTTTGCTTGTTAGCAGCTGGTTTGGACAAATAATTTCAACTTAGTTTTCTCATCTGTGAAACAGGGGGAAAAAGCACTTACCCTGTAGGGCTGTTGTGAAGATTGAACAAGACAACTCATGTTAAATACCCAGGCACCGTGTCCGCCTGCAGCAGGCAGTCAGTACATGGTGGATCTCGTGCCCCAAGCCTCCTCTTTATGGAGTCCCTCAAGTTGCCCCAGCTGGCCTCGGATTCCTCCCACCTCCACCTCCTGGGTAGCTGGGACTACAGCACGCCATGCTTCAGCCCCCTTTGTGATCATTCAAAGCCGTTTGGTTCCCTGCACCCTCTCACATTTACTGCAATTCCTATAGAATCCAAATTCTTTTAACCTGGTGTTGTAGGTCATCTACAATCCCGATCCAAGCAGCCTGTCCCTTCTCCCACACCACTGTCCTCCACATGCATGTCCCACACCAACCCACGCCATCCGCTGGTTCTAAATACACCTGAAGCACCACAAGGCCCCACGTCTGGCTGCCTGCTCTGTGCTTCTCTCATCATTCCTCAAGGCCCGGGGAAAGTCCTGCCACCTCCCTGAAGCCAAGTGCCTACCCGCTTCTCCACTCTAGGCTGCTCTCTTACGCTGTGTGTCCCCAGCTGGATGGCAGCTCCTCAGGGCAAGGAACAATTTCTCTTCTTTCTCAGTGCAACTTCCAAAACACAGCAGAGGAGCGTGCACTGGGGGCAAAGGCTGGCACAGCAAACACAGCAGCACAGGGCTGCTGGAGGGGTGGAGGGGACCGGAGGGGACAGTGACCTGCCTGCTTCATAATACATGGCTGGGAGCCCCACCTTTTGCCTATGGAAGCCATGTGCTTTGAGCTTGATTTTCTCGGGTGTAGAGTGTCTACGCCACCCACACTTTCTCACCCGGTCCAATGCACGGGCACGGGCAGGGGCAGGGCCAGAATCTGTTGCTGTAGAACACAGCAGAGCTGCCTGCAGTACTGTGGACGTCACCAAACTGGCAGCTTCACTGAAGGTGACCCTGGCCTGTGTGGGCACTCAGCTGATGCCCTTCTCTTCCCTCCTAAGCCCCATTAGCTTTAGGTCTTCACCACCTGCACTGAGAGAAAGATTAATGGTGAGCACCAGAGTAAAATCTAGCACAGAAGGCAGGGTTTCAGTAAAAAACCAAAAGCATGGCAGATTAGAGCTCAAGGACCCACAGGTGGGCAGGACAGTAGAGGAACTGGGCAGCCCAGGGTGGCAGGATGGGGTGGACAGGAGTGGACAGGAGAGAGTAGCCAGGAGGAGGGACGTGGCTGCACCACCAGTCCACGTGGGCGGCTGGAGACCTGGCAGGAGGCCAGGAGAGACTGTGCCTCCTCCAGCCTGGCTGTCTTGGCCAAGTTCTGATGGCAGCCAGGAGGACTGTGAGAAAGAAAACAAGACAAACTTTGCTACCTCTGGCTGGTCAGGGGAAGTTTGTGTTGGAAAAGAAGAAGCCACAGATTCCACTGTTCCGCTGCCTTCTCCCCTCACACCCTGGGACGGCCCAGCACCTTCTAGTCCACTCCTCCCTGCCCTCTGCCACTCCCCTCACTACCCCAGTGCCCCCTCCCTCCTTGCCCAGGTCCTCCAGGGAGCCAAGCCTGAGAGTCTAGGGAGGCCCACAAGAGGAAATGATGTTCGGAAAGAGCAGCATCACTTTATTTTTTGAGATGGAGTTTCCCTTTTGTCACCCAGGCTGGAGTGCAATGGTGCAATCTTGGCTCACTGCAACCTCTGCCTCCAGGGTTCAAGTGATTCTCCTGCCTCAGCCTCCCGAGTAGCAGGGATTACAGGCGCCCACCACCACGCCTGGCTAATTTTTTTGTATTTTTGGTAGAGACGGGGTTTCGCCATGTTGGCCAGGCTGATCTCGAACTCCTGGCCTCAAGTGATCCGCCCGCATCGGCCTCCCATAGTGCTGGGATTACAAGCGTGAGCCACCGTGCCCAGCCGAGCAGCATCACTTTAAATGGTATCTCTGTCTCACATTTGTGCCTGCACCTCTATACAAGGCAGGAAGGGAGCAGAAGACACTCTGCTAGCATTGGCTGGGCTGGAGACTCAGGAAAGGGAGCCTGGGGCTGTGGGGGTGAAGCTGGCCTATTTGTCTCCCCCAGTGGAAGGATGAAGACAGGAGCACCTGCCGGGCTCCATTTGCTGGGCTTCCTACTGGGGGACTGCACCCCTTGTCCCATTTAACCTTTTTGATAATTTCCCATTTGATGTTCACAAAAACCTTGCGAAATAAGTGTTATTTAAAATACCCCCATTTCACAGATGAGGAGATGGAAGTTCAGAAAGGTTTGAAGAGCCGCCCAAAGCCAAGAGGTTAGCTGGGACTTGAACCCACGTCATCTTCATTCTGAAGCCAGTGTTTTTTGTTTGTTTGTTTTTCCCAAGGCATTAGCCCCCTTCAGGGGACCCTGTCCTATCCCTTCCTCTCTCCACAGCTCCCTCAGCCCCTCTTTCCTCCCACTCCCATTCTGAGTGTCACTAGCAAGTCAAGAGCAAGACTAGATGGCAGCCACTAGCTGCACGTGGCCAACCACATCATTACAATTAATTAAAATTAAAGCTCCAAATCTTTGGTGGTTAAACTTGCTCCATGTGGCCAGTGGCTACCGTATCGGACAGCACAGACAGGAAACATTTCCATCCTCCTGCTGGTCTGAACTTAAAGGGCGGTCAGGAGGTAGAGGGAATGGGAGAGACCAGCCCAAGGGGCCCAGGGACAGAGCTGCCTTTGTGAGGAGATGAGGTTTGGGAAGTGAGTTTGGGTGAGGGGAGCAGGGGTGTCTGAGGCCTGGGGGAGGAGAGGGCAGCTTGCTGGACTTGCAGGCACCTCCCTCCGATACTGATACTCCCGCAATACTAGTGAGCAATTAATTGGCTGGGGCGGGGCAGGGGCCAGAGCAGGAGGGAGGCCAACGCAATGGAGGAGAAGCCACCACCCTCTCAGCAGATGGCAGGGCTCCGGTTCTCCTGGCCTCCTTTCATCCTTTGAGGACCCGGGAGCCTGCCTGGCCCTCCTCGACCTGCCCAGAGCTGGCTGCTGCTTCCTGCTCGCTCATCCAGCCCAGGGCCAGCAGATGGGCTACGGGGCCACCACCTTCCCAATTAGCCTTCTTAGCCTCTTGCTCACCCTTGAGGTCTGGGTTACCAGCCATGGGGAGGGGCTGTGAGTGGCCTGTGAGTAACCAAGGCCCAGCTTTGACAGAGGTCATCAGCCCAGGCCCCTCCCCTGGCTGAGCCCTGGCTCCCAGCACCCCCCCCCACCCCCGCCACCATGCCGTCCCCAGAGGCCCCCAGAAGCGACAGGTCAGGGAGTTGGTTTTGGGAATGTGGTGCCCCATTTCTGAGAAGGAGAAGGTTCCCCAGGTGATGGAACACGTAATAGGTATGTGGCTGGCCTGGTACTTGGGGAGTGGTGGGAGGGGGAGCCTGGGGGATGGGGGCAGAACTCATATTTGAAGGAGGAAAGTGGAGGTGGAGTGATGGGGTCCTAAGGAAGGAGCAGATCAGGGGCTGTGAATGGGACCTCATTGGGGTTGGGTGGGTGGGGCTGGAGCGGGCACCCAAGTGTGGAAGAAAAAGCTGAAACACCCACGACTGCGAGTGGAGGGCAGATGGAGAGACAGGCCAAGCCACGGTAGGCAGGAGAGTTAAGGAGCCAGGCAGCTGGGTCCCGTGGCAAGAGTGGCCGCCCCAGAGTGGGTGGCCGTGGGGCAGAGCGCCTGGTTCCGGGTTAGGCAATGAGGAGCCGGGGCCAGGCCTGTCAGGTGGCAGGATCGTTAGAGCCCCGTGGCCATGGGTACCCCACACTGCAGCCACTGCTGCTGCTGAGTAGGCAGATGCACCGGGCTGATTACCACGCTCCTCCCGGCCACACCAACTTCCCCCGGGGCACCCACCCCCTCCACCTCTCCTCCTCTCCCCACAGTGACTCCTGCCCAGGGAATGTCCAGCTCTGGCATAAAGGACCCAGGTGTCCTCGAGCTGCCATCAGTCAGGAGGCCGTGCAGCCCGAGATGGGCTCGTCTCGGGCACCCTGGATGGGGCGTGTGGGTGGGCACGGGATGATGGCACTGCTGCTGGCTGGTCTCCTCCTGCCAGGTAGGAGGCTGGGGGCCCTGGGAACAGGAGGGAGGCGGGAGGGAGACTCCGGGAGAGGACCCAGCGAAGGGGACGGGCAGGGGCTCTGGAATCTGCCTTTTGAGTCTGGGGGTTGCTCCTCACTGTATGGTCGCCTCAGGTAAGTTTCTTAAACTTCCTGAGCCCCAGTTTCTGAAATTCTGAAGTGGGGTTAATGACACCTACCTCTAGTCTGTGTGTCTCAAATTAAATAATGTATGTGATATGTACTTTGGAAATTCTAGAGGTTTATATAAATGGTGGTGGTGATTTTTATTATGGGAGCACTACAAGATAATGATTGGACATTTAATAGTAATAATATCATTTTTAGAGCCTTTTTATATGCTAGACTCTGTTTTAAGCACATTTGGATTATATATTAGAACTTTTATTTTTATTTTTTTTGTGAGATGGAGTCCCACTCTGTCTCCAAGGCTGGAGTGCAGTGGCGTAATCTCGGCTCACTGCAACTTCCACCTCTCAGGTTCAAGCGACTCTCATGCCTCAGCCTCTAGAGTAGCTGGGACAACAGGTGCCCATCACCACACCTGGCTAATTTTCTTTTTTTTGTATTTTTAGTAGAAACAGGGTTTTACCATTTTGGTCAAGCTGGTCTTGAACTCCTGACTCAAGTGATCCGCTCGCCTCGGCCTCCCAAGGTGCTGGGATTACAGGCATGAGCCACCACACCCGGCCTATATTAGCACTTTTGATCATTACAAGAACGGTATGAAAAGAGATTTGCTATTTCCACTCTACAGATGAGGACACTGAGGCTCGGAGAGGTTAGGAAACTAGCTCAAAATCATGCATTAGAAGGCAGCAAAGCCAAGATTTCAACCCCAGGCCAGGCAACCCCTGGACCTGTGTTGTTGACCACCGGGTACTTATAGCCCTTGAGGAATTTCTGCGACCTTCCCATGGTCTAGTGGGTGGTTGGTGTCTGAGGGAATAGCGAAAGAGAGAGGCAATGCATGGTGGATTCGTGCAGAGGACTGAAGGGAATTGGCACAGCTGGGGTTCGGCGTGAAGGTGCATGCAGAGAATTTCTTTCTGAGGAGAGAACAGGGACATCACAGAGGATGGCAGTCTGGTTGTTGGTGGAGGGATCAGGATGAGTGGCAGTAATAATTCATAATATATAATGCTTTACACTTTCTAAAACATCTGGCCGCACATGATAGCTTGTGCCTGTAATCCCAACACTTCAGGAGGCCAAGGCAGGTGAATCGCCTGAGGTCAGGAGTTCAAGACCAGCCTGGCCAAGATGGTGAAACCCCCTCTCTACTAAAAATACAAAAAATTAGCTGGGTGTGGTGGCGGGCACCTGTGGTCCCAGCTACTTGGGAGGCTGAGGCAGGAGAATCGCTTGCACCAAGGAGGCAGAGGTTACAGTGAGCTGAGACCATGTTATTGCACTTTAGCCTGGGCAACAAGAAACTCCATCTCACAAAAAAAAAAAAAAAAAAAAAAAAGAAGAAAAAACTTCCAGGTGGATGATCTCATTTAGTTTTCTTCATAGTAATGCTGTGGGAAGGCAGGGAAAATTTGGCCCCTCTGAATGTATAAACTAAAGCTCAGAGAGGTTCAGTAACTTGCTAGTATGTGGCTCTGTTTGTAACACGTGGGACCTGGAGGGGCTAGGGAAGGCAGAAGGAACGCAGGTGAAAGAGTCATGGAGGAACCATGGGGTAAGTTGGGCCTGGGGTTTTGAGCAAAGGAAAGGAAAGATAAGGAAAGATGTGGCTCCACATCCCTGAGGGAAGTCAAGGCAGCAGAAGTCAGATGAGGGGCTGGACAGAGGCAGGTGTGCTCAGAGAGGGAAGCTGATTGTGGCCAGGAGCCTCGGAGGTTCGTGGGGTTTCGTCCTGGTTCCCTGGGCTGGGCCAGCGAGAGCAGGGCTGGCTCAGGGTGCGGTGTCCTGACACACTGGTACCAGCAGGTTCTGAAGCAACAGGTAGTGACCCCACATCCTGGCCCCCACCCAGCTTTACTGGCATGGCCAGTGCTGAGATAGGAAATAGGGTTTCCATTCCTGACCCCAGCCTGGGCTCTCACGAAGAAGCTGGTGACCAAATCTTAGTCCTCGAGTGCCCTTTCCTTTATTTCAGCCCCTCTGCCCCCAGCTTTGTCTTTTTCCAGTGTCTCCTTCTATATGTGTCTCCACTTCTCAGCCCTCCATTGTTTTGCCTTTTGTCTTCTTCCCTCTGGTCCCACTGTCTGGCCCAGGATTTTTCCCCTAAGAATTTACGCCTGGACTCCTCAGAGCCTCAGTTTCCCCAATTCTCTGTCTCTTCAGGGTCCTTTCTTTTAGACCTATTTGTTCCTGCCCCTTCTCCATTCCCTCTTCTTTTTAAAAAAAATTTTAATTAAAAAACAAAATACAGATGGGGTCTATGTTGCCCAGGCTGGTCTTGAACTCTGGGGCGCATGCAATCCTCCCACCTCAGCCTCCCAAAGTGCTGGGATTACCGGCGTGAGCCACTGTGCCCAGCCCCCTCTTATATTCAATGTATTCCTTTGAGGTCACTCACTTTGGCACGTAATTTTCTATTTTTCTGGTTGGTGTTTGCCCACCCTTCCCAAACAAAGAAATGCCTTTATTCGGCCACCTCAATATCCTTTAGAGACAATAGCCAGTTCTTCCTCCTTTCTCCATCCCTAAACTCTCCCTGCGCTCTGCTTGGGAGAAACCCGAGAGGCCGATTACTGAGATAAGGCAGAAAGGTGAGGGAGGAAGCCAAGCCTCCTTGGCCCTTACTAACCACTGCTTTCCTCCACAGGGACCTTGGCTAAGAGCATTGGCACCTTCTCAGACCCCTGTAAGGACCCCACGCGTATCACCTCCCCTAACGACCCCTGCCTCACTGGGAAGGGTGACTCCAGCGGCTTCAGTAGCTACAGTGGCTCCAGCAGTTCTGGCAGCTCCATTTCCAGTGCCAGAAGCTCTGGTGGTGGCTCCAGTGGTAGCTCCAGCGGATCCAGCATTGCCCAGGGTGGTTCTGCAGGATCTTTTAAGCCAGGAACGGGGTATTCCCAGGTCAGCTACTCCTCCGGATCTGGCTCTAGTCTACAAGGTGCATCCGGTTCCTCCCAGCTGGGGAGCAGCAGCTCTCACTCGGGAAGCAGCGGCTCTCACTCGGGAAGCAGCAGCTCTCATTCGAGCAGCAGCAGCAGCTTTCAGTTCAGCAGCAGCAGCTTCCAAGTAGGGAATGGCTCTGCTCTGCCAACCAATGACAACTCTTACCGCGGAATACTAAACCCTTCCCAGCCTGGACAAAGCTCTTCCTCTTCCCAAACCTTTGGGGTATCCAGCAGTGGCCAAAGCGTCAGCTCCAACCAGCGTCCCTGTAGTTCGGACATCCCCGACTCTCCCTGCAGTGGAGGGCCCATCGTCTCGCACTCTGGCCCCTACATCCCCAGCTCCCACTCTGTGTCAGGGGGTCAGAGGCCTGTGGTGGTGGTGGTGGACCAGCACGGTTCTGGTGCCCCTGGAGTGGTTCAAGGTCCCCCCTGTAGCAATGGTGGCCTTCCAGGCAAGCCCTGTCCCCCAATCACCTCTGTAGACAAATCCTATGGTGGCTACGAGGTGGTGGGTGGCTCCTCTGACAGTTATCTGGTTCCAGGCATGACCTACAGTAAGGGTAAAATCTATCCTGTGGGCTACTTCACCAAAGAGAACCCTGTGAAAGGCTCTCCAGGGGTCCCTTCCTTTGCAGCTGGGCCCCCCATCTCTGAGGGCAAATACTTCTCCAGCAACCCCATCATCCCCAGCCAGTCGGCAGCTTCCTCGGCCATTGCGTTCCAGCCAGTGGGGACTGGTGGGGTCCAGCTCTGTGGAGGCGGCTCCACGGGCTCCAAGGGACCCTGCTCTCCCTCCAGTTCTCGAGTCCCCAGCAGTTCTAGCATTTCCAGCAGCTCCGGTTCACCCTACCATCCCTGCGGCAGTGCTTCCCAGAGCCCCTGCTCCCCACCAGGCACCGGCTCCTTCAGCAGCAGCTCCAGTTCCCAATCGAGTGGCAAAATCATCCTTCAGCCTTGTGGCAGCAAGTCCAGCTCTTCTGGTCACCCTTGCATGTCTGTCTCCTCCTTGACACTGACTGGGGGCCCCGATGGCTCTCCCCATCCTGATCCCTCCGCTGGTGCCAAGCCCTGTGGCTCCAGCAGTGCTGGAAAGATCCCCTGCCGCTCCATCCGGGATATCCTAGCCCAAGTGAAGCCTCTGGGGCCCCAGCTAGCTGACCCTGAAGTTTTCCTACCCCAAGGAGAGTTACTCGACAGTCCATAAGTCAACTGTTGTGTGTGTGCATGCCTTGGGCACAAACAAGCACATACACTATATCCCATATGGGAGAAGGCCAGTGCCCAGGCATAGGGTTAGCTCAGTTTCCCTCCTTCCCAAAAGAGTGGTTCTGCTTTCTCTACTACCCTAAGGTTGCAGACTCTCTCTTATCACCCCTTCCTCCTTCCTCTTCTCAAAATGGTAGATTCAAAGCTCCTCTCTTGATTCTCTCCTACTGTTTAAATTCCCATTCCACCACAGTGCCCCTCAGCCAGATCACCACCCCTTACAATTCCCTCTACTGTGTTGAAATGGTCCATTGAGTAACACCCCCATCACCTTCTCAACTGGGAAACCCCTGAAATGCTCTCAGAGCACCTCTGACGCCTGAAGAAGTTATACCTTCCTCTTCCCCTTTACCAAATAAAGCAAAGTCAAACCATCATCTGGAAACAGTGGCCACTTTTCACTGACCTCTCTTCGACATCTAGTCAACCCACCCAATATGCCACTGGGCTTTCGCTCCCAATTCCACCCCACCCTCCATTACAGAGCTCACCACGCCCTCCTAGATCACCGTCCCCAACACACCCATTGCCTCTCAAGGCCCTTATCTCAGCCCCTTCCTGTGGCCATTTCCCTCAGTGCCCAGATGATTCCCTGGGTGAGGGAGACACTGGGGCACCCTCAGAGGTTGGAGCAGGCTCCCTGCTGTCCCTGGATCCTGGACAGATGGCTCAGTAAACTGTGGGGACTAGGTGCAGACTTTTTGCCTTCTTGGAGTCCTGGGTCTCCTCTGAGAGTCTGGGTGGTGCTCTTCCTACGCCTCTAGAGGTCTCTGTGTCCCTCATTTTCCTTCAAAAGCGGGCTGTGTTTCTCTTCTACCTTCCAGCTCCTCCCACAGAGGAGGAAGACAATAAATATTTGTTGAACTGAAAGCAGAGATTGCCTGGCCTCCCAGATCCTTCCGCCATTTCCCTCCTCTCTCATTGCTCCAGGAAATCCATTCTCTTCCCATTCCTCATTCACCGTGGGGTCCCCCTTCCCCTTATTTAGGGCCCTCAGTGTTTTCTCTCCCTCCCCTCCCCTCCCCTCCCCACCCAAACTCCTTTTCTTCCACCATTAGCATTCCTCACCTTCTAGATGCCATCCTCTCTGGGAGTCATGAGTCTCGATTTCCTGGGTTTCTGGGACACCTGGAAGCTTGGGAAGGCTGGGACACAACAACTCCAACCAGATTCCTGTCAGCTGAGTAGGAGGCCAGTTGGGCGTTGTTCCTGGAGCTGGGGGTGGAGAGAGTAAAGGACTGAGAGGATGGGAGCGGGGCAGGGAGTGCAGCCAAGCAGGGTGACTCACTGGCCTAGATCAAGAGGCCCAGCCTGTGGCAGAACAGAGCTGCCAGTGGTCTCTCCATCTTCACACTCCCTGCTCTGCTGGGGTCCAGAGTGAGAGTGTGAGCAACATGGCTCTCAGGTGAGGGCTGAGAAGGCAGAGTGCCCCAGTGGGAAAGAGGAGTCGCTTCCACTGGAGAAGAGAGAGAAAGTGGAGTGTGTGGTGGGGTCCATGCGACTTAAGTCCTGAGACAGGCAGGGAGAGGCTGAGGCGGACGAAGTTCCCGCATCCCAAGGAGGGCAGAGTGGATTGTGCTTGTCCCTGTAGGAGCCCCACCCCCCACCCCAGGCCACCTCTCAGAGCCTCTGCTTGGCTGCAAAGGAATTCACCCCTACTGTAGCACTTAACCCATTCCCTCCTATCAGGGTGGTGCTGTCTGGTCCTGAATTTAGAACTGTTGAAACTCCAAGTCTGGAATCAGCAAAAATGTATTACATTGACCAGAAAGGGATTGAATCACCCTTGGTCCAGCATCTGGCCCCTGATCTGCAGCCAATGGCAGGAATCGAGGTCCTCAGATGCTTCATGAATGGGAATTGCAGGGAGAGAAGGCTCTCTGATGTGGTGTTTCCTCGAGTCTCCTGCTGTGCTCCAAATTAAAAGCTTGTGTAAAACTCATGCATGTCATCCAAAAAGGCCTCTGGGCTCCATCCACTGCCAGTTCTGGAGAGGAGCTCTTCACTCCTCCAGTGGTTAAGCCAGCAGGGGCAGGTGGGGAGGACACAGCAGTAGAATCAGCCAACAGCTCATGTTTAGACCTTGGGCAGCCAGGGAAGCCTACTCCTGGGGCCTCCCGGAAGCCATGGAGAGAACAAAGCCATTGCATTTTTATAATAAAATTTGCAAACATATTTAAAAGCCAACAAACTGTTAATGAATCTCTACATTCTCATCGCCCAGCTTCAACAACGATCAAGTCCTGGCCATTTGACAGCAGCATTTAAAGGCTCTCCTCTACTGTTACTTGGAAATAGCCACTTTCTCCCAAGGTTTCTTATACTCTATGGCACATCTGACCACCAGTAGCAGGCAGAATGATGTCTTCAACCCCAACACCATCAAAGATGTCCACATCCTAATCCCTGGAACGTAGGAATTAGGTTACATGGCAAAGGGAAATTAAGGTTCCAGATGGGATTAAGGTTGCTATTCGGCTGACTTCACAGAGATTATCATGGATTATTCAGGTGGGTCCAGTGTAGTCACCGGGTCCCTTAATGTGGACATGGGAGGCAGAAGAGGAAGTCTGAGTGATACAGTGTAAGAAATGGCTGATTTTGGCTTTGGAGATGGAGGAAGGGGACCATGAGCCAAAGAACACAGGATGCCTCTAGAAGGTGAAAAAGCGGGGAAAGGGATTTTCCCCTGAGGCCCCCAGAAAGAATCACAGCCCTGCTGACACCTTTATTTTAATCCACTGAGACCTGTTTTAGACTTCTGATCTCCAAAACTGTAAAGTAATAAATCCATGTTGTTGTAAGCCATTCGGTTCATGGTAATTTGTCACTGCAGCAGCAGGAATTAGTCAGTATCTCATAAGGATGGCATCCAGGTCCATTTCCCTAGCTAGATCCAGGGTCTCATGTAGGAGCAGCTCCTCAGATGGGGCCACTTCTGCACCCCAGAACCTCCTGCAGGTTGGGGCCAAGGTGAAGGAGATATGAGGATGCATGAGAAAGGGGTGCTGGGAGGAAACAATCCAGCTCCCAAAAAGAAACAAGTGTTTCTGTTGCTGAGAGAGGCAATTAAGAGAGTGGGACCCCAGGGTGGAGGTCCTTGTGTATAGAGAAGCAGGGCTGGGGAGGCTGGCAACCAGGGATGAGCTGTGAGCCAGGACACCTGGGCCAAGAAGGGGCAGGGAGGTCAAGGAAAGGAGCCAGGGCGGGAGACACCCAGCTTCCTCTGGGACATTCATTCAAGTGACACCTGTTGCCACAGACCACATTAGGAATGAGGGTGGAATGTGGAGGTTTATTGTCTTCACAACCACTAGCCCAGCCTGTTTCTGCTGTCCCCCACCCCACTACCAGGATAAAGGGCTGGCTGTCTTGGGGCTGAGGGAGATCGGGTGCTGAGCAGGATGCAGGGCCGCGTGGCAGGGAGCTGCGCTCCTCTGGGCCTGCTCCTGGTCTGTCTTCATCTCCCAGGTATGGAGGCCGTGATGCCCTTGGGCAGGAGGGACTGGAGGTCCCCCAGGAAACAGGAATTAAGGAAAGGGGTAAAGGCAGGAGGGTACACATTTAGGTCCCTGAGGGAAAAGGAAGAATAGGCATAGGGGAAGCAAAGGGAACTGGGGACTCGGGGACTGGAGACCACTGGTTGCTTTATCTTCCCTTTCCCTCAGGCCTCTTTGCCCGGAGCATCGGTGTTGTGGAGGAGAAAGTTTCCCAAAACTTGGGGACCAACTTGCCTCAGCTCGGACAACCTTCCTCCACTGGCCCCTCTAACTCTGAACATCCGCAGCCCGCTCTGGACCCTAGGTCTAATGACTTGGCAAGGGTTCCTCTGAAGCTCAGCGTGCCTGCATCAGATGGCTTCCCACCTGCAGGAGGTTCTGCAGTGCAGAGGTGGCCTCCATCGTGGGGGCTGCCTGCCATGGATTCCTGGCCCCCTGAGGATCCTTGGCAGATGATGGCTGCTGCGGCTGAGGACCGCCTGGGGGAAGCGCTGCCTGAAGAACTCTCTTACCTCTCCAGTGCTGCGGCCCTCGCTCCGGGCAGTGGCCCTTTGCCTGGGGAGTCTTCTCCCGATGCCACAGGCCTCTCACCCAAGGCTTCACTCCTCCACCAGGACTCGGAGTCCAGACGACTGCCCCGTTCTAATTCACTGGGAGCCGGGGGAAAAATCCTTTCCCAACGCCCTCCCTGGTCTCTCATCCACAGGGTTCTGCCTGATCACCCCTGGGGTACCCTGAATCCCAGTGTGTCCTGGGGAGGTGGAGGCCCTGGGACTGGTTGGGGAACGAGGCCCATGCCACACCCTGAGGGAATCTGGGGTATCAATAATCAACCCCCAGGTACCAGCTGGGGAAATATTAATCGGTATCCAGGAGGCAGCTGGGGAAATATTAATCGGTATCCAGGAGGCAGCTGGGGGAATATTAATCGGTATCCAGGAGGCAGCTGGGGGAATATTCATCTATACCCAGGTATCAATAACCCATTTCCTCCTGGAGTCCTCCGCCCTCCTGGCTCTTCTTGGAACATCCCAGCTGGCTTCCCTAATCCTCCAAGCCCTAGGTTGCAGTGGGGCTAGAGCACGATAGAGGGAAACCCAACATTGGGAGTTAGAGTCCTGCTCCCGCCCCTTGCTGTGTGGGCTCAATCCAGGCCCTGTCAGCATGTTTCCAGCACTATCCCCACTTTTCAGTGCCTCCCCTGCTCATCTCCAATAAAATAAAAGCACTTATGGAATTTGCTTCTCCTTGGTTTCTTTGTTTCTGGGCATAAGCTGAAGTGAGTCTGGGCATAAGCTGAAGTGAGTCTGTTCATTCCTGTTTTCTAGCCATCCCCACGGCCCTCTAGGGGCCCCTGCAGACGCTGTCTTGCTATCCCCATCCTTCACAAAGGATCAGTGCCCAAGTGCTTGAGGGTGGAGCCTCAGTCTCATCCCGGCCAGGTGGGAGAGCTGTTCCAGAATTGTGCTGGAATCTGAAAGGGGGAGGAGGGACAGCAGGACTAATTGAGATGGCACCTGCAGCAGGGGGCAAGGATGAGGTCCCAGAAGGCGGCTCCAGGGCCAGGTGGACAGGATTCCTTGCAACTCACAGAAACAGGAAGCCAAAAGTCGCAATGTCTACGCTTCACTTGTCTTTTCTTCCCCGGAAAGTCAAGCTTCTTGGAAGTGGAGGTACATCGACCTCCTCCCTTACAGGCATCATTTAGCACATTGTGTCCCACAGAACCACAGACTTTGAAGAGTTGCTGAGTAAATAGCAGACCTCGATAAAGGAAAAGAGAAAAGGGAGAAAGGAAAGGGAGAAAAAAACCTTGAAGCCAACAATCCCACCTGGGGTGGCATTTGATGCTTTCATTCCCAAGTGATGACACAGTCTCAGCCTTTGGTCACAGTATTGTCTCTCCTGCCCTCCCTTCGGTTTTCCCAGGAGCTCAACATCCTCACACAGGAGTTGGAGTGACGGCAGCGAAGGGTCAGGCTACAAAAGCACGGAAGAATCAGCAGGTGTGGGTTGGAGGTGATTTGGGTCTGGATTCTCTCTTCCCTGTGCCATGCCTGCAGTGGTCCAGGTGTATGTACTCTCCATCCAGTCAGGTCCCTGGGAGTTGGGCAGCTTGTGGGAGGGGAGAAAGGAGTAGGAAAAACACCAGAACTCAAGGGGTAGGGAGCTGCCTGCCTGCCTGCCTGAGTGGCAGATGGGCATTTCTGGAGAAGATGCCCGGTCCCAGCGTCTGCCATAAGGCTCCATCCTACACTGAGAAGTCCTTCCTGGAACACCTTCCTCAGAGCCCACCTTTCCCATCACCAAGCACACTCCCTTCGTCAACACCTCAACCTCCTCACCTGATTCTTTTCCCAGCTTGGACTCTCTTGGTTTCTCCCTGCCCTAGGGCAAGGGGTTCCATGCCTGTTTTCAGCACCTGCCTCTTCCACCAGCCCAAGGTCATTCTATCAAGCCTGGAGTCTCATTTCTCTCTGTCCCTCTTCCTGGTGGCCTCTTCTGCATAGTCATTCCTATTCGCACATTTAAATTTGGTGTCAACAGTCCCCTGCTCTGTTCCACAGACTCACTAGAGCATAAGCACCACGAGGACAGGGGCTTTGTCTCTTTAGTTCACTGCTGCACCCCCAGCACAAAGAACAGGGTCTGGACCAGGGCAGGCACTCAGCAGGCACGAAGGAATGGCTGATCCTCTCTCTCTGTCCCTCCCCCTCTCTCATCATCTCTCTTCTTCCACTCAATTCCTGAGCCATGCGGCTACACCCAGAGTCTAATCTACACTCCGGCTGTAGCCCTCCCAGAGCCTCACTGACATTTTTCAACAACCTCATGAAGCCCTTCTCAGCATTAAAATGCTCTGTGCGTTTCATCATTTAACCTTCATTATTCTCTGTGAGGAAGGCATTATAAGATTTTTGCGGCCAGGCACGGTGGCTCACACCTGTAATCCCAGCACTTTGGGAGAACGAGGCAGGCGGATCACCTGAGGAGTTCGAGACAGCCTAGTCCAACATGGGGAACATGGTGAAACCTCATCTCTACTAAAAACACAAAAATTAGCCAGGCATGGTGCCTGTAATGCCAGCTACTTAGGAGGCTGAGGCTGGAGAATCGCTTGAACCCGGGAGTTGGAGGTTGTAGTGAGCCGAGATCGCGCCACTGCACTCCAGCCTGGGTGACAGAGCGAGACTCCGTCTCAAAAAAAAAAAAAGATTTTTACAGATGGAGGAACTGAGATTTAGAGGGATTAAGCAAGTCACACAGGGTTACAAGTGACAGGGGTGGTGACTCAAACCTCATTTTTCTCATTATCTGTCCAGGGAGTATTCAAGTACAATATGCAATTAACAGAAATAACAACGAACTTTTATTATATTTACATATAGGCCAGGTCTTGGACAAGGGGCTTGCACACACACCCTTCCAGCAAATCCTCACAACAACCCCATTGGGTGGGCACTGCGGGGCATACTGCACAGGGAAGACACTGAGGCCCAGAGAGGATGGGGAGCTGAGGCTCACACACAGGCAACACTGAGCCAGGGCAGTGAAGTTCATCTGATGCTTGGTGCTGATGGCTCAGGGAAGATGGACTTTAACAGTGGAGGGTCCCAGGGGGATGTGGCCAGTCCCCTCAGGGTGGTCTTTGGATTAACGTTAGTTGTTGCTTAAAAAATGGTGGAACTGGGCATGGTGGCTCATGTCTGTAATTTCAGCACTTTGGGAGCTGAGGCAGGAGGATTACTTGAGCCCAGGAATTCTAGACCAGCCTGGGCAACATAGGGAGACCTCATCTCTACAAATAGTAATTAAAAAATTAGCTTGAGCACTTAAAATAAAAATTAAGAGTAGGCCGGGCATGGTGGCTCACACCTGTAATCCCAACACTTTGGGAGGCCAAGGCAGGTGGAGACCAGCCTGGCCAATGTGGTGAAACCCCATCTCTACTAAAAATACAAAAATTAGCCAGGCATGGTGTTGCACGCCTGTAATCCCAGCTAGAGGGAAGGCTGAGGTATAAGAATTGCTTGAACTTGGGAGATGGAGGTTGCAGTGAGCTGAGATTGTGCCACTGCACTCCAGCCTGGGCAACAGAGTGAGACTCTGTCTCAAAAAAAAAATCATCATCATAAGAGCAAAAATAAACTTTAAAAAAAATAAAATATTAGCTTGGCATGGTGTTATGCCTGTGGTACCAGCTACTTGGGAGGCTGAGGTGGGAGGATCACCCGAGCCTGGGAGGTTGAGGCCGCAGTGAGCCATGATCATTCCACTGCACTCTAGCCTGGGTGACAGGGCAAGACTAAAAAGGAAAAAAAAAGAAAAGAAAAGAAAGGCGGCTTACACCTGTAATCCCAGCACTTTGGGAGGCTAAGGAGGGTGGATCACCTGAGATTAGGAGTTCAAGACCAGCCTGGCCAACATGGTGCTACCCTGTCTCTACTAAAAATAAAAAGTTAGCCAGGTGTGGTGGTGGGCGCCTGTAATCCCAGCTACTCGGGAGACTGAGGTAGGAGAATCGCTTGAACCTGGGAGGTAGAGGTTGCAGTGAGCTGAGATTGCACCATTGCACTCCAGCCTAGGTGACAAGAGGGAAACTCCATCTCAGAAAAACAACAACAACAACAAAAACAACACCCAAAAACCAAACAACAACAACTACAACAAAAAGAGAGGGAATGTCTTCAGTAATCTGTGATATGAGAAAGGTCCTAATGTTTGCAACAGGGACTACTGCTGGCATACTGATTTTTACATTTTTATTAGTGGTTAATTAGTGGAAGTGGTGGCTGGAGTAGCAAGAGTCATTCATTTCTCCTATCCTAGGAGGGCGCTTATCCAGAAGTTAGGAAACAGAAGTTCCCCTTCTGCCACACAACTTTCTGTGCCAGGTCACCTTAGGCAAGTCATTGACCTCTGTGGACCTTCGTTTTCTCATCTGTAACATGGGATGAAAGCAGATGTCCAGCCTCCCTCACAGGATTATTAGGAAGTTTAGGTAAGATAATGATAAGGTGCCTTAGAGACTGGAAAACCCTGAGCCATCGTAAGGGATAGATCCTAATGCAGTGCGTTGTCCCAGTGAGGCAGTCCTGGCAGGACCACAGGATAGTTCTTCGTCCCACAGAGGAGGGCTGGTCTGGTGCAGAGGCTGTAGTTGACATCACAGTCGATTGATAAGTTGATGTGATGCTTTGCACTGGGAGTTACACTTGAGAGAATGACTCTAAGATCAAGAGGAAGAGTTGAGTTGGCTTCTCATTTAAATATTTCATCCCTCAAACAAACAGCATTCACTTAGCCATTTGTCAGTAAAAAAGACATTTTTCACTTACACACACACTGTTGGGTGATAATAATAATAGTTTCCTTTATGTATTTACCATGAACTAAATGTTACAAGGTTACTTCAGTTCTTAGAATTCTATGATGTGTATGACGTGCTTACTCTTTTGTTTGTTTGTTTGTTTGTAGAGATGGGGGTCTCGCTTGTTGCCCAGGTTGGTCTTGAACTCCTGGCCTCAAGTGATCCTCCTGCCTCGGCCTTCCAAAGTGCTGGGATTACAGGTATGAGCCACCATGACCAGCCTAAAGTGAATTAATGTTTGATTCTCTGGCTAGACAAGCCCCACTGTGGAAAGGTGGTAGCAACAAGTTGTGAAATAATTTTGAGACCATTTAGTTCTTCTTGGCCTCAGGATGGCAGTTGTGACTGATGCAGCAGGTGTTTTTTTTTTTCTCTTTCTTTCTTTCTTTTTTTTTTTTTTTTTCTTGAGACGGAGTCTCGCTCTGTTGCCAGGCTGGAGTGCAGTGGCGTGATCTCTGCTTACCACAACCTCCGACTCCCTGGTTCAAGCGATTCCCCTGCCTCAGCCTCCCGAGTAGCTGGGATTACAGGCATGTGCCACCATCCCCAGCTAATTTTTGTATTTTTCAGTAGAGACGGGGTTTCCCCATGTTGGCCAGGATGGTCTGATCTCCTGACCTCGTGATCCGCCCGCCTCAGCCTCCCAAAGTGCTGGGATTACACGCGTGAGCCACCCCGCCCGGCCAGAGGGTTGTTTCTTTAGCACCTCTTCCTCTGTCCCTCCTTTCTCTGAATCCCGTACTTAAATCACTCCCTGGCTACTCAGGACCATAATCCCTCTTGACTCACCCAGTCAAAACTCACTTCTCTTGAGTCTCTCTGTCCACTGTGACATTGTCATATGATGAATTCAGGAGAACTAACTCTGTTCATGATTAATAGGTGCAAAGATGATGAGTCTAGGAAGATAAAATCTATCTGGTATGTTAGTGGCCCCTTAAACATCTGTCACCAGCCTTCAAGTTCAGGTGCCCCTCTCTTTTCCTGGGACACCCTCTCAGTGTCTAAATGTCATTAAGGTATTTCTACTTAATGTAATTTTGTTTCTCTTATGAATTTATTAAACAAATAGCATTTAAGCATTAAATAATATTCTTCTATTTATACACTATGTACACAACTAATACATAGACATTTATGGATTTAATAATCCAAACTGATTAAAACACATTATTGATTTTATTTATTTATTTATTTATTTATTTATTTATTTATTTTTTTGAGACGGAGTCTTCTCTGTCACCCAGGCTGGAGTGCAGTGGCGTGATCTCGGCTCACTGCAACCTCTGCCTCCCAGGTTCACGCCATTCTCCTGCCTCAGCCTCCTGAGTAGCTGGGACTACAGGTGCCCACCACCACGCTTGGCTAATTTTTCTGTATTTTTAGTAGAGATGGGGTTTCACCGTGTTAGCCAGGATGGTCTCGATCTCCTGACCTTGTGATCCACCCACCTCAGCCTCCCAAAGTGCTGGGATTACAGGCGTGAGCCACTGCGCCCGGCCTAAATATTGATTTTAGACTTAAACTCATTTAAGCATTTAATTAAAATCTTTCATTTAGCTGGGCACAGTGGCTCATACCTGTAATCCCAGCACTTTAGGAGGCCGAGGCGGGTGGATCACCTGAGGTCAGGAGTTCGAGAACAGGCTGACCAACATGGTGAAACCCTGTCTCTACTAAAAATATACAAATTAGCTGGGCATGGTGGCAAGCGCCTATAATCCCAGCTACTCAGGAGACTGAGGCAGCAGAATCGCTTGAACCCAGGAGGCAGAGGTTGCAGTGAGCCGAAATCGCGCCATTGCACTCCAGCCTGGGTGACAAGAGCAAGACTCCATCTTAAAAAAAAAAAAAAAATCTTGCATTTAATACATAGGATTCTCTTAAATGTCTGAAACCCCCTAAGAAGCAAATGCGTTTTTTTTTTTGAGATGGATTTTCGCTCTTGTTGCCCAGGCTGTAGTGCAATGGCGCGATGTCTGCTCACTGCAACCTCTGCCTTCCGGGTTCAAGCAATTCTCCTGCCTCAGCCTCCCAAGTAGCAGGGATTACAGGTGTGCACTACCATGCCCGGCTAATTTTTTATTTTTAGTAGAGATGGGGTTTCACCATGTTGGTCAGGCTGGTTTTGAACTCCTGACCACAGGTCATCCACCCACCTTGGCCTCCCAAACTGCTGAGATTACAGGTGTGAGCCACTGCACCCGGCCTACGAATGCAATTATTATTATTATTTTATTTTTATTTTTTGGAGACAGAGTCTTCCTCTATCACCCAGGCTGAAGTGGAGTGGCACCATCAGGGCTCACTGCAGCCTCAACCTCCTGAGCCCAAGGAGTCCTCCCACCTCAGCCTTCCAAGTAGCTGGGACAACAGGCCTGCACCACTGCACCTGGGTAATTTTTAAATTTTTATAGAGATGGGGTCCCACTATGTTGCTCAGACTGATCTTGAACTCCTGGCCTCAAATGATCCTCCCACCTCAGCCTCCTAAAGTGCTGGGATTACAGGCATGAGCCACTGTGCCCAGCCTGGAACACTAACTTTTAACAACTATCTGCACACAGAGAAGCATCATCACAAGAACCAAAAATCAGGTGAGCAATCACAGTAACTGGATTTAACTTCATATCACTAAAGGAAACATTGAGGAGGGCAGGAGAGACAGTCTTGAATTGTGACGCCCCTTCCGTCCTCCCTGGCAGTGTCCCTGCAGCGTGGAAAGAGAGTCTTTGCATTTTGGGGAGGGAGGGCATGGGGTGGGGGACTTTATATTGAACTCACTGCTGCACTGTCATAGCGGAGAGCAAAGTCATGCTGGGATCGACCGGCACCTGCATGTGGAGGGGGGCATCTGGGCCAGCCCTAGCCAGAGGGAAATCACCTGTCCCAGTGGTTGGAACTTGAGTTTCTCTGCAAGCCTCACCACCATGGGCCAAAGTGCTCTGGTGTCCTAGGTAAACTTGAAAGGCAGTCTAGGCTGGATGCGGTGGCTCACACCTATAATCCCAGCACTTGGGGAAGCTGAGGCAGGAGGGACACTTGAGCCCAGGAGTCTGAGACCAGCCTGGGCAACATAAGGAGGCCATATTTCCACAAAAGAAAAAAAAGAAAAGGCAGTCTAGGACCCAAGGACTGCAATTCCTAGACAACTCCTAGTGCTCGGCTGGACTTACAGCCAATGGACTAGGGTTGCACTTGACCTAGGTAGACACCAGCCGGTATGGCTAAGGGAGGGCTTGTGCCACCCCTTCTCCAATCCCAGGCAGTGCAGCTCCTAGCAACGAAAGTGACTCCTTCCCTCTGCTTAAGGAGAGATGAGCAACGGGTAAAGAGGACTTGGTCTTGCATCTTGGATACCAGCTCAGCCACAGTAGGATAGGGCACTGGGCCAAGTCATGAGGCCCCCATTCCAGGCCCAACTCCCAGATGTCATTTTTAGATACCTGGGCCAAAAGGGAAGCTGCTGCCTTGAAGAGAAGGGCCCAGTACTTGCAGGATTCATCACCTGCTGACTAAAGAGCCCCTGGGCCCTGCATAACTAGCAGCAATAACCAGGTAGTACACTGTGGGCCTTGGGTGAGACTCTGAGACATGCTGTCTTCAGCAGTGACCCAGCACATTCCCAGCTATGATGGCTATGGTGAAAGACTCCTGCAGTTTGAGAAAAGCAGAGGGAAAAGTAAAGGGGACTTTGTCTTGTACCTTAGGCACCAGCTCAACCATGGTAGGGCAGAGCAACAAGCAGTCTCTTGGAGTCCCCAAATCTAGGTGTAGATTCTGTCCTGGACCTGCCCCTCTGGCTCATGGCAGGTCCAGAGGGGAGCCTGCTGCCCTGAAAGGTAAGTCCCAGGCTTGGCAACATTCACCACAAGCTGATGGAAGAGTTCTTGGGCTTTAATTTTTATTTTTATTTTTTCGAGACGGAGTCTTGCTGTCACCCTGACTGGAGTGCAGTTGTACCATCTGGGCTCACTGTAACCTCCGTCTCCTGGGTTCAAGAGGTTCTCCTGCCTCAGCCTCCCAAGAAGCTGAGCTTACAGGCACCCACCACCACACCTGGCTAATTTTTGTATTTTTAGTAGAGACAGTGTTTCACCATGTTGGTCAGGCTGGTCTTGACCTCCTGACCTCAAGTGATCCACCTGCCTCGGCCTCCCAAAGTGCTGGGATTACAGGCGTGAGCCACCACAGCCGGCCACCTTTGGGCTTTAAGTGAACATTGGTGGTGGACTGGCAGAATTGCTGTGGACTGGTGGTGGTGGTTGCCATAGGGAGAGGCTCCTCTGCCTAAGGAAAGGGGAGGGATGAGTGGGAGGGACTTTGTATTGTGGTGTCAGCGCCCGCTTAGCCACAGTAGAACAGAACATCAGGTAAATTACCAAAGTTTTTGACTCCAATCCCTGGCTCCCAGACAGCATCTCTGGAGAAGCTCTTAGCCTAGAGGAACTTGTTGCCCTGAAGGGAAGGCCCTGGCAAAGACCCAGTGCTGTGCTGGCTTCAGATCTGACCCAGTGCAGTCCCAGTGACGGCCACAGGGGTGCTTGTGACACCACACCCCCAGCTCCAGGTGGCTCAGCAAGAGAGAGAGAGACTGTATGTTTGGGAGAAAGTAAGCAAAAAGAACAAGAGTCTATGCCTGATAATCCAGAAAATTCTTCCAGCTCTTATCCAAGACCACCAAGGCAGTACTTCTAAGAGTCTGCAAAACCACAGCATTATTGGGTTTCCCAAGAAGGACAGGCACAAACAAGCCCAGGGCTGTGAAGGCTACAATAAATACCTAACTCTTCAATGCCCAGATACCGACAAACGCCTATAAGCATCAATACCATCATGACCTCATCAAATGAACTAGATAGGCTATCAGGGACCAATCCTGGAGAAAAAGAGATATATGATCTTTCAGATAGATCATTCAAAATAGATGTTTTGAGGAAACTAAAAGAAATTCAAGGGCCGGGTACGGTGGCTCATGCCTGAAATCCCAGCACTTTGGGAGGCTGAGGAGGGCGGATCGCGAGATCGGGATCGAGACCATCCTGGCTAACATGGTGAAACCCCATTTCTACTAAAAATACAAAAAATTAGCTGGGCGTGGTGGCACGTGCCTGCAGTCCCAGCTACTCAGGAGGCTGAGGCAGGAGAATCGCTTGAACCCAGGAGGCAGGGGTTGCAGTGAGCCGAGATCACGCTACCGCACTCCAGCTTGGGTGACAGAGTGAGACTCCATCTCCAAAAAAAAAAAATTAAGATAGCATAGAGAAAGAATTCAGAATTCTATCAGATAAATTTAACAAGGAGAATGAAATAATTAAAAAGAATCAGGCAGAAATTCAATAGTTGAAAAATACAATGGACATGCTGAAGAATGTACGACTCTTTTGAATATTTTTTTGAAAATTTTTTTTCTTTTTCCTTTTTCCTTTTCTTTCTTTCTTTTTTTTTTTGTGGGGGGGACAGAGTCTTACTCTGTTACCCAGGCTGGAGTGCAGTGGCACAATTTCAGTTCACTGCAACCTCCGTCTCCTGGGTTCGAGAGGTTCTCCTGCCTCCGCCTCCCGAGTAGCTGGGATTACAGATGCCCACCACCACGCCTGGCTAATTTTTGTATTTTTAGTAGAGATAGGGTTTTGTTGTGTTGGCCAGGCTGGTTTCGAACTCCTGATCTCAGTTGATCCGCCTGCCTTGGCCTTTCAAAGTGCTTGGATTTCAGGTGTGACCCACTGTGCCCAGCCTTTTTAAAATTTTATTTATTTTAATCTTTCAGAAAAGACAGAATCTCTGAATTGTAGAATTAATCAAGCAGAAGAATTAGTGAGCCTGAAGACAGGCTCCTTGAAAATACAGAGTCAGAGGAGACAAAAGAAAAAATAATAAAAAACAATGAAGCATGCCTACGAGATCTAGAAAACAGCCTCAAAAGGGCAAATCTAAGAGTTATTGGCTTTAAAGAGGAGGTACAGAAGACATAGAGATAGAAAGTTTATTCAGAGAAATAACAGAATTTCCCAAACCTATGGAAAGATATCAACATTCAAATAAAAGAAGGTTATAGAATGCCAGGCAGATTAAACTCAAAGACTACCTCAAGGCATTTAATGATCAAACTCCCAAAGCGTCAATAAGTCTGGCAGCAGATTTTTCAGTGGAAGCCTTACAGGCCAGGAGACAGTGGCATGACATATTTCAAGTGCTGAAGGAAAAAAACTTTTACCCTACAATAGTATATCCAGTGAAAATATCCTTCAAGCATAAAGGAGAAATAAAGACTTTTCCAGACAAACAAAAGCTGAGGGATTTCATCAACACCAGACCTGTCTGACAAGAAATGCTAAAGGGAGCTCTTTAATCTGAAAGAAAAGGATGTTAATGAATGAGAATAAATCTCATTACAAAACTCACTGGTAATAGCAAGTACACAGAAAAACACAGAATAGTATAATAATTTAATGGTGGTAGGTAAACTACTCCTGTCTTAAAGTAGAAAGACTAAATGATGAACCAATAGAAAATAATAACTATAGTTTACTGCAGCACTGTTCATAATAGCCAAGATTTGGAAGCAACTAAAGTGTCCATCAACAGATGAATGGATAAAGAAAATGTACATATACATAATGGAGTACTATTCAGCCATAAAAAGAATGGTATCTTGTCATTTGCAACAATATGGATGGAATTGGAGGTCATTATGTTAGATGAAATAAGCCAGGCATAGAAAGACAAACATCACATGTTCTCACTTATTTGTGGGATCTAAAATCAAAACAATTGAACTCATGGACAGAGACAGTAGAAGGATGGTTACCAAAGGCTGGGAAGAGTAGAGCTATGGGGGACACGTGGGGATGGTTAATGGGACAAAAAAAATAGTTAGAAAGCATGAATAAGACCTGGTATTTGATAGCACAACAGGAGGACTACAGTCAATAATAACTTTTTTTTTCTTTTTTTTCGGATGGAATCTCCCTCTGTTGCCCAGGCTGGAGTATAGTGGCACCTTCTCAGCTTACTGCAGCCTCCACCTCCTGGGCTCCAGTGATTCTCCTGCCTCAGCCTCCCGGGTAGCTGGGATTACAGGCATGCACCAACACCCCTGGCTAATTTTTGTATTTTTTGGAATGATGGGGTTTCACCATGTTGGCCAGGCTAGTCTCAAACTCCGGACCTCAGGTGATCCGCCCGCCTCGGCCTCTCAAAGTGTTAGGAGTATAGGCATGAGCCACTGCGCCCAGCTGATAATAACTTAATTGTACATTTAAAAATAACTACAAGAGTATAATTGCATTGTTTGTAACACAAAGGATAAATACTTGAAAGGATGGATACCCAATTTTCCATGATGTGATTATGACACACTGCATGCCTGCACCAAAATATCTCATGTACCCCATAAACATATATACCTACAACGTACACACAAAATTAAAAAATCATTAATAAAATAATAAAATGAGGCCGGGCGTGGTGGCTCACTCCTGTAATCCCAGCACTTTGGGAGGCTGAGGCAGGCGGATCACCTGAGGTTGGGAGTTCAAGACCAGTCTGACCAACATGCAGAAACCCCATCTCTACTAAAAATACAAAATTAGCCGGGCGTGGTGGTGCATGCCTATAGTCCCAGCTACTTGGGAGGCTGAGGCAGGAGAATCGCTTGAAGCCAGGAGGCGGAAGGTTGCGGTGAGCCAAGATTGTGCCATTGCACTCCAGCCTGGGCGACAAGAGAGAAACTCTGTCTCAAAATAAATAAATAAATAAATAAATAAATAATAATAAAATGAAATAAAAATAAATAAATGTACAAAACCAGGGAGTAGTTTTTAGTATACTCATGGAGTTACAAAACCAACACCATAATCAATTTCAGAACATTTTCATCAACCCCAAAAGAAAGCCCAAACCCATGAGCAGTCACTCCCAATCTCCTAACCCTCCCCTACTCCACCCCAGCCCTAAGCAGCCACTCATCTACTTTTTGTCTCTAAGGACTTACCTATTCTGTACATTTCATATAAATGGAATAATACAACATGGTGTCGTTTTGACTGGCTTCTTTCATTTAGCACAATGTGTTCAAGGTTCATCCATGTTGTAGCACATATCAGTACTTTATTTCTTTTTATTTTCAAATTCATTTTTATTCTAGCGTATGGCTGTATATATCACATTTTATTTTCCATTCATCCGTTGAGGGACATTTAGGCCATTTCCATTTTTTATTGTTGTTGTTGTTGTCGTTGTTGTTTGGCTATTATGAATAATGCTGCTATGAACATTTGTGAACAAGTTCTTGTGTAGACATAGATTTTCATTTTTCTGGGCTATAAACCTAGAAGTAGGATTGCTGAGTCATACAGTAACTCCATGTTCAACCTTTGGAGGAATGGTCAGACTATTTTCCAAAGTGCTGTACCATTTCACTGTCCAACAGCTGTGCATGAGAGTGCCAATTTTTCCACACCCTTGCCAACACTTATTATCTCTCTTTTTACTATAGCCAGCCTAGTGGGTGTGAAATTATATCTCACTGAGGAATATAACTGCTTTTAGTTAGGTACACATCTTTTACATAAATTTTAGAATTTTGCGGGCCAAGCACGGTGGCTCACACCTGTAATCCCAGCACTTTGGTAGGCTGAGGAGAATGGATCACCTGAGGTCAGGAGTTCAAGACCAGTCCGGCCAACATGGCAAAACCCTGTCTCTACTGAAAAAACAAAAATTAGCCGGGCGTGGTGGCACATGCCTGTAATCCCAGCTAGTCGGAAGGTTGAGGCATGAGAATCGCTTGAACCCAGGAGGCGGAGGTTGCAGTGAGCCGAGATCACTCCATTGCACTCCAACCTGGGTGACAGAGCGAGACTTCGTATCAAAAAACAAAAACAAAAAAACAAACAAGAATCTCACAACATATTTTCTCCCCCTAATATAACACACTTCAATAATCTCTTGACCATTATTACATAATGAATTTTTCTCTCATTATGATATACTGACTTGATCTGTTAGCAGTATTAAATCTTATGCATATCTTATTTGTATTTTATTATAACTAGTAGGGCAATTTAAATATTCAATATTCTAGAAGATGAAGAATTGGGTTGACTTGGTTAGCTCTTCTTTTTAGTGATATTTTTGGTTAATTTATTGTCTTGGTACCTACTATTGAAACTCCCTTCTCTTTCATTATTGCCTCTGACATCATCTCATGTCAGACGTTCTTATTTCTGCTAACATTCATACTTACAGCAGGGCTGTTACTGGCGGTGAATCCGTAGGTGTCTGCAGCAACCTCAATTCTTACCTCCTCAGAAGAAAGAATTTGACTGAGGGGCATAAGGCAGGAGACAACGAGGCAAGTTTTAGAGCAGGAGTGAAAGTTTATTAAAAGGCTTTAGAGCAGGAAGGAAAGTACATTTGGAAGAGGGCCAAGTGGACGACTTTAGAGATCAAGTATGTGGTTTGATCTTTTGACTTGGGTCTTTTTTTGTTTGTTTTTTTTTTTTTTGAGATGGAGTCTCTCCCTGTCACCCAGGCTGGAGTACAGTGGTGCAATCTTGGCTCACTGCAACCTCCGCCTCCCGGGTTCAAGCGATTCTCCTGCCTCAGCCTCCCAAGTAGCTGGGATTACAGGTGTGCACCACCAAGCCTGGCTAATTTTTGTATTTTTAGTAGAGACGGGGTTTCACCATGTTGGCCAGGCTGATCTCAAACTCCTAATCTCAGGTGATCTGCCCACCTTGGCCTCCCAAAGTGCTGGGATTACAGGTGTGCCACTGCACCCGGCCTGACTTGAGGTTTTATACATTGCATGCTTCGGGGGTCTTGGTGTTCCTTCTCCCTTGATTCTTCCCTTGGGCTGGGCTGTCCATATGTGCAGTGGTCTGCTAGCCCTTGGAAAGGGCGGCATGCACAGTGTGTTTACTGGAGTTGTACGCATGCTCACTTGAGGCGTTCTTCCCTTGCCAGTCTAAAATTCGTAGAGGAAGGACATACACCAGTTAAACTCCACAGTTTTGCCTCTTAGTGAGCATGCTTGAGTCCACTCGCCCAACTCCTGAGATCTTATCAGGAAGCTGCTGATCACCAGTTTCAGGTTTTTTCTATCTATTGGGATCTGCCTGTCCCTGGCGCCAGCTGCTACCAGTTATTATTTTAGAGAAACAGTTAATAACCGCCTGGCCATCACCTGATGCTCGCCTGGCATTCCTGGTGGGTGTGTGTGGTAGGAAGCCCTCTCCTGCTCTGCTCGTGCCTGACTAGCTGCCTACTATAACAGGGCTACTTGGCTTTCTCAGCATTCTCTGTGGGTTTTCTGCTTACACAGACAAAAGCAAGCACCTATCTTTGCTTTATAAACAGACACATAATTAATAGAAGAGACAAAATGAATAGTTCCCTTTTTATTAAAATAAAATTTTAAAACTCAATTCTTCTCTATTACAGTCATCTTTTGTGCCCTTTATGTGAATTTTTATCTGTTATTATCGTGATTTCATGGCCTGCCACAGATTCAATTTACTTCAATTAACCATAATTATCATTCCTCCCCCCATCTTCTTTCTTTCATGCCCGACTGTCAACTTGAACAATGGGAGCTCTTTGAAATTGGCTCCTTTGTCTTTTTAAGCACTGTCCTTGACTTACTTTCCTTCCTTCCTTCCCTCCTTCCTTCCTTCTTTCCTTCCTTCCTTCTCTCTCTCTCTCTTTCTTTCTTTTCTTTCTTTTTTGCGACAGGGTCTCACTGTTGCCCAGGTTGGAGTGGCACAGTCACAGCTCACTGCAGTCTTGACCTTCCCAGCATCAGATGATCCTCCCATTTCAGCCTCCCACATAGCTGGGACTACAGGCATGCATCACCATGCCCAGCTACTTTTTGTATTTTTTGTAGAGATGGGGTTTCGCCACGTTGCCCAGGCTGGTCTTGAACCCCTCTGCTCAAGTGATCTGTCCGTCTTGGCCTCCCAAAGTGCTGGGATTACAGGCATGAGCCACGTGCCCAGCCTGTCCTTCACATTCTTGAAGTCATCCTTGCTCTATGGCAACAACAGAACATTCAAGTCCTGTCCTGATTCTTTCCTTCTCTGAGACATGGAATCAGTTGTCACCTAAGCCTTGCATTCTAAGGGGTCCTAGTTTCTATAAATGAAAAACAGTATTTGAAACCAAAGGCTAGGTCCTGGGGTTCCACATGACAGCTAGTGACAAAACTACTACCTCCTCTGTTGGCCACTTTTTTGTTTGTTTGTTTGTTTGTTTGAGACAGAGTCTTGCTGTGTTGCCAGGCTGGAGTGCAGTGGTGCCATCTTGGCTTAGTGCAACCTCAACCTCCCAGGCTCAAGCAATCCTCCCACCTCAGCCTCCCAAGTAGCTAGGACTACAAGTGCACCACCATGCCTGGCTAATTTTTTTTTTTTTTTTTTTTAATAGAGACAGGGTTTCGCCATGTTGCCCAGGCTGGTCTCAAACTCCTGGGCTGAAGCCATCTGCCCATCTCAGCCTCCCAAAATGCTGGGATTACAAGTGTGATCCACTGTGCCTGGCCCATAGTTGGCCACTTTTTAAGATAGACGTTAATGTCAAATTTGCTAACTTAACATGCTGTTTGTTGTATCCTACTTGCATTAGAGAGAGCAGGGTAGACTCATCATGAAAACTTTCCACATCACTGAGAGACAATGAAGGGACCATACCCAGGTTTATGCAGGAATGAAGTGAAGGAATATGTGGAAGTTAAAGTCAGTGTGGGGAAGGCTGGAGAGTGTGAATTGGGCAACACTCCACGTAAGGTGAGGTCAGCTGGGAAACCAGTCCACTGTAGAGATTTTGAAGTCATAAGTTTGAGATAAGGTGAAGTGCTCAGTGATTTTTCCACCTGTTATTTTCACCTAACAAAGACCTGTTTGAGCTATAGTCATTCAGGATGTGACCATGTGTCCCCCACCCCCAAAAGATACGCTGAAATCTTAATCCCTGGTACCTCAGAATGTGATCTGATTAGGAAATAGGGTCTTTATAGAGGTCATCAAGTTAAAATGAGGTCATTAGGGTGAGCCTTAATCCAATAGAATTTGAGTGGAGCCTGGAGCATCTGCAGGACCCAAGAAAGTGACCACAGAGAGGGGCCAAGGGGTGGGGGTGCTGGTGCTGACACTGCAGAGCCTTCTAGGCCTTCTTAGGGATTTGGCGTTTTACCTGTATCTGAAGAACAAGGGTTGCACTGATGGCAAGCCAAGATGCATTGTGTTTGCTAGGGGCTGCCAAGTTGCCAAGAGAGGAAATGACTCTGCAGATGGTTCTGCAGGGCCTGGCACAGGGCGAGTTTCCTGCATGAGGGAGGTGCTTTTATTTAATTGTTAAATTTGTTTCCTGTTTATGCCCTTCTTTCTCATATGGGGATGTTCATGGCCTCCTGCCTGGGTGGTGACAGCACTCTCCTAACTGGCCTCATACCCACAGGCTCTGCGTCCTCCAGCCCATCCTATAAGTCAGTTCATCAGACCTCTACCCTGCTCAGGTACTGGCTGGGTGCAGAGCCTGCAGCTTGCACAGAAGGTCGTTCCTGTGCAGCTGACTGCCCCTCCAGGCTCTGTCTGTCTCTTGTCCTCACCCTCACCCCTGCTCCTGCTCTCTGCTGGGCAGACACCACTGGTGGAACTCATGAACATTTGCAGAACTAATGACTGAAGGCACCAGGGCCCTGGCAGCCACCCCACCCTGCATGCAACTGGAGCTCTTCACCACTCTGCACTTTGGTTCTGTGATTTGCCCACCTCCTCTTTCTCTGCCTGTTAAATGGAACATTCATTTGCTACATTCCAGTTCCAGAAGCTTTTAACAAAACCCAGGGAATCCTAGAAGGGTACAGTAAGAGGAATGGAAAGAGGAAAGAAGTTAAAATGTATTTGGTGGCCAGACGCAGTGGCTCATGGCTGTAATCCCAGCACTTTGGGAGGCCGAGGCGGGCGGATCACTTGAGATCAGGAATTCAAGACCAGCCTGGTCAATATGGCAAAACCCCATCTCTACTAAAAATATAAAAATTAGCTGGGCGTAGTGGCGGGCAACTGTAATCCTAGCTACTCGGAAAGCTGAGGCACAAGAATCACTTGAACCCCAGAGGCAGAGGTTGCAGTGAGCTGAGATCGCACTACTGCACTCCAGCCTGGGTGACAGAGTGAGACTCCAATTCCAAAAATAAATAAATAAATAAATAAATAAATAAATGTGTTTGGTTCAGGGGAAAGACTAAAGCTACTGAATAACCTTTGATGTTAAATAAAATTATAACTTTAAATAGATGTAAGGGAAATCATGAATTAGACTAGAACTAAAGATGCATGTTTTAAACTACTGGAAGGGCTGAAACAACAACATAGAGAGCAACCCTTTCGGTGAAAATCAGGGGAAAAAATAGTACTCAGAAAAAATAAAGTAATATAGACATAAAAGCTTATCTCTTTTTTAAACAGAGTATTCGTGTTCCATGAAACTGCTGGTGATAATTTTTAAAAAGTGTATTCATGGAGAAAGTTCTGATGAGATATTATTTCGGCGGTTATTCCTTGGTGGTAGAAGCTTTTCAGGACTTTTCAACTTTGTACTTTGTACTTTTACAAAGACCTGTATAGTACTGGGTTTATAATAAAAACAAAACAAACACAAAAGCCCATTCATCTGCAAACAACTCATTGTTCAAGTCTTTCCTGACCCTCCCACTGAACTCCCAGGCTGATGGTGACTTTCTCATGACATTGAAGGACATTGAATAATTATAACTACTGTAACTAATGGGCCCAGCACTAAGCTCTCTAAGCCTCATCTTCCTTATCTGTAAAGTGGGGATAGTCAGAGTTCCCATGTGATAGGCTTGTTGAGATGACTCAACCAAATATTTGTATACGAAATTCTTAGCATCGTGTCTGGCACGATAAGAACTCAATAACAATTTGCTGTTGTTACCATTATTATTATAATTTATTTTATGTTATTTTTTGAGTGACAGAGTGTCACTCTGTCCCCCAGGCTGGAGTGCAGTGGCACGATCTTGGCTGACTGCAACCTCCACCTGCTGGCTTCAAAGGATTCTCCTGCCTTAGCCTCCTGAGTAGCTGGGAATACGCCCCCGGCTAATTTTTTTTTTTTTTTTTTTTGAGACTCGCTCTGTCACCTAGTCTAGAGTGCAGTGGTGCGATCTCGGCTCACTGCAACATACGCCTCCCAAGTTCAAGCGATTCTCCTGCCTCAGACTCCTGCATAGCTGGGATTACAGGCACCCGCCATCATGCCCAACTAATTTTTGTATTTTTGGTAGAGATGGGGTTTCACCATGCTGGCCAGGCTGGTCTTGAACTCCTGACTTCAGGTGATCAGCCCACCTCAGCCTCCCAAAATGTTGGGATTACAGGTGTAAGCCACCGTGCCCAGCCTAATTTTTGTATTTTTAGAAGAGACGGGGGTCTCACCATGTTGACCAGGCTGGTCTAGAACTACTGATCTCAGGTGATCTGACCACCTTGGCCTCCAAAAGTGCTAGGATTACAGGTGTGAGCCACTGCACCCAGCCTCTAACTTACTTTAATTCCAAACATCCTTCCAAGGTAGGCATTATGAGCTTTATAAATGATGAAAATATGGCTCAGAGAGGTTAAGTAATTTGCCTAAAGTCACACAGCTAGTAAAGGGTTTCCTAGGACATTACATGAAAGTTAATCACCTACGAATGAAAGTTGTGGGGAGTCTGTGCACAGTGAATGAGAGGCACTAACTGGAAAAGACACTGTAGATGGTGCTAAGGAAATTGGGGAGTAAATAAATCCAATCAAAGGGAGCCAAGGGGAAGTATGCATGGATAAAGACTAGACCTAAGGAAGCAAAAATCAAATCCATGGTACTAGGCGCCAACTGAAGAAAGAATGTGGATGCAGAAGAGGGTGGCCTTTATGGAATCTAGAAAAGCGGGGCTCAAGGGACAAGAATCATGAGCTGTTTAGTCATTGTTCCCTGCAGGGGAACATGAAGACAGGTATGTTCTGGCCATGAGTATTCTGTTGTAACCTATTTTAATTTTATTTTCTTAATTTTCTTTAATAGAGACAGGGTCTGGTATGTTACCCAGGCTGATCTCCTGGGCTCAAGTGATTCTCCCACCTCAGCCTCCCTAAGAGATTGCAGGCATGAGCCACCACGCCCAGCCATAACCTACTTTTAATCAGCAGCTTCAAAATGGCTGTGACATCAAGTGTATAATAACACTGAACTCACAGTCATGCTCTACATATCAAAAGATGGGTGGAGAGAGACTTCTTCTGTCAGTTTGATGGAAGAATATGTGTGCCGTCTGTTTCATGTACACTAGAATTCATCCCTGAATTAAGCCAGACCAGTGGCATGGACACACAGCATGGGACTGCACTGATCTGACTGATTCTGCCGGAACATGGTGCCACCAGCTGTAACAGGAACACCGAAGAAATGAATAAATCCTATGAAAACTTGTATTTATGGTAGTGGTGTGGTTGAGACGTTGTTCACTTTATCACACCCCTTCTGGTCAAGGGAGACCAGAAGAAAACTGCTTCCTGGTCTCAGGGAAAGGATTAGTTGTGTTACTATTGCGGGACTTTTCCTTAGTTCAGCTAAAGACGGGTTCTTTGTCCCACAGCCACGAAAATTCAGGCTCGCAGACAATCTGAATGGTGAATGAGATGGGTTTTATTGGATGAAAAGGAAGAAAACGGAGAAACAGGGACTGTCGCTAGGCCAGAGTCCCTACTAGAGCGCTTCCCACCCGCCATTCAAATCCCAGGATCCACACACTAAGAAGAGGGGCCAGGCTGCTCCCCGCTGCAAAGGGCACAAACTTCCTGAGGCTCCACCTCAGTGGGCAGGCTGGTTGGCATTTCTCCAGGGAACCCCTCCCACCTGGCTGTCTCACTACTTCTGAGACTTTGGACACTGGAAGCCATGTGATGATTGTGTTTCCCTCTTTGAATTGGCTTCTAGAGAGCTCAGTTCCAAACCTGCGACCCCCACCCCCAGCACAGCATGATGTTTATACTAATCTTACTGGTTTTATCTGATTTTTCTAACTCTTTACTTGCCTTCGTATTTTTCTTTCTTTTTCTTAGAGATTTTGGGGTCTCACTCATAGCTCACTGCAGCTTCAAACTCCTGGGCTCAAGTGATCCTCCAGCCTCAGCCTTCTGAGGAAGTAGCTAGGACTATAGGCATGTGCCCCAACAGCCTGGCTAATTCATTTTATTGCTTTTTTAGAGATGAGATCTGGCTATGTTGTCCAGGCTGGGCAGTCTCAAACTCCTGGCCTCAAGCAATCCTCCTGCCTCAGCCTCCAGAGTAGGTGGGGTTACAGGCAGGCACCACCAGGCTCAGCCTTAGTTGTAATTTTTAATTCTGTTGTATTGTGTTTAAGCTATTTTAGATTTTGTTTAAAACAAGGCTGGTATAGATACATACAATGTTTTATTCCTGGACTGGGTTTTACTATGACCTGGATGAAATACTCCTAAAATATCTACCTCTCTTAACTTTGATTTCTTGGTCACCCAGCAACGTATTTTGATTGGCAGTCAACTTTTCCTTTCAGGTATCTTGCTACTAGTTTATTTAGTTATTTTGTCATTTCACTGTTTCCATTCACTAGTTTCCATATTTCATTGCGTCCTTTTTTGCTCTTGTGTGTTTTTTTTTATGTCATTCTTTTAAGTTTATATCATATTTGTGTAATGTGGTTTTTTTCTTAACTTTTAAATTATTTTGAAGTCAATTTCATTACAAATTTCTTTTTTTAGCCAGGTGCAGTGGCTCACACCTGTAATCCCAGCACTTTGGGAGGCCGAGGTGGGCAGATCACCAGAGGTCAGGAGTTCGAGACCAGCCTGACCAACCTGGAGAAACCCTGTCTCTACTAAAAATACAAAAATTAGCCGGGTGTGGTGACACATGCCTGTAATACCAGCTACTAGGGAGGCTGAGGCAGGACAACCACTTGAACCTGGGAGGCGGAGGTTGTGGTGAGCCGAGATCATGCCATTGTACTCCAGCCTGGGCAACAAGACTGAAACTGCGCCTCAAAAAATAAAAAATTTAAAAAAATAATTAATTAAATTAATTAATCATTATTATTATTATTATGAGACAAGGTCTGGCTCTATCACCCAGGCTGGAGTGCAGTGGCACAATCACAGCTCACTGCAGCCTGGACTTCGCTGGCTCAAACGATCCTCCCACCTCAGCCTCCCAAGTAGCTGAAATGGATACGTGCACCAACACGCCCGGCTAATTTTTGTATTTTTAGTACAGACAGGGTTTCGCCATGTTGCCCAGGTTGGTCTCAAACTCCTGAGCTCAAGTGATCCACCTGCCTTGGCCTCCCAAAGTGCTGGGATTATAGGCATGAGCCACCATGCCTGGCCTAAAATTTCTTTTACTGTGGTAAAAATAAACATATATATAATTCAGCTATAAACGAGGAATTACATTCTGATACATGCTACAACATGGATGAATATTGAAAAAAAATTATGCAAAATGAAATGAGCCAGAAACAAAAGGACAAATATTGCATGATTTCACTTACATCAGATATTTAAAATGGGGAAATCTGGTTTGTCAGCACAGCAGGGAAAAAAATAAATAAAAATAAAATAGGAAAATCATAGAGGTGAAAAGTCAATTTAGCCAGGTGTGGTGGCTCATACTTGTATGTGTGTGTGGTGTGTGTGTATATATATGTGTGTGTGTGTGTGTGTGTGTGTATGTTATATATATGAAAATGTATATAAGGTAAGATTTCCCATTTAACCATTTTATTTTATTTTATTTTATTTTATTTTCTCAAGACGGAGTCTCGTTCTGTTGCCCACGCTTGAGTACAGTGGCACGATCTCGGCTCACTGCAACCTCCACCTCCTAGGTTCAAGCAATTCTCCTGCCTCAGACTCCTGAGTAGCTGGGATTACAGGTGCCTGCCACTATGCCTGGCTAATTTTTGTATTTTTAGTACAGATGGGGTTTCACCATGTTGGCCAGGCTGGTCTTGAACTCCTGACCTCAGGTGATCCTCCCACCTCGGCCTCCCAAAGTGCTGGGATTACAGGCCTGAGCCACTGCACCCAGCCTAACCATTTTAAATGTATAATTCATTGGCATTAATTACATTTGACGTTGTTGTGCAGCTGTCAACCACTATCTGTTTCCAAATTTTTTTCATTACTCCAAACAGAAACTCATTACCCATTAAGCAATAACTCCCCATTCTCCTTTCCGCCCAGCCCCTGGTAACCTCTAATCGACTTATTTTCTTTTCTTTTTTTTTTTTTTAGAGGTGGTGGGGGTGGGTGTCTCACCATGTTGCCCAGGTTGGTCTCGAACTCTTGGCCTCAAACAGTTCTCCTGCCTCAGCCTCTCAGAGTGCTGGGATTACAGGCATGAGCCACGGCACCTGGCCAAATTGACTTTTCACCTCTATGATTTTTGTATTTTACTTTTATTTATTTTTTTTCCTGCTGTGCTGGCAAACCAGATTTCCCCATTTTAAATATCTAACGTAAGTGAAATCATACAATATTTGTCCTTTTGTGTCTGGCTTATTTCATTTTACATAATTTTTTCAATGTTCATCCATGTTGTAGCATGTATCAGAATGTAATTTCTGCTGGGCGCGGTGGCTCATGCCTGTAATCCCAGCACTTTGGGAGGCCGAGGCTGGCAGATCACCTGAGGTCAGGAGTTGGAGACCCGCCTGGCCAGCATGGTGAAACCCCGTCTCTACTAAAAAAAATACAAAAATTAGCTGGGCGTGATGGCGCGTGCCTGTAATCCCAGCTACTCAGGAGGCTGAGACAGGAGAAACCCTTGAACCGGGGAGGCGGACGTTGCAGTGAGCCAAGATTGCGCCACTGCGCTCCAGCCTGGGTGACAGAGCAAGACTCTGTCTGCAAAATAAAATAAAATAAAATAAATAAATAGAATGTAATTTCTTTTTTATGGCTGAATAATAGTACTTTGTAATATTTTCATTATTGTGTATCTTTAAATTAATTTTAACGCCTTTCTTTTTTTTTTCTCTTTTTTTTTTTTTTTTTTTTGGTAGCGATTTGGACCTCACTATGTTGCCCAGGCTGGTCTCAAACTCCTGGGCTCAAGCGATCCTCCCCTCTCGGCCTCCCAAAATGCTGGGATTACAGGCGTGAGCCACCTCGTCCTGCCACCATTTTATTTTTTGAATGATTTCTTATTGTCTTAACTTCTTAGGTGACTAACAATGAGGCTTGCTACTATCACCCTAGCATAATGATATCATCCTTAGCAAGGGAGTTGGGCGCTCTTACCGGTAGATGGCGCTGTCGATCTTTTAAAAAGCGAGCTCTCCTGCCCTCCCACTTTGAGCTCGCTGAGTCAAAACACAGCCCGAATAGTTTAGGAGCTCCAAAGCCCCGCTTATCTCCACTTTCCAAATTCTCTCTCATTAAGACCAACAAAAATTTTACCTTTATTATTAGTTATGTGACCTGCTAAGACAATTTATAACACTTTTTATTATGGAAATTTTCAAACTTACACAAAAATAAAGAAAATACCTCTATTTACCTACCATGGGACTTCAACAATTATTAGCATTTACAAATCTTGGAACAATGTTATTTTCTCACATTATGTTCTATCTCATCCCTCTTAAAGAGTTATCAGATGGGAAATCCATGGTCTAGGCTCAATAAAATCACTCTACATTAGGAAAGTCTTGGAAACAGATTGCGTTTTAGCAGGAAAAGGAGGGGGGTTGATGATTTCATTCAATAAAACAGCCTTAACTCACCGCCGTGACCAATAACCGGGTAATGTGGAAGCTCCCCGTAAGATTCCTCGTGGAAGGCAAAAATAGAGCACAACTGGGCTTTTGAATACCTCTTACATCTGCCTGCCTTTGTCTTGTCTATTTTCCAACCTGATTTCACCTGCTCCCTATCAGGATCTTAGCCTCTCAGGGTGCAGCTGATCTCAGTTCCTTTCCTTATAGTGAGACCAAGATAAGTTGACTGGGCCTGGAAATATTCTCAAGAGAGGTTTTAGAATGGAGTCAACTGCATTTCCACTGAGTCATGTCTGAAGATAAATCACAGGGCATCTATTCAGCAGTCCAGGCTGATATCTATCTTACTTCCTGAATGTGGGTCTCGGGTATCCCTCAGAGCAGCTGTCTGATATCAGGAAGGGAAATGTGTGTTAGAGATGGTTTATTGTTATAAGTCAAACAAATAAATTATTGAATAAAACATGTTCCAGCTTTTGTCTTGATAAATATACCTTCATACTGATCTTGAAGTCTAGTGTAGCAGATACTGTTGTGTGCCACCCAAATCCTACCTTCAACATTGTCACTTATTCCCCAGCTGCCAGGGGTGTTGGTTGTGACAGCTCTGTCTCTGGGAATTGCCCTTAGCTGAAAAGAGCTGTCTTGCCCAAGGTTACACCTCCCCTCCCTGGGGGCAGCCACATCCAATGACTGATAGATAAGATAAGAACATACAAAGTCCTGGTTACCTTGCTTCAAGTTTGGCCACCTTTTTGTTTGTTTGTTTGTTTGTTTGTTTGAGATGGACTTTCGCTCTTGTTGCCCGAGCTGGAGTGCAATGGCACAATCTCTGCTCACTGCAACCTCCGCCTCCTGGGTTCAAGTGATTCTCCAGCCTCAGCCTCCTGAGTAGCTGGGATTACAGGCGCATGCCACCATGCCCGGCTAATTTTTTGTATTTTTAGTAGAAACGGGGTTTCACCATGTTAACTAGGCTGGTCTTGAACTGCTGACCTCAGATAATCCTCCCCCACTCGGCCTCCCAAAGTGCTGGGATTACAGGCGTGAGTCACCGCGCCCGGCCGAGTTTGGCCAAATTTAAAGGACTTTTCCAGTGCCAGAGGCCTCCACAACCCATGAGATCAGCTCAGTACTCTTTACGGCTTCATTACAGTTCAACTGCTCCCTTTCCCTGTCCCGTTTCTCTCAGCTTTTAAAGGTGTTTGTCCCAAGATTGTTCCCCAATAAAACTTCTGCAGATAAATCTATCTGAGAATCTGTTTTCTGGGGAATCCAGGCTAGGACAGCCAGGCTGGAATTTAGAATTCTGAGACTCCCCTAGGTTCCATGGCAGAATATGGCTGAGTGAGGAAAACTAGCTCTGGGTCCTCTACCTGCATCTGCCCTACTTTCTTTTCCTGAAAATTCAAGTCCCTAAAATCTCCAGACCCATATCCTTCTCTGAAAACAGCCACATTTTGGGGTCTCAGAGCATGCACGACAGCAGCGAGGCATAACCCCTGGGACGATGGCCCCAGGAGGAGGCCCATGCAAACTTGGAAGCAGGCTTGGGGGCCATTAGTGCCAGGAATTCAGGGGTTCCAAGTACCTAGACTGTAGTACTTGTAGAAGAGATGCAACCTCCATGGGTAGGTCTATCCCTTTGGCTTCTCGGACTTTTTGTCCTATAAGTTGGGGGAATGATAGAGCAGGTCCCTCTAGATCATGGAGCCCGGGCAGGGTCCTCATGTGCTTGGATCCAAGGGTGGGAAAACATTTTCTACCTAATTTAAACCAGTGGCATTTGTGTCTCTGTTACAAGCAGCCAAAAATTTATATTTTAACACGTCTAGTTGACTTCCTGCACTTCTATGCCCATCTTCCTAAAAGAGAACAGTGTATCTCTCTAAAAGGGACTTCATCCTTTACTCTCAGGTCCTAGAATATACTGATGTTTCCTACATGTTAATTATGCTTTCCACAATCAAAATTTGATTTCATTAGGAAATCCATTCATGCAAGAGATGTCTCTAATTAAAAACTATCCAAATAACTTCTCCAATAACCAACCACACTGGCCTTTTTGCTCTCCTCCCTGCTGAGGGCTTATATCCCTGGATATCCTTTGACATCCATCAGCCCTGCTCTCTATAGTGACAATCTACAGGAACATTTCCATTTATTGCCTCTCCAGTGATTCTCAGCTCTTTGCAAACAAAATTCCATCCAGTTCCTTCAAAGGGCAGTCCTTTAAAAACCATGAGCCTATACTGTTAGTCATGATATGCGGAAAGAGATTGTTGAGGGTCTCAAGTACCAAATCCACCTACTGCAATGCATTGAGAAAATATGCATCAATTGCTTGTTCTGATAATGTACTGTAGTATGTAAGAGCTTACCACTGGGGAAGATGCGTGAAGAGTGCACAGGACATCTCGGTACTAATTTTGCAACTTTCTGTGCATCTTTAGTTATTTGAAAACAAAAAGAGAAGAAAAAAAAAGAGGAGGAGGCAGGACATTAAAAAATATAACCTTATGGATGGGCTTGGTGGCTCACGTCTGTAATCCCAGCATTTTGGGAGGCCGAGGCCGGCGGATCACGTGAGGGCAGGAGTTCGAGACCAGCCTAGCCATCATGGCGAAACCCCATCTCTACTAAAAGTACAAAAATTAGCCAGGCGTGGTGGCAGGCGCCTGTAATCCCAGCTACTCAGGAGGCTGAGGCAGGAGAATTGCTTGAACCCGGGAGGCGGAGGCTGCAGTGAGCAGAGATCTTGCCACTTCACTCCGGCCTGGGCAAAAGAGTGAAACTCTGTCTCAAAAACAAAACAAAACAAAACAAAACAACAACAAAAAACTCCTTATTCAAAAATCGAGGCCATTCCAGATAAAGGAACTCTCTTTATATCTACAGTTTTGGCTCCAAACTTTATTGTGGCTTCGTACCTTAGTGAACTGGATTAGTGAGCATGTGTGATTGCAGTGACTGCCTAAAAAAGAGACAGGGCAGCCTGCCCTGTCCCATGAGTCCTTCCCGTTGGGCTTCCATAAAAGGGGTGAAGTGTCCTTCCCCAGCAGGAGGCGGCATTGAGTAATTCTCATGACACCAGCCTTAAAGAAGGACTTACTTGGCCTGCAGTCTGCCACACACATCTCCCTCAGGGCCCCAGCAGGGCCTCTGCAGCTGGTAGGTGCTTAATGGAGGATTTTAGGATTTTGCATCTTGGTTATCTCATCTTTGAGGACTCGACCTACATCTGGCAAGTCTAGGAGATGGAATTGAGGAGGGCATATGCACAGAGTACTGGGAATTAGAGAGCTGAGTCACTGGAGAGTCTCGAACCTCAGAGCAGCTGCCTTTCTCTTGGACTCAGGCCAAGATTGAGGGAGACTGACGACATATTGCATCTCACAGGTTCCCAGGGGCACAAGGCTATTTGCGACCACAGCAGCTCCGTTTGGCTAAGGAGGCCTTGGGTTTCTGAGGGATAGGAAGAATCAGAGCAGAGAAGAGCAGATGGAATGGTGACCGACGTAGGGCCCTGAAGTTTACTTAGGGTTGTCTTCTAGAAATGTGAGGTGCTGTGTTTACAAAAAAAGCATAGCTTGCACTGCTCTCAGTCTCAGGTTCCCAGGGGAAAGGGCTAAATAAGGACAATCTGCAATGCATTGGAAGGAAAAACTGAGAGGCTTATACATTTATGAGAGGTATCCCCACTATGTATTTGTAAATCTTCCAGAATGTAGGAATGTCCAGATGCCATTAAAAAAAAAAAGACTAACTGTATTTATTCATTTATCTATTTTTATTGACATTGTAATTGTATATATTCAGATGCCCTTTTTTTTTTTTTGAGATGGAATTTTGCTCTTCTTGCCCAGGCTGGAGTGCAATGGCATGATCTCAGCTCACTGCAACCTCCGCCTCCTGAGTTCAAGCAATTCTGCTGCCTCAGCCTCCGGAGTAGCTGGGGCTGGGACTACAGGCATGCACCACCATGCCCAGCTAATTTTTCTGTACTTTAGTACAGACGGAGTTTCGCCATGTTGGCCAGGCTGGACTTGAACCCCTGACCTCAAGTGATCCTCCCGCCTTGGCCTCCCGAAGTGCTGGGATTACAGGACTGAGCCACCTCGCTCAGACTTTTTTTTTTTTTTAAATGGAACCCTTCACAAATTTGTGTGTCATCCTTGAGCAGGGGCCATGCTAATCTTCTCTGTATCAGATGCCACTTTCATTTTTAGACGGAGTCTCACTCTGTTACCCAGGCACCTGCCACCATCCCCAGCTGATTTTTTTGTATTTTTAGTAGAGACAGGGTTTCACCATGTTGGTCAGGCTGGTCTCAAACTCCTGACCTCAGGTGATCCACCCACCTTGGCCTCCCAAAATGCTGGGATTACAGGTGTGAGCCACCGCTCCTGGCCTTTTTGTTTTTTAAACTCAGCACTCATCTTAGTATTCTAATATATTATCTCCTAAATAAGTTTTTATTTAACTATTTAAAATTTTTATCAGATTTATACAGATATGTAATTTTAAAAGCCAAATATATATGTGTGTGTATATAAATTACAGATATGTAATTTAAAAAGCCAAAGACAGAACAAAAGCTATAGTCCGGTACCAACCCCTAATTCTCTCTTCCTAGAAGTAAAAGCACTTCGATGCTCAATTAGTTTTTATCTTCCTGTTTCTTAATAACAAGTTATATCAGTCAGGGTTCAGTGCAGCAACTAGAGATTACGCTAGGTAAATTAACAGGAAGACATTTTACAAAGGGTATTAAGAGCTTTTGAAATCTTTATAAGGGCTGAGGGCACAGGTTCTAAGCTGGGCTTTATGGAATGATATCCAGAATTATACAGATCTACTAGGTTTTCTTTTGATCATTTGTCTATGAATTTATCACAAATTTGTCAGCAGATTCTATAGAAGTCTATTTTTTCTCTGCAGTCTAATGTATTACAATTAATCAATTCCCTCTTTTTCTTGGTAATATCTTTCTGTAACCAGGTAAAGGAATTTTCTTAATCCCTGAGGTTTTGGCCCCAAGCCTTTTTTTTTTTTCTTTTTTCTTTTTGAGATCCACTCTGTCACCCAGGCAGAAGTGCAGTGGTGAAATCTTGGCTCACTGCAACTTCTGCCTTCTGGGTTCAAGAAATTCTCCGCCTCCGCCTCTTGAGTAGTTGGAATTACAGGCATGTGCCACCATGCCCAGCTAATTCTTTTGTGTGTTTTTGGTAGAGACGGGGTTTCACTATGTTGGCCGGGCTGGTCTCAAACTCCTAGCCTCAGGTGATCCACCCGCCTTGGCTTCACAAAGTGCTGGGATTACAAGCAGGAGCCACCATGCCCGGCCTCCAAACCATTTTAATCTGGACCTGCGGATCCCTAGTTCTCCTACACAGCAACCTCCTGGGATTTTCATTCTCCTCACTCTTTGGAGGATCCCACATCTTTATCTCTCCTGATCTAATCCCTTACTTTGATGGAACTTCCTAAGGAAAGGGGCAAGGGAGGGCAATTTTTGAAATTTTGTCTGAAAATGTCTTTTATATTATGATTACATCTGATTAATAGTTTTACTGAAAATAAAATTCCAAGTTGTAAAATTTACACCTAAATTAGGAAAGCACTGCTCCACTATCTTCCAGCTTCCAGTGCTACTGTTGAAAAGTCCTCAGCTAGGTGTTATGGTGCGCACCTGTAATACCAGCACTTTGGGAAGCCAAAGTGGGAGGATTGCTTGAGCCCAGGAGTTCAAGACCAGCCTGGGCAACGTAGTAAGATTTCGTCTCTACAAAAAATAAAATTTAATTTAAAAATTAGCTGGGCATGGTGGTACGTGTCTGTAGTTTTCAGAAGGCTGAGAGGGGACGATCCCTTGAGCCCAGGAGTTCAAGGCTGCAGTGATCCATGATTGTATCACTACGCTCCAGCCTGGGTGACAGAGTGAGATCCTGTCTCAAAAAAAAAAAAAAAAAAAAGGAAAAGAGAAAGAAAAAAAGAGAAAACCCTATACCATTTGAGTTTTGATCTTTTTTATGTGACCTGTTTTTTTCTTTTTGTCCAATTTTGGGATTTTTCTTTTTGTCCTCAGTATTTTTAAAATTATGGTAGTATGCCTTGGATTTCATTCCTTTTGTTAGACACTTCTGTTAGACACTTGAGGTCTATCTCACTTTGGAACCATATCTCTCAGTTCTGAGAAAAGTTCTTGAATTATTTCTTTGATAATTTCATCCCTTCTGTTCCCTCTGTCTATTCTTTCTAGAAATCCTCCTATTCATCCAGATGATCTAATTTTCATATATTTTCTATACCATCTACATTTCTTTTCCTTTTTTTTTTTCTTTTGAGATGGAGTCACCCAGGTTGGAGTGTAGTGGCACTATCTCGGCTCACTCCAATCTCCACCTCTCTCGGGTTCAAGCGATTCTCCTGCCTTAGCCTCCCAAGTAGCTGGGATTACAGGCGTATGCCACCACGCCTGGCTAATTTTTGTATTTTTAGTAGAGACGGGGTTTCACTATGTTGGTAAGGCTGGTCTCGAACTCCTAATCTCAAGTGATCCACCCACTTCCGCAACTCAAAGTGCTGGGATTACAGGCCTGAGCTACTGTGCCCGGTCCCATCTACATTTCTTTACCCTTTGCTTCTTTTTAGAAGATTTCTTCAACTTTAAATTTTTTATTTAATAATGTGTTCTTTTACCATGGAGAAAATATCGTCTCTTATGTTTATGAAAATATTAATTGCAGTGGATTTTATTATTTGGCTCTTTGCATTCTCTAAATTTCCTCTTCTTCTTCTTCTTCTTTTTTTTTTTTTTTTTTTTTTGACAGGGTCTCTCTGTTGTGGTCCAGGGCAATGGCTTAATCACAGCTCAATGAAGCCTCGACCTCCCGGACTCAAGTGATCCTCCCATCTCAGCCTCCTGAGCAGCTGAGACTACAGGTGCACGCCACCGCGCCCGGCTAATTTTTGTACTTTTTGTAGACACAGAATCTCGCCATTTTGCTCAGGCTGTTCTTGAACTCTTGGGCTCAAGCGATCCGCCCAGCTTGGCTTGCGAAGGCACTGAGATTACAGGCGTGAGCCACCGCGCCTGGCTTTATATTCCTTAATTCTTGTGTTTTCAATACCTGTCTTTCATGTCAGTGGTTTTCATCCCATAATGACTAGTTTCTTATCAATGTATTGCCTCTCAACCGTAAATCCATCCTCTTAACTGATCTGTATTGAATTAAGCGGTTCTCCTTCGCAGCCAGCACAATATTAAGCTTTCTCAGTAGAGGGCGCCGGAGGGACACTGCCAGAGGAAAGAATTTCTTTTATCTCTGGTTCCGGGAGCTATGGTTTGTGATTCTTGTTGCTCCTGCGGCAGGGCCCATCAGTGGCCAGGTGGGAACATCTGGTGGTCTCTGTCCTAGCTGCGTGCTGACAGCATGCGTTCCCCCAGCGAGCTGGCCCTGACGTGGACCCTGCATGCCCCAGGCCTTGCATGCAGTGAGTGGGCTCCCGATGCCGCGACCCCCCCAGTTTCCTGCTTGCTCATGACTGTTCACAGGCTTTGGCCTGGGCATCCCAGGGAAATAATCTGGTACCTGGTGGGCACATGCACACTTTCTGCCTTGAGTTCTGAATCCAGCTTTGGGGTGGGGATGCTTCCACGTGTGTCCTTCTTTGGGTACTCTCCCGCGGCCCTACAGCATTCTTTGGAGTTCTCTGCACGTCTTTTTAGCCTGTTACAGCCAATAATTCTTTCTAATAATAAACTTTCTCTGCTCAAATTGGGGCTTGGGCTTTGTGAATGATACAGTAATCCTTGGCTTAGTTAGATCTTAAGCTGTTTGGAAACTCCAGGTGTGTGTGTTGGGGATGGGGGGAGGTTTCAGTGGGCTTCACCATAGTGCAAATGGGCTGAACTGTTTCTCCAGAAGACCCTTGTATTAGGGTCTAGTCAGGTGAAAGAAAAAAATCCAAATATTTAAACAGAGGTAATTTTGTTTTATTTTATTCTATTTGAAAAGGAATTTCACTCTGTTGCCCAGGCTGGAGTGCAGTGGCACAATCTCGGCTCACTGCAACCTCGGTCTCCCGGGTTCAAATGATTCTCCTGCCTCAGCCTCCCAAGTAGTGGGATTACAGGCACCTGCCACCACACCCAGCTAAGTTTTGTATTTTTAGTAGAGACAGGGTTTCACCATATTGGCCAGGCTGGTCTCAAACTCCTGACCTCAGGTGATCCACCTGCCTCGGCCTCCCAAAGTGCTGGGATTGCAAGCGTGAGCCTCCGCGCCCAGACAGAGGTAATTTTATATAAAGGATTGTTAACCACATATTGAGATCTAAAAAGACAAAAAGAGCACTGAGATACCGCAGAGGTAGAACGCGTGGGAATCAGGAATGGGGCAACTGCCTCTCCCTCAGTCTTGGGGAACTGAGGGAAGAGGTCAGTATTATTCAATGGGAGAATCTGGGAGGATGGCCCCACGGAGCTAGAATTCAGTTTCCTAAGGAGGAGCCTGGCCAGTGAGCTGGTATCACTGAGGCCACGGGAAGAGGCCTTTGCCGGGAGTGAGGAAGAACCACAGTTTGGGACTTGCTACTGCTGCTGGACCAGCTGTTGCTACAGGGCTGAAGATCCTCGGCTGTGGTGATGCCGGCAGGATTGGGAGGCCAACAAGGGAAGGGATCCCTTCTTCCTCCAGTGCTGACACCTCCCTCTACACCTAAGAGGGAGCCAGCTGGGAAGGAGAGAGTGGAAGAGGGTTTTGAAGTCAAGTGACAGTAGCTTAATATCCGTCAGAACCCCCTTACTCCTGTGTTCCTAGGTGTTTTTCCTTGTCTGGTCAGTTTCTCCAGAGAAGGTTTCTCTATTAATCGGCCTGGGGCAAGTCTGGCTGCTGGAGTTCTCAGAACCAACTTCATGGAGGGGACCAGGAAGCCTTACTGTTCGATAGGCAGGCTTTTACATAATCCTAAATGACTTTTTCTTTTCTTTTATTGCTTCTCTTATTTTATTTCTTTTATTATTACTTATTTTCTATTTTTTAAATTATTTTATTTTGTTTTCTTCTGGCCACATAAAGCCAGAAGGCCATAGGCTATATATATATATATGTAATTTTTTTTTTTTTGGTAGAGCTGGGGATCTTGCTCTGTTGCCTAGGCTGGTCTTGAATTCCTGGACTCAAGTGATCCTCCTGCCTTGGCCTCCCAAAGTGCTAGGATTATAAGCATGAGCTATCACGCCCAGCCTTAAATGATTTTCATTGTGGTTCCCAGGATGTGGCATGGTTCAACGCCTCCAGCGAGCAAACCACTCATTAGGGTGGAATATAGGGGGTCACTCTGCCATGTGCGTTGAGTTAGGAGATCTAGGGTTCTAGTGGCTTCTTACATAGACCATCAGCCTCTGGTTCCAGGCCTCTTGCACACTCACGTTTGGGATACTTGGTTTCTCCATTCCTTACTGGGGTTCTGCTATGTGAAATCAGCCTGCTTCTGGGATTCTCCCACTGACATTTTACCTTTAAATTTCTCTTATCTGCTAAGACCTTTGTCTATTTGTTATCCAGATCATTATTCTCTATTTATTTAGATTGTGTAGTCAGTTTCTCTCTCTCTCTCTCTCTCTCTCCTCTCCCCCCGCCTTTTGTTCTTGTCAGTCCTTGCCTTTTAAAACCCCTTTATCACATTTTGGTGGGATTTCTGCTGGGAGCAGAGATGGTTGTGTTCAATCAGCTACATAAAGCCTGAAGGCCCGGCCAGGCACAGTGGCTCAGGCCTGTAATCCCAGCACTTTGGGAGGCCAAGGTGGGCGGATCATCTGAGGTTAGGAGTTCAAGACCAGCCTAACCAACATGGAGAAACCCCGTCTATACTAAAAAAAAAAAAACAAAAAACTTAGCCAGCCGTAGTGGTGCATGCCTGTAATCCCAGCTACTCAGGAAGGCTGAGGCAGGAGAATCACTTGAACCCAGGAGGCGGAGGTTGTGGTGAGCCAAGATCCTGCCACTGTACTCCAGCCTGGGAACCAAGAGCGAAACTCAGACTCAAAAAAAAAAAAAAAAAGCCCGAAGTCCCAGTTGAATTTGTGGTGTAGATGTGGTGGGTGGGCTCTGGGTACCCAGCGCAGCTTAGCTGGCAGTATGTAGAAGTGAATACCAGGAAGTCTTTCTTTTCATTTCCCTCTGTTTTCTCTGGCTTGCCTCTGCCCAGGTGGCACTGGGGCCTCTGCTTCAGTGTATGCCTCAATGTATTTCCAACAAGATCCTTTCTTACGGAGACGGAGATGAGACAGCCCAGAAATCTGACTGATATGCCATGCTGTGGAGAGATCTTCCGGGAACAAGAGGGAGTTTGCAGTTCTCATTCTATTTTTGCTGGCCTCTAATGATCAGAAGCAAAGCAGAGCCAAAACAAATAGGCTAATTTACATTCCCTGCTATTAATGCTCATAAAATGCTGCATTTTTATATTGCTGCTCAAAGCACAGACTGCAGAAAGAGTATTGAGGTGGTTCTGACAGCAATCTTAAGAACTGCAGAGAGACTCTCTTGCTCAATAATTTTCTCCTTCTTTTAAAAATAAGGCTGGACATGGTGGCTCACATCTGTAATACCAGCACTTTGGGACACCGAGGTGGGAGGATAACTTGAGTCCAGGAGTTCAAGACCAGCCTGAGCAACATAGTAAGACCCCCATCTCTACAAAAAATACAAAAATTAGCCAGGTGTGGTGGCTCACACCTGTAGTCCCAGCTGCTTGGGAGGCTAAGGTAGGAGGATCACCTCAGCCCAGGGAAGTTGAGGTTGCGATAAGCCATGATTGCACCACTGCACTCTAGTCTGGACAACAGAATGAGACCCTGTCTCAAAAAAATAAATAAATAAAAATAAATAAATTAAATAACATTGGCTGGACATGGTGGCTCACGCCTGTAATCCCAGCACTTTGGGAGGCCGAGGCAGGAGGGCTTGAGTCCAGGAGTTTGCAACCAGCCTGGACAACGTAGTGAGATCTCCATCTCTACAAAAAGCGAACAAAATTAGCCAGGCATGGTGGCGTGTTCTTGTAGCCCCAGCTACTCAGGGAGCTGAGGTGGGAGGATTGCCTGAGCCTGGGAGGCTGAGGCTGCAATGAGCCGAGATCGCACCACTGCCCTCCACCCTGGGCAACAGAGCGAGATCCTGTCTCAAAAAGGAAAAAAAAATTATCAGGTTTGAAATAAAATATACATAATATAAGAAAACAAAAGTAATTTCTAACCCCAATAAATAAAGATAGAAGACATTGTTAACATTTTGGTATATTTTCTTCTTCTGTTTTTTTTTTGTTGTTGTTTTTGTCTTATTTTATTTAGAGATGGTCTCCCTCTGTTGCCCAGGCTGGGGTGCAGTGGTACAATCAGCTGACTGTGACCTTGAACTCCTGGGCTCAACTGATCCTCTGACTCAGCCCCCCAAGTAGCCAGGACTACAGGCATGTGCCATCACATCTAGCTTTTTTTCTTTTTCTGAAATAAGAATGGGTTATATTTTGCTGTAACAACATGGGGTTAGGGACCAGGCCTGCGTAGTTGTAGTCATGCTTTATGATATGGCTGGTGACTCAGTTAACTGCTGGTTCATGAGCTGGAGCAATCCCAAAATGGTTTTCTAAAGGATGCCTGGCCCTGGTGTTTCCACACTGGCTCCTGTGGAGCATCTCTAAGCAGAGGCTGCATGGTGTTCTGTCCAGGTGGGAGCACAGGCTGAGTGACTCAGTTTTCATGAGGCGATGTATACCTGTTGCCCGCCCAAATGAGTTCTTAACAAATGGTAATGAGACTGGCCACCGTGGCTCACGACTGTAATCCCAGCACTTTGGGAGGCTGAGGCTGGCGGATCACTTGAGGTCAGGAGTTGGAGATCAACCTGGCCGACATGGTGAATCCCCGTCTCTACTAAAAATACAAAAAATTAGCTGGGCGTGGCGGGTGACTGGAGTCCCAGATGCTTGAGAGTCTGAGGCAGGAGAATCACTTGAACCCGGGAGCCGGAGGTTGCAGTGAGCCGAGATGGCGCCACTGCACTCCAGCCTGGACAACAGAGTGAGACTCCACCTCAAAAAAAAAAAAAAGAAATAAACAAAGCAGATATACAGTAGTCCCTTGGTATATGAGGGGGATTGGTTCCAAGACTCCTGTGTATACCAAAACCTACACATATTCAAGTCCCACAGTCAGCCCTTTGGGTCCCAAATATATGTAAAGTTGGGCCTTTGTATACATGGGTTTCACATGTCACCATTACTGTGTTTGTGATCTGCATTTGATTGAAAATAACCCATGCATAAGTGGACCTAAGTGGACCTATGCAGTTCAAATCCATGTTGCTCAAGGGTCAACTATATGGACATTAAATTAAGCAAGACATAAACTGGGATGTTAAAGCATGAGCAATAAATTAAAACTCAAAGAAATGACAGAAACCATTAGAGAAAATCAAATGAAGTATTGCTAAAAAATTTTAGGCAATTTTAACAAAACAGGAAAAACTTTATCAAGTTGATTTTTGCAAAGAAACTGGAACATGAGCTCCCTCCACTCACGTGTCTGTGCCCCTCAGAAGGGCGGTCCTGAGGAGCCAGCACATAGCCCAGGACTGACGTTAATGCCCTCAGGCAGGCTCCCACTGCCTCCTCTGCGCCTGCCTTCTCTCACTTTCTAGAATCCCAGTCCTAAAACTCTGTTTGATGTTTAGCAAAGGAAGACATATTCAGACATGCATAATAATGGTAGAAGACAGAGGTGAGGAATGCTGTGAAAGGTGTCCAAGGGGCCATGGAGAGCCCTGGGACTCTGGGGCTACCCCAAGGAGGCTGTGTTTTAAAATGTGTTTACACAGGCCTTTTCCATCATAAGTACATCTTTATTATTTTATGTATTTTGGAAAACACAGAAAAGTATTTCAAAAGCAAATCCTAAAGTAGTAAGCCTTAGATCATTGTGAAAGTTAATTTTTAAAAATATTTATTAAATTTAATGAATTAATTAATTTTTTGAGGCATGGTCTTACTCTGTCACTCGGGCTGGAGTGCAGTGGCACAATCACGGCTCACTGCAGCCTCAACTTCTCAGGCTCAAGAGATCCTCCCACCTCAGCCTCCCGAGCAGCTGGGACCACAGGCACTCGCCACCATGCCTAGCTAATTTTTTCTCGTTGTTTTTTGTAGGGACAGAGTCTCACTATATTCCCCAGGCTGGTCTTGAACTCCTGGGCTCAAGCAATCCACCCATCTAAACCTCCCAAAGTGCTGAGATTACAGGGATGAGCTGCTGTGCCCAGCCAAAGGTTAATTTCATGTGTCAGTATGCTTAAGCCATGGTACCCAAATATTTGGTCAAACATTATTCTAGATGTTTCTACTAAGGTATTTTGTAGATGAAATCAACATTTAAATGGATGGACTTTGAATAAAGCAAATTACCCTCCCGTATGTGAGTGGGTCTGACATCCCCCAAGGAAGAGGGAATTCTGCCTCCAGGTTGCCCTTAGGCCTGAACTGTGACATTAACTTTTGTCTCCAAGCCTGCCAGTTTTCCCTGCAAATTTTGGACTTGCCAATCTCCACAATCGTGTGAGCCAATTCCTTAAAATCTCTCTCTCACCTATATGAGCTCCTTTGAGTGTGTCTTCTCATCTATATGAGAGAGAGAGAGAGACAGAGAGAGAGAGGTTTTAGTTCTGTTTCTCTGGAGAACCCTAATACAGTTATGGTTTCATTTTAAAACATTTTTTTCTAGTCTTTTCTTTATACCTAGGTGGTTGTTGTTGTTTAGGTTTTTGTTTTTGTTCTTTTTGAGGGGTTGTATTTTATTGTCACCAATTGCATATATAATTGTGTGTTCCTTAATTCCTTATATTTATTTATTTATTTATTTTTGAGACAGTCTAGTTCTGTCACCCAGGATGGAGTAAAGTGGCGTGATCTCTGTTCACTGCAACCTCTGCCTGCCGGGTTCAAGAGATTCTCGTGCCTCAGCCTCCCAAGTAGCTGGAATTACAGGCACCCACCAACCACGCCTGGCTAATTTTTGTATTTTTAGTAGAGATGGGGTTTTGCCATGACCTCAAGTGATCCGCCAGCCTCGGCCTCCCAAAGTGCTGGGATTACAGCATGAGCCACTGTGCCTGGCCTTTAATTCTTTTTAAATAAATTATTATGACACTATTGTCTTCTTTGTTAATATAAGTTTTAATAAAAGTCACTTAAGTGGCTTCCCAATGATGCACAAAGTACATAGTCTATAATTTATAGTTTTTACTGCTAAATGTTTCTGCTGCTTCCAATATTTTGTTAAGATAGTAAACTGTAATGCACTTTTTTTGTTTATAAAGCTTTTTACACAATTGAGAATTGGATAGATTCCCAGAAATGAGATGACTGCATTGAAGTCACAGGCTAAGAGACACAAAGAGAACAGCAGCGACCCGCAGCAAGCTGGGCCAGAGGCTCCAGAGACTGCTGTCGAGGCCTGCTGGGGAGGAAGCCATGGCCAGTGGGGGGGCCACGAGTGGGCACAGAATCCACCCTCAGCTCCCACAGCTGCCCTCAGCCTCATGTTTAATCAGGCTCCACTAAAGACCTAGGGATAACAGAAGAGAATTCCAGGTACACTTAAAACTGGAAATGAGACATGGTGCTTTCAGATTTCAGAGGCCCACGCCCCTCCCTGTATGCACTTGCTACAGGAGGCTTCTCTGCCTCACCTTTAGCACGCTCTGAGTTTTGGGGGCCAGCATAACTCCCCAAGATAGGTGGCTCCCTTGAGTGTGCCTTCACTATGCAAAATACAGGCTCCCAACTCTGTTCTTGTTCTGGTTCAAAGACAGCAGGAAGTTTCCCCACTCAATCCAGCTTGCGGCCCACCTACCTACCAGTACCTGTGTTCTTTAGGATGATTTAAAGTGAGAATGAGCTACTCTCTGGAGGAGAAACATCCCAACCTATGGCCTGTGACCTCAGTGCCTTATGACCTGTGAGAGAGACTACATGTCCAGCAGAAATATACATGTATTTCTCTGTGAGAGAGACTACATGTCCACAGAAAGCGAGCTCCGTGTAATTTACAAAGTTCTAGTAGTCACATCAAAAAGGTAAAAAACAACAGGTGAAATTAATTCTAATAGTAAATTTTATTTAACACAGCATATCCAAAATATTGTGATTTTGACAAGTAATAAACATAAAAATTATTAGTGAGATATTTTACTGTTTTTGTACTAAGTCTTTGAAATCTCATGTGTGTCTTGCACTTAAGAGCACATTTGTATTTGGACTAGCCACACTTCATGTGCTCAGTTGCTACATGTGGCTAATGGCTACCATGTAGGACAGCACAGACTTACTGCACAGCTTACCTGAGGAGATCCTAGCAATAAATACTTGTCTTGCATCGCATGTGTCTCAAGAATAAGTTATTATTATTAATTAGTTTTTTTTCCTTGAGATGGAGTCTTGCTCTTGTAGCCCAGGCTGGAGTGCAGTGGCATGATCTTGGCTCACTGTAACCTCTGTCTCGTGGGTTCAAGTGATTCTCCTGCCTCAGCCTCCCGAGTGGCTGAGATTACAGGTGCACACCACCACGCCTGGCTAATTTTTGTATTTTTAATAGAGATGGGGTTTCACCACTTTGGCCAGGCTGATCTCAAACTCCTGCCCTCGGGTGATCTGCCCTCCGCCCGCCTCCTCGGCCTCCCAAAGTGCTGGGATTACAGGCGTGAGCCACTGTGCCCAGCCAAGAATACGTTATTTAGTCTTGAATTACAGATTTCATTGAACATCTACAGATCAGTCTATGACGTCCTTAACTTGCTCAGTGGAGCCAGTTTTCCCCATTCCAAGATGAAAATATGGACAGTACTAAGACTGTTCTGATCTCTCTTAGGTCCTGTAGTTATTTTATATTACCAAACACAATGCCAATTCAGAAACTCAACGTTTAGTTCCAAAGGTAAGTCTCCTTTCCTCCAGCAAGGGCTTTGCAAGGATGGGAAGATGAGAAATGGGGAAACAGGTCCTCAACATTATGCATCTATCCTTCTTCTCCTGTCTTGCTAATGGTGGTTTCTAACCCTCCAAGGTTGAGTAGAATGGGGAAGGGTTGGGGGAAGGAGTGGTCTGGGGCGTGGAGCAGGCACGGTTTGCAAGAGGGCTTTGCATTCTCTGGGACTGGTAGGGGCTTACAGGGGATTCCTCCTCCTTGGGTGCTTCTTCCGAGACCCCTCACCCCTAATGCCATACAGTTGCAAATGAGGATTTCTTTCCACGATTTATTCCTCCCACAGCTCATAGGAATGCAGTAATCACTTCAGCTTCTCTCTGCTGAGGCCTGTTGATGCCTGTAGGTGGCCACATCAGACAGGATTAGCTCGGCTCCACATCAGCTCGCTTCCTAGCATGCCTCACACTAGTCTGCTGGAAATACTTACACAGCCTTGCCCTGAAAACCTGGGATACAGGTCCCCAGTGCCTCCTCCTTTCCTACACTCCCACTCCCAGGGCAGAAAACCAGCCTGTCTCCTACCATGAGGTCTGCAGACAAATGTCAGATGCCAGCCCATTGCAGTCTGTCCACTGGGGAGGGGGAAGCTTTATGCAGGACAATAGGAAAAAAGAGTGAAACTATTCTGAATTAGATGTTTATATACATAAAATGATATTGCTTGACACCTGAAGGGAACAAGAAAAACTCTGGAGCTTTCTTGATCTAGTGACATGAAAGAAAGATGAGGTCCATGTGCTGTGGCTCATGCCTATAATCCCAGCACTTTGGGAGGCTGAGGCTGGAAGATACCTTGAGTCCAGGAGTTCAAGGCCAGCCTGGGCAACATGGTGAGACCTAATCTTTATTGAAAAAATAAAAATAAAACGTAGCAGGGCATGGTGGTGCATGCCTATGATCCCAGCTATTTGGGAAGCTGAGGTGAGAAGATTACTTGAGCCAGTGAGATTAAGGCTTCTATGAGCCATGATCATGCCACTGCATTCCAGCAAATTAAAAAAACTTAAAATTTTTTTTAGGCTTGACTTGAAACTCAGAGACCTTGAAAAAGAAAGAAAAAGAAGAAGAAAGAAAGAAAGAAAGAAAGAAAAAAAGAAAGAAAGAAAAGATGGGACCATTGGTCGCCATGGACACTGTTTCCACAGCTACTTTGCTATTTTGATTGTCATTGCGTATTGTTTGAAAGACTCTGCTATGAGAAAAATATAACTATTTCTCAATTTAACCGTGATAGACTATAAGTAGATAAAATAAGGTTGAGACAGATTAAATAAACTATTAAGGGGAAGAACTAGACTAGAACCCAGGTTTTCTGGCTTCTTATCTGGTGTCTGTTTTCACTCTGAAACTCACTTAGGGTCACGGACTCACTGACTCACAGATTCAGTGTGACAAAGATAATCAGAAACCAAGTCACTGTAACAAAAGCCCCCTAAAGACAGGACACCAGCTCACTGCTGTATCCTCAGTGTTGACGTCAGTGTGCTTGTCCAATAATCCACACTTAATAAATGTGAGTAGAATGAGTGAATTAATTAATTAATGGTTTAGTTGTTTAGTTTGTGAGGGAACAAGTATCTGAAAATGTTAAATGAATCACTGAAAGTCATTTATATATATGTGTGTGTGTATATATATACATATATATATATATATTTTTTAAATACAGAGTCTTGCTATGTTATCCGAGCTGGTCTCCAACTCCTGAGCTCAAGCAAACCACTCGCCTCGGCCTCCCAAAGTGCTGGGATTACAGGTGTGAGCCACCTCACCCTGTAATATAATATAAATGCCGAAAGTCATTTATATTTTATAGGTTGTAAGACATATATTTATTTTCCCATTTATCATCTCTTGAATAGGGATGCGTCTTACAATCAATGGCGTGTCATAGTTTAACCCGCTGTGTTTTCCTCTTAGTGCTGCATGAAATAATGGTATGTTTTCCGGCAACGGAGCTTTAGATGCAATGAGGAGCAGCAGTTGTTTGTGGACATACGTTGTGTCTCATGTCAGTGAGTGCAAGGAAAGGGGGAGGTGGGGGTGACCCCGTGGGATGCAAAACAAGTCAACTTCTCCAGGCCCTCAGAAGTGGCGCTCAATCTCCAGAGAGGCGCCCATCTCGCAGAGGGCCACTACCCGGTCATTGCCACTAGGGGGCTACCAGACATTTCATCAGGAAGACACAGGCAGTCTTTGGGCCTCTCTTCCGACCAGGCCATTTGTTGCCATGGATATTGTTTCCATAGTTGCTTTGACTGTCACTGCATTTCCCCTGATTATCTGTTTTTGCATGCTGAATATATACTATAATCCAATCTTCATCCTCATCAATTTAACAATTTTATCATATCTAGATTTTTCAAATGGCCAGTTTTCATCAATTGTGACGTTCATGGCATTTGACTTTGTTAGTGAGTTCTGCTTTTGCAGCCCCTGTGTTCCAGTATACAATACTGCATTATACCTCAGCTCACTTCACAAATTGGGTATCCACTGCAAGCAACTAAGCACAAGTAGTGAATACTAATCCAAATGAAAGAATGGGTCTGTTGTGGTGTTAGCGCAAGAGAAAATTCCTCTGCTCCATGGTGCATTAGTAGTAGCTCATTTTGCTTGCTGCCCCATTTGATTACATTGTTGGTGGTAAATATCACTGCTGAAAGTTCCATGAATTTCTTAAAGGTCTCCAAAGAAGATGTGGAACATTGAAGCATTTCACAACGTTTGCATGTACATGACAGCAATATTCATTCGCTTCTGCCAGGCACCTTGAAGGCAAAAGCTATTTACATGGCTCTCCACTGTGTTCTCATAGCCATGCACAGGCTTATATGTCCTCTGCAAAGATGTGATAGATGATCAAAGGAAACATCCAGTCTCCTCCCTCTCCCTCTCCCTCCCCCTCCCCCTCCCTCTCCTCCCCCTCCCCCTCTCCCTCTCCTCCCTCTCCCTCTCCTCCCTCTCCCTCTCCTCCCTCTCCTCCCTCTCCCTCCCCTCCCTCTCCCTCTCCTCCCTCTCCCTCTCCCTCTCCCCACGGTCTCCCTCTCCCCCTCCCTCTCCCTCTCCCCACGGTCTCCCTCTCCCCCTCCCTCTCCCTCTCCCTCTCCCCGCGGTCTCCCTCTCCCCCTCCCTCTCCCCACGGTCTCCCTCTCCCTTTCCCCACTGTCTCCCTCTCCCTCTCCCTCTCCCTCTCTCTCCACGGTCTCCCTCTGATGCCGAGCCGAAGCTGGACTGTACTGCCACCATCTCAGCTCACTGCAACCTCCCTGCCTGATTCTCCTGTCTCAGCCTGCCCAGTGCCTAGGATTGCAGGCGCGCGCCGCCACGCCTGATTGGTTTTCGTATTTTTTTGGTGGAGACGGGGTTTCGCTGTGTTGGCCGGGCTGGTCTCCAGCTCCTAACCGCGAGTGATCTGCCAGCCTCGGCCTCCCGAGGTGCTGGGATTGCAGACGGAGTCTCAATCACTCAGTGCTCAATGTTGCCCAGGCTGGAGTGCAGTGGCGTGATCTCGGCTGGCTACAACCTCCACCTTCCAGCTGCCTGCCTTGGCCTCCCAAAGTGCCGAGATTGCAGCCTCTGCCCGGCTGCCACCCCGTCTGGGAAGTGAGGAGCGTCTCTGCCTGGCCGCCCATTGTCTGGGATGTGAGGAGCCCCTCTGCCTGGCCGCCCAGTCTGGGAAGTGAGGTGCGCCTCTTCCCGGCCGCCATCCCATCTAGGAAGTGAGGAGCATCTCTGCCGGGCCGCCCATCGTCTGAGATGTGGGGAGCGCCTCTGCCCCGCCGCCCCGTCTGGGATGTGAGGAGCGCCTCTGCCCAGCCGCGACCCCGTCTGGGAGGTGAGGAGCGTCTCTGCCCGGCCGCCCCGTCTGAGAAGTGAAGAGCCCCTCCGCCCGGCAGCCGCCCCGTCTGGGAAGTGAGGAGCATCTCCGCCCGGCAGCCGCCCCGTCAGGGAGGGAGGTGGGGGGGCAGCCCCCGCCCGGCCAGCCGCCCTGTCCGGGAGGTGAGGGGCACCTCCGCCCGGCAGCCCCGACTGGGAAGTGAGGAGCCCCTCTGCCCGGCAGCCACCCCGTCTGGGAGGTGAACCCAACAGCTCATTGAGAACCGGCCATGATGACGATGGCGGTTTTGTCGAATAGAAAGGGGGAAATGTGGGGAAAAGATAGAGAAATCAGATTGTTGCTGTGTCTGTGTAGAGGGAAGTAGACAGGGGAGACTCCATTTTGTTCTGTACTAAGAAAAATTCTTCTGCCTTGGGATGCTGTTAATCTATAACCTTACCCCCAACCCCGTGCTCTCTGAAACATGTGCTGTGTCCACTCAGGGTTAAATGGATTAAGGGCGGTGCACCATGTGCTTTGTTAAACAGATGCTTGAAGGCAGCATGCTCGTTAAGAGTCATCACCACTCCCTAATCTCAAGTACCCAGGGACACAAACACTGCGGAAGGCCGCGGGGTCCTCTGCCTAGGAAAACCAGAGACCCTTGTTCACTTGTTTATCTGCTGACCTTCCCTCCACTATTGTCCTATGACCCTGCCAAATCCCCCTCTCCGAGAAACACCCAAGAATGATCAATAAATACTAAAAAAAAAAAAAAAGAAAAAGAAAAAGGAAACATCCATGCCACCTCCTTTCATGGGTAGAAGGTAGAAGCTGAAAAAGTCTTCTGGGTATGGAAACTCACGAATACCTCGAGGCCAACTTGGTTCAGGGTTGCTGCCTAAAAAACTCTGGGTGAGGTCCTGAGTTGAAAACAAAACATCTCTGCTTGTGTTCAATTTTCAAATTCTTTTGAGGGTGAGGCCTGAGAAGTCGCAAACATCTTAAAAAGCAGAACTCACTAGTAAAGGCAAATAAATGCCATAAATGTCACAATTGATGACACGTTCCCTACCATCCATCACACACACAAGAATGTTTTTTCTGTGTATCCACGACTTGTTTTCAGACTGGGGGCTCCTCAAGAATAGGGACTGTGTCTGGTTTTTCTTGCTTGGCTCAAAACCCAATACAGATTGGAGGAAAGATCCGAGAGCCTGCCATTGCAAGCCTAAAGAAGAGAAGACTGAAGGATAAAAGTGTTCATACCTGTGAGTGATTTTTGTAGAGACAGTCCAGAACAGTTCATCACTTGAGATTCAGTCCAAATGAGATAAAAAGTGAGTAATCCTGGAGCCAGGAAACCTGAGTTTAACTCCCTCACCCCCCACCCCTCCCTGCCACTTACCGTTAAGGAGGTTTGGGGACAATTTATTTAACTTCTCTGAACTTCAGTCTTTGCATTTCTAAGACAGGATGGTTCTCCTACCTCACAGAGGTGATGTGAAGATCAAAAGAATCCACATATGTGACAGCAGCTCAAAGTGCCCCACAAATATGTCACAAGTCTCCGGTCAGTTACCCTATCCCTTGGGAAGCTTTCCAGGATCTGCACAGGCTGAATGAGATCCCTTCTCTGGACTCTGCCCGAAAGCATTCCTTTATTGTAGCACTTAGCATGTTGCACTGTAATTGCTGGTTTTCTTGTCCTTGAGGGTAAGAACTATGTCATTCACTTCTGTTGGTTGGCTGCCTCTGTTCCCAAAAGAATTCCCAGCACCATACTAGACAGTTACTAAAGGAATCCTAGGCCAGGTGCAGTGGCTCATACCTGTAATCCCAGCACTCTGGGAGGCCAAGGTGGGTGGATCACAAGGTCAGGAGTTCGAGATCAGCCTGGCCATCATAGTGAAACCCTGTCTCTACTAAAAATACAAAAATTAGCCGGGTGTGGTGGCACGCGCCTATAGTCCCAGCTACTCAGGAGGCTGAGGCAGGAGAATTGCTTGAGCCTGGGAGGCGGAGGTTGCAGTGAGCTGAGACCACACCATTGCAATCCAGCCTGGGTGACAGAGTGAGACTCTGTCTCAAAAAAAAAAAAAAAGGAATCCTAATTTCCTTGTGTTTACAAATAAGACCAAAACAGAAGAAATAGCACCAAAAGAAAGCATACATTTATTCGTTTATTCCAAAATGTGTATTTCATCCCATCTAAGATGACGTTGAATGCAAGATGCAGCATTACTTATGCCCCACTAAGGAAGAAAGAGTGCTACTGACTGGTTCATGATGTGCTATCAAGTGTAAGACACTTTTCCATTTTTAAACGTTTCTTGGTTTTTTTTTTTAGGCAGTGTCTTGCGATGTTGCCCAGGCAGGTCTCTAACTCCTAGCTCTGGGCAATCCTCCCACCTTGTCCTCCAAAAGTCCTGGGATTACAGGCCTGAACCACTGCAGCCAGTGGACATCTCCATTTTATTTTTATTATTATTTTTTTAAGACAGCATCTCACTCTGTCACCCAGGCTGGAGTGCAGTGGTGCAATCTCGGCTCACTGCAACCTCCACCTCCCAGGTTCAAGTGATTCTCTTGCCTCAGCCTCCTGAGTAGCTGGGACTACAGGTGTGTGCCACCAGCGCCCAGCTAATTTTTGTATTTTTAGTAGAGACGGGGTTTCACTATGTTGGCCAGGCTGGTCTCCAACTCCTGACGTCAAGTGATCCACCTGCCTCAGCCTCCCAAAGTGCTGGGGTTACAGGTGTGAGCCACTACGCCCATCCGACATCTCAATTTTAGATTACGATCCAATGGGGAAGATGTGCATCAGAGGCTCAATGAAGCATATGATTATTAAATATCTAATCTATCTCATATATTGTCCTCAAAACCCCTATTCTCAAGGAACTGACATTCTAGTGGAAGGAGACAGACATAAAACAAATAAGTTAACACGTAAATAAGCATAAGTTCAGATTGTCGTCAGCTCCATAAAGAAAATAAATATGGTAATCTGTAGAGACTGAAGAGAGGGGTTTGTTTTAGATGAATCACAAGAAAGGTCCTGAATAGATCTGAAAAATAACTACGTGTTTTCTAAGGTGTCAAACAATACCTCGCTAAGGGAGAGTGTTGAATCACTGTTGCTTCACCAAACATTCTTGTTTAGAAAGACAGGGGACTGGACCAGAGTGTGCATTCGCAGACGTTTTAATGAGAGGTGACACTCCCCAAAAGGCATAAATCCTGTTCAGGCACAATCTAGAGGGGTGTGCTTACTTGCCTGGTGTCCTCAATCTGGACTTGTGCAAGTTGGGTTCAGCTGGACCTGGTATGACTCCTTGATGACACCTGAAGAGGTCCTTTAAACACTGGACTTCATAAAGAGAAAAGGAGGATTAGCTGTATGATTAACTGTATGCATTTACCAAAGGCATGGAATGCACAGATATGTGCGACAACTTATAAGTGTCATCTGAGTATGAGTATATTATGGTTTGAGAGTCAACTACCAAATCTTGTAGTTCAGGTCCCAGGAGTGGTTAGAAAGGTATTTCCCTTATTCATTGAGGCTTCATTTTTTTTTTCTTCCCTTATGGGTGTTCTGCAGCATCTTCTCCTTGTCTTTTCTACCTTCAATACTCTCCAGAGACCAGATCTTCATGTATATCTCTCTGGGCTCTCAAATGCCAAAACCATACTCTCCTTCACGGTAGCACCCTGAGGGGGTGGACTTATTCTGGAGAAAGCTACGTGGCAAGTTGAAGGAGACTGACTGGGTAAAGCCCCTGTGCCTCTGGCAGAACTGCTGCCACAAAGGGATATGCGTATCCTGGGAATAATTAGTACAGGCCAGTTGCTACTGACTTTAAGGATGTTCCTTATGCTTCAATCCTATGTACAACTCTGGGATCTTTGGAGAGCAGCAAAAAGACTGAGATTGAATTTCCCTCTAATCTGACAGGAGCAGAAATTAACATTTTCTTTCTTTTATTTTTCTCTTCGAGACAAGGTCTCTCTCTGTTGCCCAAGATGGAGGGCAGTGACATGATCACAGCTCACTGCTGCCTCGACCTCCTGGGCTCAAGCAATCCTCTCACCTCAGCCTCCCAAGTAGCTGGGACTACAGGCATACACTACCATACCCAGCTAATTTTTAATTTTTTTGTAGAGACGAGGTCTCACTATGTTGCCCAGGCTGGTCTTGAACTCCAGGCCTCAAGCAATCCTCCTGCCTCAGCCTCCCAAAGTGTTGGGATTACAAGCGTGAGCCACTGTGCCCAGCCTTTTTCTTTCTTTCTTTCTTTTTTTCTTTTTTTTTTGAGACAGGATCTTGCTCTGTCGCCCGGGCTGGAGTACAGTGGCACAGTCATGGCTCACTGCAGCCTCCACCTCCTGGGCTCAAGCGAGCCTCTTGCCTTAGCCTCCCAAGTATCTGAGCCTACAGGCATGTGCCACCACACTCGGCTAATTTTTTTTTTATTTTTAGTAGAGACAAGGTCTCACCATGTTGCCCAGGCTGGTGTAGATCTTCTGAGCTCAAGTGATCTTCCTACCTCGGTCTGCCAAAGTGCTGCGATTACAGGTGTGTCATCCTGCCTGGCCAGAAATTAACTTGATTGAAAGAAAAGAAAAGCTTTTGATATGCTAGCGTTTTTGCATGCATGCTTTTGCATGCTAAAGTTTCTATGCCATTTACAGAGATTTCATGGTCTCTTCAATTGCTCTAAGTTGTCCTTGAGGTGCAGAAACTCAAGCACACAGACTTCTCAGCTAGAATTTGTAGCTCTAGCAATTCCTTTGTTTATTGCACAAACCTAGCTTGTACCGAGACCAAAAGTTCTGCCCCCTTGAAGACCAAGGCAGATTCTGGAATTCCTTGTGCTTGCCAATACCCTTTGACAAATGCCCAGCCCCAAACCCCAGCCTGAACTTCAGGAGGAAGATTTTATAGAAACACATTGGACTTTTCCTGCCTGTATATTAACCAAGAGACTCTTCTGTCACTCTTTTTTCCTGCAATAAACTGATATTCATGCAAGTATCTCTAATCACAAAATTCTCCCTTGGCCACTTGCTGCCTCCATGGGGGCAGAAGAGGGAGATCATTTTATTATTCTCCCATTCCCCACTATGTGTAGCTCCCACATTCTTAAAATCCTGAGCACTGTGTCTTCCCAAATGTGTCATGGAGATATTCGCAGAAGTCTGCATGTTCTAGATGATGTTTATGTGTCATATCATTTAGGATCCCATTTAGCTGGAATCACAAGAAGCTCACCTCACTGAGCTCCGGCACACTGCTCATCTCATATACGAAATGTCCGAGAGGAGCAGCCCAGGGCTCAGTATTGCCATCGGGCACCCAAGTGATTTCTTCCCTCTGCTCCACTCTCAGCTTGAAGCCTTCACCCTGCTGTGGGTCTCCCCCTGACCTCAGCATTGCTGAGCCCCAGGTCTCATATCTGCATTCCAGGTAGGAAGAGGAACGAAGGGGAAGGGGCAAAGGGCTTTCTCCTCATGAGCTTTGGCCTTTTCATCTGGAAGGGACACCATCCCCAGGAACTTATGCCTTTATCACATTGGCCAGAGCTGTATCTCCTCACTGCACTGGCTGCAAGGGGGACCGGGAAATTGGGGATTTGGGAAATGGTTTTCTTCAGCTGGGCACATTACCATCACCCCCAAAACTCAGGTTCTCCAAGTGTAAGGGAAGGGGAGACTAGAGCTGTTTCTGTCACGTTTTCCTTCAGGTAATAATCTTGAAAATCCCCATAATATAAGCATTTCCTGGATTCTATTGATGACCAATATAAAACCAACATAAAGCTAATAGAAATGATTAGTCTTTACAATTGCACAGCCTAACAAGAGTAGAACGAGAACTGTCTTAAAATTTAAACGGTGCATTTGCATTAAGGGCCCAATAATCCCGCAGCTGACTGAGAGACTGAAGGTCTTGAGAGAGCTTGTACAGAGACGATCCATGAAAGAAGGAAAACATCAAGTGGCAAATGAGATTTGAGAAACTAGGCTGTAGCAATCACTACAATATTAATGTTGGAGCGAAGAATTCTTCAGTAAAGAAATATCATGCATTACATTAAACTACTGCTGTTACTTCTAACGTTATTGGAACAGTAGAGCTATAAGCATAAGGAGTTTATACTTCATTTTCTGTTTCATATATATTTACGTTTAAGCCAACATGGCGAGTTCTCAAAAAATCTCTTTTCCAGCCAGGCACGGTGGCCCACACTGTAATCCCAGCACTTTGGGAGGCCAAGGCGGGTGGATCACCTGAGGTCAGGAGTTCAAGACCAGCCTGGGCAACATGGTGAAACTCCATCTCTACTAAAAATACAAAAATTAGCCAGGCATGGTGGTGCACGCCTGTAATCCCAGCTACTCGGAGGCTGAGGAAGGAGAATCGCTTGAACCCAGGAAGTGGAGGTTGCAGTGAGCCAAGATCGCACCACTGGACTCCAACCTGGGCAACAGAATGAGACTCTGTCTCAAAAATATATATGTATCTTTTCCTTTAAAGGTGTTTATCACATAAGTCTGAGAAATATTGGTTTAATATTTATTTAATCAATCCAATTTTTTCACTTTAGTATTTTAATTTATTATTCCGTGTTTCCGACTCTGTATCATAATACTACAATTCCATTATTTAACACTGGTGGTGATGCTGCTCATAGTGGCATCAGTAGTGAGCAAACAATAATCAACTGTCTTCACATATCTTTGATTCTTTGGTTTTTGTCCTGAGCTCCTCACAGAGCTGTTATATCCAATGCCCCGGCCTTGTCTGTGGTCTTAGCCATCATTCATAGGTGCATGAATATGGTGCATTTGCATTAAGTAAGGACAAATCTCTTCTTCTATCAGGCAGGGCTTTTCTCTTAGAGGTTAGGTCTGGACTTCGTGTCCTCATTTCACACCGCGATTGACTAAGATGAGACTCATTTATTTGCTACGGTGGCCAGTCCCACACAGGTGCTCATACATACTTGCTGAATGACCAGTTGACTACATCCTGTAAATGTGACCCTTTGGCCTGGGTGGTAGGAGAACGCGGGCATAGTCCTCTTAAGAGATAAGTTGTATCCTTCAGCTTACAGGTAGACTGAGATAGACAGACTGGGAGACGTAGAGTGTTGAGCTCATGCTAGGCACTGAATAAATATTTTGTTAAGGCCAGGTGCGGTGGCTCATGCCTGTAATCCTAGCACTTTGGGAGGCCAAGGCGGGTGGATCACCTGAGGTCAAGAGTTCGGGACCAGCCTGGCCAACATGGTGAAACCCTTGTCTCTACTATAAATACAAAAATTAGCCAGGCGTGGTGGCATGCGCCTGTAATCCCAGCTACTAGGGAGGCTGAGGCAGGAGAATCACTTGAACCTGGGGGGCAGAGGTTGCAGTGAGCTGAGATCGCGCCACTTCACTCCAGCCGGGGCAAAAGAGCAAAACTTCGTCTCAAAAAAAACATTTTTTTTTTTTTTGGTTAAATGAATGAATGTAGAGATATGTCCCAGACAAAAACAGATAAAATTTGCTTTATTGATTTGATCAGACTTACCGAATATCTCTTATACCTGAGCTGTGTGTAATTCCTCAAAACCTGGTAGATAGGTAAAGGCGATTGTCCAGAGGAAGTAACCAAGGTCAGGCAGAATTAGGAGACACTCAGAGCAGATGGGCATCCTTCTGAGTGTCCTCCACATGCTTATTCCAGGGGCCAGCTGCCTTCCTCATGTGGTGGTCCCAGGGCTCCAGACTAGGGCGGAGGAGTGGAGGCCTGAGGATACACATCATGCTGCATAGTCTTGCAGAGGCGGATGAGGGGTCTCCTTTTTCTAGAACCAACTGTAGTCACTGCTGGGGTCCTCTTTATGGTGTACTGTAGTCCATGACATGGGGATGATAAATAACCCTGGTGGATGGATTTAATGGAGGCAGGAAACACTCTTTCTAGGGAGGAAGAAAATGGTTTGGTTTTAACACTCTGTTCTTCTCTTAACCCTGGTGGTTTGTAATTTATCACTTCTGCCCAGCCTGTTTCCCTGGCTCTGGGAGTCTGCTAGATGTCACTGTTTTCTTCAGATCCTGACACTGACTACTAGAGATCAATACTTGCCAAAAATGTGGACGACATTTAGGGGGAAAAAAAAGCCTTTTGTTTTTTTTTTTTTTTAGATGGAGTCTCGCTCTGTTGCCCACGCTGGAGTGCAATGGCACGATCTCAGCTCACTGCAACCTCTGCCTCCCGGGTTCAAGCAATTCTCTGCCTCAGTCTCTCAAGTAGCTGGGATTACAGGTGCCCACCACTATGGCTGGCTAACTTTTTTGTAGTTTTAGTAGAGATGGGGTTTCACCATATTGGCCAGGCTGGCCTTAAAGTCCTGACCTCGTGATCCACCCACCTCGGCCTCCCAAAGTGCTGGGATTACAGGCGTGAGCCACCGCACCCTGCCAAAAAAAACTTAAACCTTTTTTGTTTTTTTTAAAACAACTTAAAAAAAACTTAAACCATTAAAGTTTAAAGAAAAAAGCATTTTGACAAATGAAACTTGGGAGGAATGGTAATATAGTTCTTATTTTTAAAACTTTTCGAGTTAAAGGTTTAAAAGTCAAAAATTTAGCAAGTTTGGGAGCATAGACTTTCCTCTTACTTCCCACACCCTGAGCCTTTTGAGCCATCTCTTGTTTTTAGTCTCTACATGAAATTAAGAAGGTGCTAATGCTAGTGACCTCTCTGGGCCAATGCCTGGTTTGGAGGAAGGAAAGCATCTTTTGTTCTAGAGCAAGAGTGTCCAACTTTTCATGGTGATCCACATGATCAGAAATCCAATTGTTTATGGTAACAGCGAAGTCCAGAAGGTCCTCCCTCTACTGGTGAATACTGAACATGACTCATGCATGAGTCAGGTACATATGGACGCTTTCATTCCATTTTCCTCTTGTCAGCATCCTTCAGAATGCTCTAGTTTCATGGTGTCATTTTAGCAGAATTAAATGTGAACACCTCATCTGTATCATGCATTACTTTCGGCTTTACTCACACTTACAAACTGATCCAAAGCTGTGGATTTGCATCTTGGAGCAGGGGTCAGTGCACAATGGCATCAATGACCGCAAGAATTAACGAGGCTTTAATGACCTGCCCGAGTTGGCTAATCCTGCAAGCCGCCACTTGTTAAAATTTCGACATGCACTTAATCCGTAGGTCAGGATGGCCAAAAAGGACCAGCCCTTCCCCCTCAAGCAGCAGGCCAGAAGCAGGAGGCTTGGGTTTTAGATCAAATGTTAGCGAGAGGAAGCCACAATGTGGGGTCCCCCAGATCACCTCCTTTTCTTTCTGATCAGACTGACCAAAAATCACAGATTGCCTTGACCGTTCTGTGACCCAGCCAGCTGCAGGTTTTCCCCAGCAGGCTTGAACTCAAACCAGGGCCTTGAACACTCCCAGGCACTAATAAAGGTATCTAGGTTGTTGCCCAAAACGTTGAAAGAAACTGGCTCCAGCCCTGAGTCAAATTCCCTAAACCCTCATATAAACTCCATACCCTGACCCCCTTGCTACAGACATGCTTAGGCAGAACATCCCTTTTCCCTCCCTGTCGGCAGGGAGGATTGCTGCAGTCCTCTGTAAGTTCCCCTAATAAATGCTTTGAATTGATCACCCTGACATCTGGGCTTCTTTCTTTGGAATCCCAATTGGCCCCATCTCTGGAGGGTTTGGGCCACTCCCTGTGGGAATTTCCCTGCTGCTGCTTTTGGGATGATTCCAGCTGGGAGTTTGGTGAGATGAAACATGCAGGGCTGGCATGGAATTCTTTTGTCTCCTCTTGTAGAAACAACAGGGACCCTCAGAGACAGAAAAATACCCAGAGCTCCTCTTTGAGAGCTGGTACAAACTGTCTCTTTGGTGCAGGGTAGTGGTGGCTCATAAAAACCCACTCAATTTTGGTTTTAAAAAAATCTTCTTCAGAACTTCAGAGTAGGTAGTAATTAACACAAGAATATGTAATTTCTGATATGAGTGGACCACCCAGAATGTTTCTAATTCATCCACTCCTCTGGTCCCCAGTTCCTTGTCTTCTTAGGAAAATTTCCTCTTTTACATCCATCTGTACCTAACGGTTCATGCTTTGCCCTGACTCCCGCTGTGTCTTACCATGTTTGTGTTCTTATGTTTCTCACTCTCAGCCTCTCTTCCCTTTCTCTCCTTCCTGTCTCTCACAGCTTCCTCTGTCCCCAATGCTTTCTGCATCTTTTGTGCCAGGTGCTCTTTTCCTTTCTCTCCACCTCTGTCTTTCCAGGAGTCTTTGCAGAGCTCTCTCTATGTAGGCTTCCTCACGCCTGACGATTTCTTGGGCCTCTGTACCTCAGCTCTCCATGCCCACCGCTTATCCTCAGTTGGCCTCGTTCCCCTGATGCCCTGAATATTCCCAGACCAAATACTCACCACAATGAAGCCCAATCCAACAAAGAGCACAACAGTGACTGTGGTTGCAGCCAGGGATATGAGGATAATTCCCATGGGTGTCAGGAGCCTGGTGGGTTTCACTGCTGTGACTGAAGTAGTTCACAGAAGGTGAGTGTCACCATGTTTAGTGGTTTCATCTTCTGTGGTCCCTGGGTCTGCAGTGACGGAGTCCTCGGTGGTCCCTGGGTCTGCAGTGATGGAGTGTTTGGTGGTCCCTGGGTCTGCAGTGACAGAGTCCTCAGTGGTCCCTGGGTCTACAGTGATGGAGTGTTTGGTGGTCCCTGGGTCTGCAGTGACGGAGTCCTCTGTGGTCCTTGGGTCTGCAGTGATGGAGTCCTTGGTGGTCCCTGGGTCTGCAGTGACAAAGTTCTCAGTGAGTGGTCCCTGGGTCTGCAGTGACAGAATCCTTGGTGGTCCCTGGGTCTGCAGACACATAGTCCTTGGTGGTCGCTGGGTCTGCAGTGACAGAGCCCTCGGTGGTCCCTGGGTCCACAGTCACATTGTCCTCAGTGGTCCCTGGGTCTGCAGTGACAGAGTCCTCGGTGGTCCCTGGGTCTGCAGTGATGTGGTCCTCAGTGGTCCTTCCATCTGCAGTTACATCATTTTCTCTTATTCTTGAGTCTTTAGGGCTGGTCTCTGGGTGCTTAGTGGAAATGCTTTGGCTTAGTCCTACTAAAAAGTAATCTCATTTAATGTGAATTGTTGATGGCCTATCCTCATCTGCTCTGCTCAGTATTTTCATAACTATCCTCACATCCAAATGACACCTCTCCCCAGGTAATGTGGTGAGATTTATTCCAGTTAGGGATCATTTGGCATTTTTGGTTTAATTCTGGTAAAACATATTCCACAAAGAATCCTCTTGCACTACAATATGGATTATCTTTGCTGAGCCACGCCCTTCGAAGGCCTGCTCACCCAGCTTTGACTCTGTCTTTTCCAGGTCTGGTCTCTTTCCGTGGGACACTAAACCTGACTCTTTCTCAAGCTCACTCCTCTCTGAACTGGTGTTTCAGCAATTGGGGTATTCTGGCTCCATGTTCATAGGTGTCTCCTCTCATCCATTTGTGCCTGCGGTTCTGGCAAACCAATGAGGCAGAAGCTGTGATTCATGTTAGAGATTACACTCAGGTCATGCTTGGTATATGATTTAAAATGAGACAGCTGGCCAGGTGCTCCATCTCAAAAAAGGAAAAAAAAAGCATGAGACAGCTTCTGGGTCAGATCTGGGGCTAACGTGGTAGGCTTGGAGGCAGGGAAGATTCAAGGTGGTATGGGGGCAGGCTTAGGGGAGGAGTCATGAGGGGTGTGGGTGTGATCTAGTTGGACTGAGGGCAACACTGAGTCAGGTATAAGTACAAAGAAGAGATGAGTCCTCTTCGTCTCCAGCCCTCACTGCCCCAGGCAGCCGTCAGGACTTGGGAGTATTCTTATTCTTAGGAATACATGTAGCTTACATGGCATAAATTTTGAACTTTTGGTACTCTGCCCAAATCTAGTCATCCCTCCCTACTGCTGACGCTCCACATTTTTCTAATAGGGTTCAAGTCTTCCTTCCTTCCTTCCTTCCTTCCTTTCCCTCTCTCTCTCTCTTTTTTTTTTTTTTCTTTGAGACGGAGTCTCCCTCTGTCATCCAGGCTGGAATGCAATAGCGCGATCTCCACTCACTGCAACCTCCACCTCCCAGGTTCAAGCGATTCTCCTGCCTCAGCTTCTCAAGTATTTGGGATTACAGGCGTGCGCCACCAGACCCAGCTAATTTTTGTATTTTTACTAGAGACTGGGTTTCACCATGCTGGCCAGGCTGGTCTCAAACACCTGACCTCAGATGACCCACCCGCCTCAGCCTCCCAAAGTGCTAAGATTACAGGCATGAGCCACTGCACCTGACCGTTTCTTTCTTTTCTTTCTCTTTTTCTTTCTCTCTTTTGACACAGGGTCTTGTTCTGTGATTCAGGCTAGAGTTCAGTAGCACAATCATGGCTCAATGCAGCCTTGGCCTCCTGGCCTCAAGTGATCCTCCCACCTCAGCCTCCCGAGTAGATTAGACTACAGGCATGGGCTACCACGCCTGGCTGATTTTTTTGGTTTTTGTAGAGATGGTGTCTCACTATGTCGCCCAGGCTTGTCTCAAACTCCTGGGCTCAAGGGATCCCACTCCTTCTCATCCTCCCAAAGCGCTGGGATTAGAGGAGTGCCAAATTTTTCATTTCTCCAGGAAAGTTGAAACAAAGAAACTTAAATAAAATGCACAAAATCAAAAGCAGAGCATTTCCTTAAAAGGGGATATGAGAAAGACGCTGGGGTCCCTGCTTCCCTGTGGCAGGTGATTGAGGGTAGATAACAGGGTCCGGAGTTCCCAAGGTTCACTCACCTATTCCGTACCTTCGCTCGGGACTGGCCCTGTCTGAGTCCCAAGAGGCTCCTTCTCCAGGGACCCTGACTCCATCTCTCCAGGTCCCGGGGACTTTTGCATCCTTCTCACCAAAATTAACTCCTCCACCCCGTTCTGAACACCTCAGGAGAAGCAGGAGCAGCAGAAGGGGGACGTAGCGGGGCATTTTCTTCTCATCTCAAGAGAATCCACATGGTGCTAGCCAGGACACCTTTTCCTCCCTCCTTCTCTCAAACTTTTTCCACCCTGCCCTTCTCCTTCCACCCGCAGTGGCTGTGGGTTTATATGTGCTTTGCCGAGGGAAGCCAGAGCTCCGGGTCTTCCTTCCTGGAGGGAGGAGCAGCTTCTCAATTACCCCCTGTCACTCAAAGGAGTGGCCGGGCAGGGCAGAAGAGGCTGTCATGAGGGGAAGGGGGGCTCTCAGCTTTGGACCAGAGCCCAGAGTCGAGCAGCCACAGGGGATCAAGCCTGTCAGCGTGAGTGCACTGCTTTCTGATGTGGAGCCTAGTTGAAAACCATCCTCCACCCGGTGTTTCAGTGCTCAGGGAGGGCCTCGGCCTTCCTTCCCACAGGTGGCCACAGTAAAGTCAGGATGACCAAGGAGGGCATAGGCCAGGCCTGCCTGGGGGATGATGCTTGGCAAGAGGAGAGCTGGGTGTCAGAGGGTAGAGGACATTTGGTAAGGACCAAGAGAAGGTCCTCCAACAGAAGGAGAGGAACACTCACGAGGGGGCTAAAACACCCAATCTCTCTGTCTCTTAAAACCTCGCTCTTTGCTCAATCATCCACCCAAATCCTCTTCCTTGGCTTCTCTCCAGCCCACGGATCTCTCTCCTTGCTCCCCCTGCTCGAGTGCCCTCACCCCAGTGAGCTTTCTCAATTACTGCATGTATTAGTCTGTTTTCACGCTGCTGATAAAGACATACCCAAGACTGGGAAGAAAAAGAGGTTTAATTGGACTTACAGTTCCACATGGCTGGGGAGGCCTCAGAATCACGGAGGGAGACAAAAGGCACTTCTTACACAGTGGCGGCAAGAGAAAATGAGAAAGAAGCAAAAGCGGAAACCCCTGATAAACCCATCAAATCTCATGAGACTTATTCACAGTCATGAGAATAGCAAGAGAAAGATGATTGGCGAAAAGAGAAAAACTCCCCACAGCATGAGGGGAATTGTGGGAGCTACAATTCAAGTTGAGATTTCTGTGGGGACAGAGCCAAGCCATATCACTGCACAAAATTAGTCCACTTGTGGTGAGGTCAGGCCTGAATGAGAATACCCACATCTTTTCCTCCTTCTCTGACCCTTATCCCTGCCTTGCCCACTCTTTAGAAGATCATTGTTGGTTCCCATCTTCATTCAGAGATGTCTCTCACCATTTGTGGGGCCTCTCTCTTTCCCAGTGTCCTTCTAACTAAAAGAGGAGTGTGAAATTGCAGGTGGGCCGGGAATTGTTCCTCTCTTAGAAGGCAGCTGATTTCCTGAAAATCAATTTAATGAATGGCTAGTTTACCACATGTAACTGACTATGTTAACTACTAGTATTATTTGAATGTATTAAATATTTTCTCTTTTCCTTCCTTCCTTCCTTTCTTTCTTTCTTTCTTTCTTTCTTTCTTTCTTTCTTTCTTTCTTTCCTTCTTTCTCTTTCTCTTTCTCTCTCTTTCTTTCTTTTTGACAGGGTCTTGCTGTATTGCCCAGGTTGGAGTGCAGTGGTGCTATCACGGCTCACTGCAGCCTCGATCTCCCAGGCTCAAGTGATCCTTCCACCTCAGCCTCCGGAGTAGCTGGGACTATATGCATGCACCACCATGCCCAGCTGATTGTTTTTTTATTTTTAGTAGAGACAAGGTCTCACTATGTTGCCCAGGCTGGTCTCGAACTCCTGAGCTCAAGAGATCCTCCCTCATCAGCCTCCCAAAGTGCTGGGATTACAGGTGTGAGCCACATCACCCAGCAACATTTTCAAACATAGTATTTAAACACACTCAAAAGAATTTGTATGTATTTAGTATAACTAATGAATAGATTTCAAAAGAGTATAGTAAGGAAAATATCTGATTTTCTAAGTCAAGAGGTATAATTTGCATATGATAAAATTCACCCTTTTTCATGTACAGGTCAATAGAATTTTTTTGGTTTGGCTTTGTTTTAGAATTTTTAAAACTTCATTTTGAGATAATTTTAGACTTACAGAGAATTACAAAAATAATTAACAGAGTTCCCGTATATTTTTCCCCTAGCTTTTCCTCATGTCAATATCTTACATAGTACAATTATAGAAACTGAGAGATTATATATACAATTATAGAAGCTAAGAAGTTATTGTTGGTACAATACTATATATATTTTTTTGAGACAGAGTTTCACTCTTGCTGCCCAGGCTGGAGTGCAATGGCACGATCTCAGCCCACAGCAACCTTCCCCTCCCAGGTTCAAGTAATTCTCCTGCCTCAGCCTCCCGAGCACCCGGGATTACAGGTGTGTAATCCTAATGGTGATAGATTAGATTCCTTCTACATTTATTAATTGAAATTCTTCTGTAAGAAAAAGTCGTGCCCTCTCCCCATTTTATTTATTCAACTATTTGTTTATATCAGAATGGACTCATAAATGTTTATTTTGTTCTGTGAGTTATGATCCAATACTATCACTATTTATTTTGTTGCTCAAACTTTGGCCACTGGGAGCTCTTTCAGATGGGCTCCAGTGCCGTTTTAATGTCCTCCATCCTTTTTTTGTTTTGTTTTATTTATGAGACAAGACTTCACTGCGTTTCCTAGGCTGAATTGCAGTGGCATCATCATACAGCCTCAAACTCCTGGGCTCAAGGGATCCTCCTGCCTCAGCCTCCTACAAGTAGCTAGGACTACAGGCATGCACCAGCACACCCAGCTGATATCTCCATTGCTATTTTGTTTTGTTTTTTGAGACAGGGTCTCACTTTGTTGCCCATGCTAGAGTGCAGTGGTGCAATATTGGCTCACTGTAATCTCCGTATCCTGAGCTCAACTAATCCTCCCACCACAGCCTTCCAAGTAGCTGGGACAACAGGTGTGCGCCACCACACCCAGCTAACTTTTTTTTTTTTTTGTAGAGACAAAGTTTTGTCATATTGCTCAGGCTGGTCTTAAACTCCTGGGCTCAAGCAATCCACTTGTCTTGGCCTCCCAAAGTGCTGGGATTACAGGCTCAAGCCACTGTGCCCAGCCTCTCCATCCGTGGTATTTTGTTTTTTTGTTTTTTTTGTGTGAGATGGAATTTCGTTCTCGTTGCCTAGACTGGAGCGCAATGGTGCAATCTCGGCTCACTGCAACCTCTGCTTCCTGGGTTCAAGTGATTCTCCTGCCTCAGCCTCCCAAGTAGCTGGGATTACAGGCATGCACCACCATGCCCAACTAATTCTGTATTATTTTAGTAGGGAGAGTTTTCTCCAAGTTGGTCAGGCTGGTCTCCAACTCACGAACCTCAGGTGATCCCCGGGCCTGGGCCTCCCAAAGTGCTGGGATTACAGGCATGAGACACTGTGCATGGCCCTCTCCATCCCTTTTTAAAACACTTTCTTGCATTCTGGTATTACAAGATGCTTCATGCTCATTTTTTATTTTGTCCATCCAGGCCCTGGAATCAACTATTTCTCCACAGAGCTCTGGCTCCTCTTTGTATTAGAGAATAATATTTAGAAACCAAGATTTGGGTACTAGGTGTGCTCATTCATAGTGGGTGTCACTGCTTCTTGCCCCCACGGAAGTTAGAGCTAGGAAACGTATGTATGTAAACTAACTCATGCATAAACACAGGTCTGTATTTATTTCTGCAATTACCTGTCTGCATATACAGATTGAATCCCTTATCTGAAATGTTTGAGACCGTAAGTGTTTTGGATTTTCAATTTCTTGGATTTCGAAATATTTGTATATACACAATGAGATATCTTGTGGATGAGACCCAAGTCTAAACATGAAATTTGTTTATGTTTTATATATATCTTATACATGTAGCCTGAAGGTAACTTTACGTGATATTTTAAATAATTTTGTGCATGAAACAAAGTTTGTGTATGTTGACTTGTGGTGTCATGTTGGTGCTCAGCAAGTTTTGGATTTTGGAGCATTTTGGATTTTCAGATGAGGGTTGCTCAACCTGTGTTTTAAACACAAGCATGGGTGCATTTTGACACCTCCAGCTTTAATCCAGCAACATGGGGTTCATTCTAGTCTCTCCCTTTTCTTTATTTGTAACTCCTTTCTCTGACATGGCTACGAATGTCTATAAACATATTTTTTTACTTATTTTTTCAACCCTAATAAACAAATAGTGGTTTCAGAACTGCTAATTCATACCCTTGCCAGAAACACATTTACCAACTACAGTACAGTGTTTCTGTATTTTTTTTTTTTTTTTGTCTTTAGCTTTATGGTCAAAACACAGTTTTTCTTTTCTTTTTCTTTTTTAAATTTGAGACAGGGTCTTGCTCTGTCACCCAGTCTGGGGTGCAGTAGCACTGCAGCCTTGATCTCCTGGACTCAAGCGATCCCTCCATCCTAGCCTCCTGAGCAGCTAGGACTACAGGCACACCATCATGCCCAGCTAATTTTTTTAACTTTTTGTAGAGGCGGGGTTCTCGCTGTGTTGCTGAGGCTGATCTCAAGCTCCTGGACTCAAACAAGCCTCCTGCCTTGGCCTCCCAAAGTGGTAGGATTACAGGCATGAGCCACCATGCCTGACTCAAAACAGTTTTTCAAAGTTACTTAGGCCAGCTCCTTCTTCTCCATCCGTTTCACTGTGCTTACATGAGTCATTTGTCAGAGTCTGCTTTCCATCTTTCCCTCCACATCCTGGTTGATTTGCTGAATTTCCATACCCTAAAAATCACTTTTTGTAGTGTACAGTTCTATGGATTTTGATAAATGGTAGAGTCACATATTCGGCGCACTGAATCCCTTCATCCTCCTCAATCTCCCCCCATGCCGTTCCTTTAGAGCCAACCCTTCTCCCACTTCCCAAACCCTGGCAACATGGATCTTGTTTCTTTCCCTATAATTTTGCCATTTTCAGAATGTCATATGAAGGGAATCGTATAGTCTGTAGCCTTATAGTTTTAGATATAATTTATATACTATTCATAGGAATCATATTTGCAATTATTCATCAGAGTCAAGAATAAATAATTTTTTCTTGCACATATTTTTGAATAAAGTCTTTCATGTGAAAATTGTTATAAATAAATATATTTATCTTGAGTATTTTCTTAACTAGAAAACATGCTATAAATCAAGAAGACATTCCCCAGTCTCCCTCTGTCTCCCAGCCTCCAGCCTGCAGCAGGAGGGAATCACACTGAATAGGATTTAAACAAAATTTAAAAATTCAAAGAATTAGTCATTTGATGAATTAGTTTTAAGAAAATTGCCTAGAGCTCGTTAGATGAAGACCTCCCTAAAACAGGACTTTTAACAAAAGTCACCATAAATTCTGGAGTTGGGGATTTTTAAAAAAGTGCTAGGCAGAAATCTCTTGAAATTCACATTTCTTCTCGTTTTCGTTTTTTTTTTTTTTTTTTTTTTTTGAGACAGGGTCTCACTCTGTTACCCAGGCTGGAGTGAGTGGCACAATCACAGCTCAGTGAAGGCTTGACCCCCTGGGCTCAAGTTATCCTCCCACCTCAGCTGGGACTACAGGTGTGCACCACCACACCTGGCTAATCTTTTTAACTTTTTGTAGAGACAGGACCTCACTCTGTTGCCCAGGCTGGTCTCAAACTCCTGGGCTCAAACAGTTTTCCCACTTTGGCCTCCCAAAGTGTTAGGATTACAGGCATGAGCTACTGTGCCCAGCCTCCACTTCTTTTCTTCTTTCCCATTTCCATGTTTTGTGGTCTTAGATTTGTCTATTTGCTTCTTTCTTTGCAGGGGCATTACAACACCATTTTTGCTGGTTTCCAGCCTCTATTTTCTACTCACTCAGCTGATTGAAGTGTTCTTATTGGGGAAAAAATTGTGTCCCACTACACCTTAAAGTGATCTGTGGGCTTTGTGCTGTTAAAGGATGAAATCTGGCCTCCTTGGAGTGGTGTTCAAAGCCACGCATTAGCCCCCAGCCCCAGCTCCCTCTGCTGTGCTCTCCAGCCCCACAGGTCTTCTGACCTTCACTGGCCGTGCCATGCCCAGTCTTGCACAAGCTGCTTGCTTGCCTGGCATTTCCTCTTCTGCTCCTCGTAAATGCCTGCTAACTCCTCAAAATCCAAATGTCACCTTCTATGTGAGTCAGCCTCTCCTCCCCTCATCAAGTTAGATGTTTCCTCCTGTGGTGCTTCCATTCATACTACTTGATGCGTTGGCCTGTAACTTATGTACCTCCCTCACCCAACTGTGACCTACAGGGCCATCCTAGCTGCCCCAGCTCCTTGAGACCTCATGCCAAGCAGGTGTCCAGTAAATATGGTGAATGAATGAATGAAAAAATGAGTGCAAAAGATGATAATTATTTTACGAAAAGGTCTGGGGGCTCTTAAAACTGAAGAGGAGATAATGGATACACTGATAAATATCTTCAAGGTATTATTTTAAAACCCTAATATAAAAATAAAAATTAAAAAATCCCAAAATAAAAAACCCGAATATACATTTTTTCTTCCTATTGAGGTAAAATTTACAAAAAGTGAAATGCACAGATCTTAAGAATTCAGTTAGTGGAGGTTTCTTGTTTTGTTTTGTTTTTTTGAGACAGGGTCTCACTCTGTTGCCCGGGTTGGAGTGCAGTGGCACCATCACGGCTCACTGCAGCCTTGACCTCCTGGGCTCAAGCAATCATCCCACCTCAGCCTCCCAAGTAGCTAGAACTACAGGTGTGCATTACTATACCCGACTAATATTTGTATGTTTTGTAGAGATGAGGTCTTGCCATGTTGCCCAGGCTGGTCTCAAACTCTTGGGCTGAAGCAATCCTTTCACCTCAGCCTCCCAAAGTGCTGGAATTACAAGCGTCAGCCACCACACCCAGCTGTTAGCTGAGTTTTGACAAGTGTATTTACCTGTGTAACCAACAGACCAGTTGATATAGAAAACATTCCTATCACCCAGAAAGTGCTCCCTTCCTAAAAACCCTCACCCTCATAGGAGATCTGATCTCTGCCACCATAGATTAGTTTTGCCTATTGTTGAATTTCATGCAAATAAATTGTACAGTAGATACTCTCTTGCATCTGTTAAAAATAGATTTTGTTGTTGTTGTTATGTTTTTTGTTTGTTTTGTTTTGGAGACAGAGTCTTTCTCTGTTGCCCACAGTGGAGTGCAGTAGCGCAATCTCTGCTCACTGCAACCTCCGCCTCCCAGGTTCAAGCAATCCTCCCACCTCAGCTTCCCGAGTAGCTGAAACTACAGGCATGTGCCACCACACCCGGCTAATTTTTGTATTTTTAGTAGAGACGGGGTTTTGCCATGTTGGCTGGGCTGGTTTTGAACTCCTGACCTCAGGCGATCCGCCCGCCTCAGCCTCCCAAAATGCTAAGATTACAGGCATCATGAGCCACCGCACCCAGCCTAAAAACAGTTTTGTTCATCATATTGTAAAATGTTCTTAGAGAAACAGCTTGGTCCTGTTAAGGCTCTCCCAAAGACCCAGGAGAATCCCAGAAGCTGAAGAGACTTAGCAGAGGGTGAAACTGATAAAGCAGAGGCGAGTGATTCACAGGGAGGAAGAATCAGTGGGGTGCGTGTGCGAGAGCAAGTTGCACCAGAAGCCTGGGTGGGACCAGGCCTGAGCATGGTGCTGACACTGGCATGTGTGCCCTCTGAGGCCTGGTTTTGGGGGAGCTGCTGAGGATCTAGACCGTAGCAGGGCAAGCCAGTCCTGCCCTTGCAAAAACTGGGAGCACATTCTCCCTGCCCAGGACAGTTGCTGGGCTGGGAGCCCACAGGAGAGAAAGGTGGCAACTCACACCTGCAGCCCAGAGCAGACGTGAGTGGCCAGGAAAAGTGGCCATGTCTAAGGGTGGCCCCAGTAGCAAGCTCTTTCCTACCTCACAACATGAAAACAGGATCACTTTCCTCCAGTTCATGTTCTAGGCTCACGCAGAGGCTGTTTTCCTGCCATGCAACACACGTCTGTAAAGACCAGCACCTGCCTTCCCCCATCTCTCCTGACTCCATTCTTCCATCGACCCAGAGGCCTCGGGGAGCAGGGAAGGAGTGGGGAAGAAAATGGGACAGATGTGAGGTCTCTGGATTTCATGCTAGGATTTGAGAACTGGGAGTACACAGCGAAAGAGTGTCCTCATGATATAGGAAACCTCTCTTCACAGCAATATACAAGCACACACCCACAGTCTGGCTGTCACATAGAGCAGATGCACTTATTTAATCATTCAGCACTAGCGATAGCCTCCTGTTTCAGGTCTGGGAGAACTAAACAGAAGGTAGGAGTGTCAGGGGCTGGAGCAGAGCTGGGAGGAGCAGCCCTGGGGGCAAGTGAGGAAAACCGAGACCGCTGGTCCTCCCCACCCTGAGGACAGTGAAGTGCCTGCCTTTAGGGATACTGTGTCTCCTCATCAGCTCCATGCCTGTGGGAGAACACTGGTCTCTAAAATCCGTTTCAGTCTCACTTGACCCATCTTGGACTCCATGATATCCTTGAGGACATGGACCAAGGTTTGGGATGTGAAGATCTTTGGTGAAGAGGTTTCTTAGGCACAGAGAGTTTCTCTAGAAAACAAAAGGATGGATCGTTCAGAGTTATGCCCCTCTTCCAGTGCTCTCCCATCCCACGTGTCCCCACTCCCCATTCGGCCTCCCCAGCCTCAGTACTCCTTTGGCCCCTTCTCTCCTCATCAATTTCCTCTGAACATGTACCAGCTTTTCTAGCCCTCTCTCTTGCTGGTTCTCACCTGCTGTCTCTGTCTTGCTTTGTCCCTCTCCTGATTTCTCATTCCCTATTAGCCACACAATGACCCTACTCTCTCTACCCTGCTTCCCTCCTCAGTTCCCTGCACTCCCTCCCTCAGAAAAAGGATTTCCCACACATCAGGCACTCATGAAATAAAAGAGCCCTGTGAAGAGAATCACAGCCATTGCAACCAAGGCCAGAGTGACTAGGATGACTTCCCACAGCCTCAGGCATCCATTAGACCTTCCCTCATTCCCTGGAGGGGCTGCACTTGTGCTGGTGACACTGGAGGTTGCAGTTGTTGTGTTAGTTCCACTGGAAGATATAGTGGACCCAGGGCAGGGGGGTTGTAGTGATTCCACTGGGAGGTGTGGTTGGTCCAGGGGGCGTGGTCACGGTGATTCTGCTGGATAATGTGGTTGATCCTGGAGGGGTGGTCACAGTGATTCCACTGGAAGGTGGGGTTAATCTGGGGGGATGATCGTGGTGATTTCACTGGAAGTTACAGCTGGTTAAGAAAGGGTGGCTGGTTGGCTCCACTGGAAATTTGGTTTTGTTCACCGCTACCGCTACTATGAGTAATACTAGTGATAATAATAGTGGCTGTCATTTAAGAATGCTCACTATATTCCAGGCACTGTGCTAAGTGCCACATATAAATTAGTACTAAAATCCTTACAATACCTCCTTGAGATAGAAACTAATATTACCCCCATTTTATAGATAGGTAAATTGAGGTTTAAAGAAGTTAAGCAGCTAGTTCCAGGTCAGACAGTTAGTAGGTAGTGGAACAACGATTTAAATCAAGGCAGTCTGACCCCAGAGCTAGCCCCTAAAGCCCTTAACCCATGCATTATTCCATATCCCAGGTATGGGGGAGTTACAAGACCAGGGTTTACAGGGGATGGTGTTATTCTTTTAACTATTCATGATACTCTCCGACTAAAGAACGTAAGAGAAAAGTTGAAGGCCCATCAAGCTCCTCTCCAAACAGTATTGTGCCCTTCCTCTAGGGGGCAGATAATCAAGGGGAATCGGTTTGGGAGGGGACCATGATGTGCATTTTTACTACATCGGGTAATTCTTCTGAACACAAAAGTTTGGGGCTGGGCGCAGTGGCTCACACCTGTAATCCCAGCACTTTGGGAGGCCAAGGCAGGAGGATCACTTGAGGCCAGGAGTCTCGACCAGCCTGGACAACATGGAGAAACCCTGTCTCTACTACACATACAAAAAAATTAGCCAAGCATGGTGGTGCAAGCCTGTAATCCCAGCTACTCGGGAGGTTGAGGCACGAGAATCGCTTGAGCCTGGAAGGTGGAGGTTGCAATGAGCTGAGAGCACGCCACTGCACTCCAGCCTGGGCGACGGAGCAAGACTCTGTCTCAAAAAAAAAAAAAAATTGTTTGGGAGCCACTGGTTTAAGGGACCCCAGATGGTCTTGACACATGGACTAGTAAAGAATCAGTCATGTCAGCTTGAAGAAATAAGATCTTCTGGGATTCAGGAAAGTGGCTCAGCTTTCTTGTTGGATCAGTTAGAGTTAAGGTGAGACTGAGCTTCTTTCCCTGTCATGCCTATTTTCTACCCTGTTCTGATTTTCCATCCCATTAACAACCAAGCCCTTGACCTCCCAGATCCCTATAGACCCTCTCCTCATCGATGGCCCTGTTCTCTCCCTGGATGTAGGTGCTGCCCTTCACCCTCCACATATGTTCTTGCCTTGGTGTTGTCTGGACTAACATAAGGATTGCCAATTTAGATTTGAGGGAAGAATCCCAAAACTGTGTGTCGATGCCTTAGGTTAGGGTCAGAGCCAAGAGAGAAACTAAGTGAGAAGTTGAGATGAAAAGCTGGCCTGTGGAGAGGGAATAGACTGGTTTTGTGTTGGTCTGGGGCATAAAACACAAGAGTCAAAGCCATGCTGGGGCAGATTCTAGAGAGAATTAAATCTGCGTGAGTGTGGAACAGCAATGTCTCATGAAGTGTTTAATTAGAGGCTAGATGACTGCTGTCACAGACGCTGGAAATAGATCCCTGCCTATTACAGGTGGTCAGACACTAATTCAAGTTCTCTTCCAACTCTAATGCGCCTATATCTGGGAATGATGTGTTATAGAGTAAATAGGTCCATCTTCTGGGCAGAAGAGTTGCCACTGAGAACAGAACGGAGGACAGATGCTGGGTTGCATTGGAGAGAAAGAAGCAAAATAATCATCCCTCCTGCCTTGAAGAGAATGGGGGCAACAAGGACAGAGTGTGTGTCCCAGAAGTTGTCAACATTTTCCCCAAACTCTACTCAAACTCCAAGATTATTCTCTTTTAAACAAAATCACTCACCATTTCCTAAAAGTAGAAGGAAGTGAAACAGCCAGCATGCAAGGGAAAATTGCTTTCTCTTTCTTTTGAGATAGTCTGCCTGTGTGAGGCTGGAAGGGAAGGCTCCTCCCTTAGTCCCGATGGGATTAAGCCTTAGAAGGGAAAGGCAGAAAATGAGAATCTTGAGGGTGGAGTCTCAAGGTGGAGATCTGAGGGCTGGACTACTAGGAATTCGGAACTCCAAAGAATAGGTCCTCAATCTGAAGAGAAGCACCGCTAGGGGGACCTGGGCTACAGGGGAAGCTGGATGTCTGGTCCTTGATGTTCCTTCACAGAATGCCACCTCTTCTTTTTCTCTTTCAAAGAAGGCCTTTAGGGCGGGTACAGTGGCTCATGCCTGTAATCCCAGAACTTTGGGAGGCCAAGATAGGCAGATTACGAGGTCAGTAGTTCGAGACCAGCCTGGCCAACATAGTGAAACGCCATCACTACTAAAAATACAAAAATTAGCTTGGTGTGGTGGCACATGCCTGTAGTCCCAGTTGCTTGGGAGGCTGAGGCGGGAGAATCGCTTGAGCCCAGGAGGCAGAGGTTGCAGTGAGCTGAGACCACGCCATTGCACTCCAGCCTGGGCAACAGAGTGAGACTCCATCTCAAAAAAAAAAAAAAAAAAAAAAAGGAAGAAGAAGAAGGCCTTTAAAGCATCATCTGGACTGGGCAAGGCCTGGACATGTAGGCTGTTGTTCTTCCAGCTGTGAGCAGTGGCAGAATCCCCAAGCTTAGAGAGGAGGGTACAGCAGCCAGAAGGTAGGTGAGGGTGGAGGATGACTTAGTCCCATTAGGAAGGGCCTGGGGAGGAGTGGGAAGTGGAATAGTTCAAGGGGATCAAGGCTGTCAAAGTGGAGGGGCTCCACCCTCTGAGGCAGGGATGGGGCAGAAAACCTGCTCTAGTTGGAGGCCTCCTTTCCTGGACAAGAAGTCCTGAGAACCCAGTATAGCTGGGCAGGAGCAGGTGTGTGAGAAGGAAGCCCCTGCAAACAGAGCTTAGCAGGTAGGGCACAGGAAGTGAGATCCCTGTGAATAGGCACTGGAGACTGGACCTCTGGGCATTGCTGAATAATTAGTAAGCCTGCAAAGCATACCTTGAATGAGGTGGGGAAGAGAGACCCGGGGGAGGGAAATAGACTCTGGGGTCTCCGCAGCGTGGGAGCTGGGGGTGGGAGAGTTGGGGGTGGTGGTGTGAGCTGTTGAGGAGATGGAACCAATGGTGTACTGGGTCAGTGCATGCCTGTGTGCTAGAGCTCATTGCTGAATTTTCAGGATTTTTGGCAACACAGCCATCATTAAAAATTAACGTGTATTAACTTACAGTGAACTAAATTATATTTAAAACAAAGGTAAAAATGTTCCAAACTCATTACTTTCTAATTGCTTTACCACATTTTACTATTATCTCTGCGCACGGAGTTACGTACGCCTATCACATCTGCCTGGTGGGAATGGTATGGAATGGTGTGCCGCCCATCGCTTCCCATTCTATACACAGTGATTCACGCTGGTCACACGCAGTCAGCTCTGGCGGGTGCATTTGCGCCACGAGAAGTGAGTTGTTAAACATTTACCAGCACACACGCTGCAGGGGACCTAAGGAGAGTGATGGCACTGGAAAGAGGAATGCTCCTGCTTCTAATCCTCCTTGATAGAGGCGCTCCCCTTTTGTTTTTGAAGAATTTATAGAAGCTTTTCCACCGGGGAGCTTCAGCTAGGTCTTCTCATCAGTGCTGTGTGCCAGACAAGCCAGATGATCAAGGAAGTACCTACACTTTGGACACTGTCAGTTTGCCTGGGGACTGAGAGCTTACAGTCCAAGCTTGCTTCAACTCTGGCTGAGGCCAACAGAGAGAGCCCAAAGACAACTGAAGGAGCGGCAGAAAACAAAGATGGGAACGGGGTAATTGGCTTCCAGTTCCTTCATTCGCAGGTCATGAAAAAAACCTGGGGCTAGACTCCATGAGAGTTTTTTTGTTTTCTGTTTTGTTTGTCTGTTTGTTTGTTTGAGACTGAGTCTCGCTCTGTCACCCAGGCTGGAGTGCAGTGGCGCGATCTCGGCTCACTACAAGCTCCGCTTCCCAGGTTCACGCCATTCTCCTGCCTCAGCCTCCCGAGTAGCTGGGACTACAGGCGCCCGCCACCACGCCCTGCTAATTGTTTTGTATTTTTAGTAGAGACAGGGTTTCACTGTGTTAGCCAGGATGGTCTCGATCTCCTGACCTTGTGATCCACCCGCCTCAGCCTCCCAAAGTGCTGGGATTACAGGCGCGAGCCACCGTGCCCGGCCTGTTTTCTGTTTTTTTGAGACAGGGTCTTGCTCTGTTGCCCAGGCTGGAGTGCAGTGGCACAATCTTGACTCACTGCAACCTCCCAGGCTCAAGTGATCCTCTTACCTCAGCCTCCCAAGTAGCTGGGACTATAGGCATGTGTCACCACGCTTGGCTAATTTTTGTACTCTTTTGTAGAGCTGGGTTTTCACTATGTTGTTCATGCTGGTCTCAAACTCCTGGGCTCAAGTAATCCTCCTGCCTCAGCCTCCCAAAGTGCTGGGATTACAGGTGTGAGCCACTGCACCTGGCCACCAGGGGACTTCTTAAGCATCAAATCATTTCCTTCCAGCTTTTGGCTAAGTTTGAATTTGGAAAAGTTGCAGGAGAAAAACGTCAAATTATCTAGAGGGGAAAATATATTGGAGTATGTTCTAACAATATGATCCTAATTACTTATATCTACAAAAATGTTTAAATGGCCCTGATACAACATTTTTGGGAAAGGACAGCAGCACTTGGAGGGGCTAAAAAGGGATTTGCCCTACCTCCTCCAATCTCCATCTGGCCCCTTCAAAGCCACCTGAATATACATAAAACCTAATTTGAAACAATATGGTTGCTATACAAATACAGCTTTTATAAAAGACCCCTAAAAAGTATTTCCTTCCCTCCTTTGTAAGATATCCACAAATGAACAATCTAATGATACCTAATAATAGTTAGCTTTTATTGAGTATTCCATGTGCCAGACATTATTCAAAGTGTTTTACAGATATTAGTTTATTTAGTATTTATATTACTCTATGCTTAGGTGCCACAATCTCTGTTTTACAAATTTAAGATGCCTCAGTTCATCTTGCCCAGACTTGTAAAGCTAACAAGTGGCAGAATCAGGATTCATACTCAGGCAGTCTGACTCCTGTGCCACGTTCTTTCTTTTTTTTTGAGATGGAGTCTCGCTCCGTCACCCAGGCTGGAGTGCAGTGGCATGATCTCGGCTCACTGCAATCTCTGCTGCCCAGGTTCAAGCTATTCTCCTGCCTCAGTCTCCTGAGTAGCTGGGATTACAGGTGCATGCCGCCACACCCAGCTAATTTTTGTATTTTTAGTAGAGATGGGGTTTCACTTTGTTGGTCAGGCTGGTCTCGAACTCCTGAACTCAGGTGATCCACCTGCCTTGGCCTCTCAAAGTGCTGGGATGACAGGCGTGAGTCACTGTGCCCGGCCTGCCATGTTCTTAATCACTATAAAAAGAAGGCATCAATTACAAACATTGGTCCCAGCTGCCCCCTTGAAAATATTGCATGTACCTAAACCCCTCCCCCAGAGAAATTCTGGAGCTTCCACAGAAGCAGCAAAGGTTCAGCCAGGTTAAGTTTAAAATAAAACAGACGCAATATTTATCAGAAGGGACATTCCATTAGAATGAGTAAGTTAGAAGCAGGTTCTCCAGGCAAAGCTGACTGAAAGAGATCGTATTTTGATACATGTTTGGAGGGTCAGTGCTGACAACCGTGAAGGGACAGGATGCAGAGGCTAAGAGCTTAGAACTTCTGTCTTGTTTAGAGAATGACAGATTAATTTACCTCAGTATTAGAAATGTTAGGATGCAAACAGTTGCATACAAACAGAAAAATCACAAAGACACAGAGTAATTTTGGAATTGTATTAGTCTAACCTAGGGAAAAAAAAAAAAGAAAAGAAAGGTGGAGTCCTATTTAGGAATTGCCTGAACTCCAGATTCTCTCTGCCCTGTCCTTTAATTTTAGCATGTCCTAATTCAGATCGCTTTCAGACATCTAGACAGGTCGTCTGCTTTCTCTTCCTAGTTTTCATCTCCGATCTCCAGTTCCACTGCAGCCCTCCAGACTGCCAAGCTTAATGTGCACTTAGCACATTTAACGTGTTTCCACTCTCTCCCCTGGATGGCAGGGACCCCGATCCTGGGAACTACCTTTTCCAGGCTCCCTTGCCAGGAGGCTCCAGGCACATTTTACCTTCCTCCAGTGAAACAAACTCTCATGAGACTCAGTTCTGTGGCAGTAATGGCTGCATGCGTGCATGGCTTCCTGGGGGAGGATTTTGCGGTGGCCTCCGCATTTCCCTGCCTCTGGCACACTGTGGGGCTGTGGAGGAGTGGAGGAGCCTCAGCAGTTGCCTGCACGTCCCTGCCTCCGGTGACCGCAGATCTCTGCTCTCGGTGGCAGTGAACCTGAAAGCTATTGGCTGTCATCCTGACTTTCACTCCTCCACCTTTTCGAGCGGTTTTATAAGCACCTACTTCTTGTACTAAATCCTTTTATGCTTGAAATATCCAAAGTGGTTTCTGTTTTCATAAGTGAACTCTGACTGTTACAGTATTTGGTATAACAAGAGGTTTCAGAAAATTGACGTTCAAAGGTGGCAATCTGGGATTGGTTCCCTGACCCATTAGGCTTGAGGGCAGGGGCGACCTCATGCTAGTATAAAATGAAGTCTTTGTATTACACAGCAAAAGATAGAAAAAGTGACTTAAGTTATCACCTGTGGTGGTGCCTGGAATAAAGCAATTGTTGAAGGGAAGGGCCGGGAGCCCAGGTGGTCGCTGTGACAGATCGTGAAGCTGGGAGTGTTGACTGCCGGGACTGTGGGTGGCTGCACTGGGAGATTACAGAAAAAAAATGACCCCTCTGCTGCATCCTCAGTCAAGGCATTGCCAGCGAACACAGAGCTTTCTCTGAATATTCTAAAAGACATGCTTATCTCTCAAAGCCACAGGGACTATGTATGAAAAAACCAGACCCACAGTTTGATTCTGCAGATTGGAGAATTATATTCAACTTGCATTTATATCTTTGCCAGTCTCGTGTGTGACATTTGGAATATTTGTTAACGGAAGCCCAGAATTGGAGTGGAGACACCTGGGTAGATTTTGATGAGTCTGAAAAACTTTGAACCTCCAAATCCCGCAGAGCTTTCCTTGCCAGCAGAAGTAGCCCCTCCTCCCCTCTGTGAGGAAGTCACTTTCTCTTGCCTGAAGACCCTATAGTGACGCCCTCACAGCACTCCCTTGGCAAGGGGACACAGATTTTCCTCAGGCCCTGTATTAGTTTCTTATTGCTGCATGACAAATTACCACAAATTCAGGCTGAAGATAGCACAGATATATTATCTTGCAGTTCTGGAGATCGGAAGTTTAAAATAGGTTTTACTGGGCTAAAGTCAAGGTGTCAGCTGGTCTGTGGTCCTTCTGGAGGCTCTAGAGAAGAATCTGTTTACTCACCTTTTCCACCGCTAGAGGCTTCCAGCACTCCTTGGTTTGTGGCCCCTTCTTCCATCTTCAAAGCTTGCATCGCAGCATCTTCAAATCTCTCTGACTCTGACTCCTGTCTCCCTCTTTTTTTTTTTTTTTTTTTGAGATTGAGTCTTGCCCTGTTGCCCAGGCTAGAGTGCAGGGGCGCAATCTTGGCTCACTGCAACCTCCACCTCCTGGGTTCAAGCCATTCTCCTGCCTCAGCCCCCTGAGTGGCTGGGATTACAGGCACCCACCACTACACCCGGCTACATTTTGTATTTTTAGTAGAGACAGGGTTTCATCATCTTGACCAGGCTGGTCTCGAACTCCTGATCTCGTGATCTACCCTCCTCAGCCTCCCTAAGTGCTGAGATTACAGGTGTGAGTCACTGCGCCCGGCCTCTCATCTCCCTCTTATAAGGACCTTTGTGATCACATTGGGCCCATACAGATAATCCAGGATAATCTCCCCATTACAAGATCCTTAATGCGATCATGCATGCAGAGTCCCTTTTGCCATATAAAGTAACATATTTCCAGGTTCTGGGAATTGAAACGTGGATGTTTTTGAGGGGCTGTTATTCTGCCTACCACAGGCCCTATTACAATACCCCTCGTGGCCTCCAGCTCCATGCGTTGAGTCAGATCTAGGGGCTGAAAACAACCATAGATGACAGTGAGCAAGGAAACAGGGGCCTCAACTCTAAACACAAGGAACTGGACTCTGCCACAACCACGTGAGCTTGAAAGAGATGCCAGCCTCCAGATGAGGATGCAGCTCAACTAACACCTTCATTTTAACCTGTGAGACTGAGCAAAGGAGTCAGTCATGCTGGCCCCAGACCCGCCTCATAGAACTGTGGTCTGATAAATGGGTGTTGGTTTAAGCTGCTGCATTTGTAGTAAGTTATCACTGATAGAAAACAAATACATGGGTGAACTTATCACATGTTCTAGATTCAAAACATTAGCTCAAGTAGGTGTGAGTTGCACTAATAGTTCTCTCGGTTGCTTGAAATGTGGACTTAGTGGTGGCCTACACTAAATAAAGTTGAGATCCCAGTATTTCATTAGTATAAGCGGAAGAAAAAAATCAAAAGACTTAGGAAGAGAGTTATGTTGGAATGGATTTAATATGTGCAACTTGCTCACTCACTCTTTCATTACGTCCTCCCAGAAGGTTCCATTGAAACTGTCTTCATCAAGGCATTAGAAGGGAGAGGACCAGCATCGTTGAAAAGCTCTGTAGCAGCTCTTTGCTAAATGCAATGGTGGATGATCTGACCATTGAAATGAGCTTCCTGATTTCAGTGGGCATGGTGGAATCTTCAGGAAACAGTAGGTGGGTGGTAGGGCTTTCCCTCCAGAGACAAGACAGGCATGATTATCGATGTGGGCATCACGACCAGAGCTGTAATCAGGGCTCTTTGGCTATGGCTAATTAATCATTAATCAATTAACCACTAAAATCTTACTTGATCTATATAAGTGAAAATATCCAGGTGGTTGAACAGAGAGCTGACTTGAGTTGCCACAGACTCTCACCTAATTCCCAGGCCCGAACCTGTTCACAGACCTAGAAATGAAGGGAAGGCAGCAAGATCCACCACCACCACCAGGATGTGCCGCGAATCTTCCTCCTAGCTTTCAAAAGGAATCTCAGCCATTTATCATCGTGACAGTGCAATGGGGAAATGAAAACACCCAAACCTTTAGGGTAACATACAAGACATCATTGCGATCTACAAGTCAGGGTGGAGCTTATGGGGCTTAGAACATAAATGACGTGGCCGGGCACAGTGGTTCATGCCGGCAATCCTAGCACTTTGTGGGGCCAAGGCAGGTGGATTACTTGAGGTCAGAAGTTTGAGACCAGCCTGACCAACAAGGTAAAAACCTGGCTCTACTAAAGATACGAAAATTAGCCAGGCATGGTGGCAGGCGCCTGTAGTCCCACCTACTCGAGAGGTTGAGACAGGAGAATCGCTTGAACCCGGGAGGCGGGAGGCGGAGGTTGCAGTGAGCCAAGATCGTGCCACTATTCCAGCCTGGGCGACAGAGCAAGACTCCATCTCAAAAAAAAAAGAACATAAATAACATCTTACTCGAAGTTCATCTCTAGGCTCCGTCTGCGCATATTTCCCCACTTTCAAGTGGGAACCAAAGCAAGGCCATAAGGCTGCTTGAGACATTGCTGACTAGATCCAATGTTGCCTAAAATGTCTGTGGTACATCAGAAAGCTGTGTGGAGACACTGGGTAGCTAGTAGAAGAGCCACGGCACAGGTCCCCAGAGTTTTGGAGCAAAAGCAAGCCCTCTTCCACATCCTAGCATCTGACTTAATCTTGGGTCCTCAGCATGCGAGGGTTCATGAAACATGAGCTGCCCTTTATGAACTGGGTGTTGTCTGCACCACCACACTAGACTGGGCATACTTAGCAGTGCTCACCTCCTTGAATGGAAGTGGTGCCTGTGAATTTGGCTGAGTTAGTTCCTCAAGGCACAAGTAAGAGGCATGAGTAGGCAGCTGTAACTCCAGTGGCATCTCCAGCTACATTCCTAACCTCTCTCTCCATAATCACAGTCACATGAAGGGTTTCCTATGTCTAGTTGACTGAGAAAGGAAAGATTTGGTTTCCTCTGGTGTGTGGGTGGTTCTGCATGCTATTCTAACACCACAGAGAGCAGGCTGCTGCAGCATTACCACCCCACTCACGGCAGCCCTGCAGGACAGTGGGGAAGGAAAATTCTCCCAGTGATCCGAATTGTAAAGAATGCATCTGCTTTGTTTACTTTGCCTGGGCAAAGAGATGACCAGTTACAGTTAACCCTGATCAATAGGCAGTGGCTAACAGTTTGGCTAGATAACTCAGGGTGAGGAAAGACATGGTGAATTGATGACAAGGAAGTCTGGGAAAGAGGAAGGTGGACGAGTCTCTTGGGAAGGGCACAGATGGTGAGAGTATGTGCATCCCATGTGACTGTTCACCAATGGGCGTTCACTACAGAGGAAATCTTCCATGATGAGGTTGACCAAGCGATCCATTCTGCAGACGTCAGTCAATCTCTTTTTCCAGCTGCTCTAGTGCTCGCTCAGCAGGGACATGGACAAAGCAGACAGGCTGGCAGGGATGAAGCGTATGCAAGGCTCAGTGAGCTGGCCTTCCCCTCACCAAGGCCAAGCTGGACAGATAATCCATGGCTGAGTGCCTCAACTGCTAACAGCAGAGATCAGTGTTGGCCCCGTTATGTGGCACCATTCTCCAGAGAGAATGGCAGATTAATTATATCAGACCTATTTCAACCTAAAGAGAGAGGTGATTTGTCCTCATTGAAAATAGCTGCTTGCCTCCCTTGCACACAATGCTTCCTGCAGCACCACTGTCTTTGGGCTTACCAAATGCCTCATTTATCGTCATGTGTCTCCAACCACATTCTCTGACCAAGGAAATCATAATATGCTGAGAAAATAGCCTCAGAATATCTTTTTCATTTTTCAAATTGAGACATAACTTACATACCATAAAGTGCACAGATCTCATGTGCACATTTTAATGAAGTTTTACATATCTATACACCCTTGTAATCACCACCCAGATCATACACAGAACATTCTCAGCTTCCCCTGTCTGCCCCTGCAAGAAGGCTTTCTCATGCCTTCTCCCGGTCAGCCTTTTCTCCCAAGGCATCCTCAACTCTGACCTTTATTACAACAGGTTAATGTCACATGGCCTTGAACTGCATGTGAATGGAATTATACAGTAGGTACACTTTTGTTTTGACTTCTTTTACTCAACACTGACTATGAGATTCATTAATGTTATTGTGTGATTTCATAGGTTTTTTTTTTCACTACTGGGTAGCATTCCACTGCATGAATATGTCACAATTTACTTACCTGTTCTAATGTTAGTGGACTTTGGGGTTAAATTTCCACCCTGCAGTGGTATGAATGAAGCTGGCATGGTACATGTCTTTTGGTGGACACAGGTATTCATTTCTGCTGGATATTTACTCTCAGGAGTGGAAGTACCGAGTCATAGGGTATGTGTTTAATTTTAGCATTGCCAAACATTTTCCCAAGATAATTGTATCAATTTACACTCCCACTAACAATGTGTGAGAGTTCCAGTTGTTCAATGTCCTTTCCAATACTTGGTACTGGCAGTCTTTCAAATGCTAGTCATTACAGTGTGTGTATGTAGTGGTATCTCATTGCGGTTTTACATTCCACTTCTGATAAGCAGTGATATTGGGTACCTTTTCAAATGTTCACCGGCTGTTTTGATATCCTCTTTTGCTAACTATTTATCAAATATTTTGCCCAATTTAAAATTGCATCATCTTTTTCTTATTGTAGCTCTTTCTGCATTCTGGATATGAGTCGTTTGTTAGCTATATGTGTTGCAATATCTTCTCCCATCTTTGACTTTCCTTTTATAGTTAAGAATATACCTCTTAAAGGTATATGCTGATACTAGGCTTTAATGAAGTCCAAGTCATCACACTTTCTTTTAATAGCTAGTGCTTTTTGTGTCTTGCTTAAGTATCTAAGTATCTTTGCCTACCTCAAGGTCACCAAGATATTTTCTGAGGATTAAATGATGACCTTTTTTTTTTTTTTGAGACAGAGTCTTCCTCTGTCGCCCAGGCTGGAGTGCAGTGGCACAATCTCGGCTCACTGCAACCTCCACCTCCCAGATTCAACCGATTCTCCTGCCTCAGCATCCCGAGTAGCTGGGATTATAGGCACTCGCCACCACTCCTGGCTGATTTTTGTATTTATTTAGTAGAGACGGGGTTTCACCATGTTGGCCAGGCTGGTCTCGAACTCCTGACCTCAAGTGATCCACCCGCATTGGCCTCCCAAAGTGCTGGGATTACAGGCGTGAGCCACCACACCCAGCCAAATGATGACGTATTTAAAGGCTCCTGGGATAGTGATTGGTACATAATAAGCACTCAAAAAAAAAAAAAAAAAACAAAACCTGAAAGAACAAACAGGAAAACGAATACGTGTGTGGCCCTGATAATACATTCATTATGTGCTTTTGTTTCTTAGACATGTCTTGGTAATATTTATAGCACCATGAGGAAACACAGGGATGAGAAACGTTGACCCTGATGTGGCGGGAAATGGGAGAGAAGATGTCCTGAGGGTGGTTGTCGTGACTCCCCACAACAGAGGCTGAGACTCAGGAAAAACTCACAGAAGCTTTGACTTGAAGTCCCCTCCAAGCCAGTCAAAGTCTCTGAGGTCCTTTTGCTGGTTCTTTTCTTGACCTAGTCCATGTCCATCTCCATGGATCACATCCTGGGAAGCTTCCTATGCTCCATTTTAATTATTTCATGATCATTATTTTTTTCTCCTCCATGACCCCCTCCCACCCATAATATGTTTTGATACCCAATCTATGGCCACAGCCATCTTGTCCTGCCGTGGCCTCCTTGGTGGCTCCCTCTGTGATCCACTCCATGGTGTCCTCAGTGGCCTCCTCCATGTCCATAATGCCCGCCATGATTCACTCCGTAGCCATCTCCATGGATGTGGCTCAGTCCATGGCCCACTCCATATCCAAAGCCGTGTGTTCCTCCATGTCCCATTTCAAGTTCTCCTCCATGAACCAGTGCATTTCCCAGGCTGTGGAATGTCCCAGAGCCCAGGCCCAAGTTCAGGTCCAGACCAAGGCTGTGGCTGTGGCCATGGGGGTAATAAATACCACAATATCTCAGGGGGAAGAAAAGGTTTCTCTAAAAGAAAAAAATAAATACATTGATAAATGAAAATTAAGTCTCCTCTCCCTAATCACCATACATGCCTGTTTCACCAATGTCAGATTTTCACTTTTCCAAACTTCCCATGTTCTCTTCTCTTTACCACCATCCTTACTATGATCTCTGTCTCTGTCTCTCTTTTTCCTTGTTCTTTTACTCTTTCTCCGTCTGACAAAATAAGCTTCCTTGTTACCTTATTAACATATCATCTTTATGTGCGTACTCAGGCCCTAGCTCTGCAGATCATAAGGTTATGTGTTTTTGGACTTCCAAGACAAAGGTAAATCCATACCCCTATGTGAAAGGCACAGAGACTCACTTTACAGACAGTCTTTCTCTTTGTTAGTCAGCTAAGAAAGCTCAGAACAGGTACGTGGAATTGAGAGCTCTAGAAAGCTGTCTACACAGAGCCTTGAGATTATAGGCATGAACTCCAGAATCCAACTAACCTGAGTTAGAGTCTTATATCTGCCACTCACTACATGTGCTGGGGCAAATAGCTAAGATCATGAAGCTCCAGATCCCTTACTTGTAAGATGAATATAATATGGCCACGGGATTGTAGGCCAGATTAAATAACATTATGCATTTTAAACATTCAGCCTTGAGCCTAGCAGGCAGTAAAAACTCAATGTTCACTTTCGTTATTCTCTCTTGATCTTGCAAATGAAATAATAAAGTAATTTAGGGAGTAATTCTTAGATGCTGGTATTTATTATGTAGTCCACATACGGAGAGAGGCTGAGAATTCTAAAACAAAGAACCTCAGCAAATTGACTATATTATCCAAATCTTTTGTGACTTCCGTATTTTTCATTTTGTCCATTTTTACCAGTGGTATGCTGTCCAACACTTAATAACAGGCTCTCCGAGGGAAAAGTGCTGATTTGTAGTGTTTGACAATTGCTGTGGTGTAAGTATTTCCAACCCAGCATATTTTAAGCTACCAGTGTCACATCACTCAGCTCAGAATTGGGAAGAACTGCACAATCTCTTGTGGGCCAGGATGAGCCAGCTCCAGCACACCACTGATTTATACTCTGCTTCACTCCTCAAATGGTAACTTACCCGCAGGATCACAAGAAAACAGGAAGAACATCAATAAATGTGAAATCGATGTAAGAAAAATATGTATTCAAAGAACAATCAAGACCAGAGAGCAGAGATGGAGTGGGAGGTCAGAGAGTAACAGTCACAGGCCACACAAGGAATTGCTGTGAGGACCAGAAATTTGTCATACATGAGACGATCGGAAGCCCGCATTTTGGATGGCTGAACATTCTTATGCTTCTTTCTTTTCTCTATTTCTCTCTCTCTTTCTTTCCTTCTTTCTTTTTTCTTTCTCTTTCTCTCTCAGTTTCTTTCTTTCTTTCTTCCTTTCTTTCTCTTTCTTGCTTTCTTCCTTTCTTCCTCATTCTTTCTCTTTTTCTCTCTCTCTCTCCTTCCTTCCTTCCTACCTTTCTTTTCTTTCTTCCTTCCTTTCGAGACAGGATCTTGCTCTGTCACTCAGGCTGGAGTGCAGTGGCACGATCTCTGCTCACTGCAACCTCCATCTCCCAGGTTCAAGCAATTCTCGTGCCTCAGCCTCCAAAGTAGCTGGGACTACAGGTCCATGCTACCACTCTCGACTAATTTTTGTATTTTTAGTAAAGACAAGTTTCACCATGTTGGCCAGGCTGGTCTCAAATGCCTGGACTCAAGTGATCCGCCCTCCTTGGCCTTCCAAAGTGCTGGAATTACAGGGGTGAGCCACTGCGCCCAGCTGCTTCTTGCTTTCTTTATGTTTATGTCCTCCTTGTTCTCTCTCAGTATTTCCCTTGTTCTGTCAGTATTTCCCTTCACTTTGGCCCCAACTCCATCTTTTCCCTCCTCTTTTTCTACTTTGCTTCTCACTTTCTCTGACTTAAGCATTCTCTCTGGTCCTTATATCAGGCTAGGTGATTCTTTCCTTCTGAGCGCACCAACTTACTCCCCTTTCTCATTCTGGATTTTTCCAAAGCACTGCTGACATGATTCCCCCCTGCCTTCTTGCCAGGCTCCCCTATGAACCCACCCTGGGTACTCACCAGACAAAAACTCAGTCCTACTGACAATCCAACAGCAGCCACAACTGCAGCCAGGGAAATGAGGATGATAGCCCAGGGCTGTAAATATCCACTTGGTTTGATCACGTTTGTGGGTGTGTGGCTCATGCTAACTGTGTTTGTGCCCATGGACACCGGGCCTGTTTCCTGGAAGGTGCTGCTGGTTGGCTCACGGGTGGATCCTGTGGTGGTCCTGACGCCGTGGGCTGAGGTGGTAGATGATGCTCCCATAGTGGATGTACCCAGGCCAGAGGTGTTTAAGACTATTCCTGGCACAGTATGGCTGGCAGCAGAGGCCGTGAAGTCCATTCCAGGGGCCATGGTGACAGAGCTGGAGGCAGTGAGTCTGGTTCCAGTGGTTCTGGTGCCTATGAAACAGGTCACACAAGATGATGCATTTGTAGCAGAGATGATTAAAGGGGAATGGGGGTGCTTAGACCAGAGGAGGGTGAATCTAACAAACCTATGGTGGAGGTGGCTCAGGAGAGGTGTGGTGGGGGAGGAGAGATGGTAGAAAGCGATTCTGCTGTGGCCATGTCCCCAGAATGCAGGTGGGTGTCATACAGAGAAGGAGGTAGAATGTGTCACCTGGTGGAGTTGGTGATGGAGGAGGCAGAAGTTTGAGGAAACGTTATCGCGATGGGTTCAGAAGTGGAAGATCTATTTGACTTCAGAAGTGGCCACCCAAATAGAAGAGGGTGGGCTGATAAAAATGAATGAATTAACAGCATTTGCAGTGACCTGGATGAGATTTTAGACTATTCTTCTAAGTGAAGTAACTCAGGAATGGAAAACCGAACATCGTATGTTCTCACTGATATGTGGGAGCTAAGCTATGGAAATACGAAGACATAAGAATGATGCAATGGACTTTGGGGACTTTGGGGGAAGAGTGGGAGGGGGCGAGGGATAAAAGACTTCAAATATGGTGCAGTGTATACTACTAGGGTGATGGGTGCACCAAAATCTCACAAATCACCACTAAAGAACTTATTCATATAACCAAATACCACCTGCATCCCAATAACTTATGGAAAAAATTGAAAATAAATAAATCAAAGCAGATCAAATAAGTGGGTGGGCTGGTATACAAAGCGGCAGGCCCTGCTTCTTTTGTGACTGTGATCACTGGGTGTAAGGAGGGAGCTGGAGGAGGAGATGGTAGAATTGGATTCACTCATGGGCATGCCAGTGGCCGTGGCTGGGACAGAGGTGACATCATCTACCACACTGTGGTGATCAGCAAAGGTGAGGTGAGTGTGCTTGGGCAGATGTAGGAGGACCTGACCCAAGTGGAGAAGGCTGCTCACAGGGATAGGAGAGGGTGGGCTCAGACAGGTGTGAGCACGAATCAACACAGCAGAGGCGGTGGTGGCGGCTTAGGTAGCGATGGGTGTGCCTAGGTCAGAAGTGGTTAAAATGGGATCACAAACAGCACCAGTCATGAGAATAGAAGTGAGTATGCTTAGAACCAAGAGGATAGAATCAGATGTAACCGGCTTGCTGATGGCAAGTGCCAGAGAATGAACAAAATTGTTTGGTCTCAGACTGGAGCAAAGGTTGCCAAATTTTTTCTGTAAAGGTCCAAACAGCAAATAATTTAGGCTTTTGGGCCAGGCTGTCTCTGTTGCAAATACACGGAAAAGCAGAAAAGCAGCTGGAGACAAACCATAAATGAATGGGCATGACTATGTTCCAGTAAAACTTTACAAAACCAGGTAACAGGTGAGACTTGACCCATGAAATGTGGTCTGCCAGCCTCTGGTCTAGAGTCAATACATTGATAGGAGGTGGCAGTGTCACAGATGGTTGGTTGAATAGAGATAATCTACTTGGCACCGAAGTGGGAGCATTTCACAAAACTGTGATGGGCCAGTAGAGTTGAGGCGGGCTTGCTGGAGGAAGATGTGACAGATATGATGCACTTGTGGTTTACTATATTGTGGTTCTGATTGCAATGGAAGTGGTGGGCACTTAAAAAAAAAGAGGTGAGACCAGAGTAGAGGCAATTAGGATTCCAGAAGAGGACATTTTTTTTTTTTTTTTTTTTGAGACGGAGTCTCGCTCTGTCGCCCAGGCTGGAATGCAATGGCGCGATCTCTGCTCACTGCAAGCTCCACCTCCCGGATTCACATCATTCTCCTGCCTCAGCCTTCCGAGTAGCTGGGACTACAGGTGCCCGCCACCACGCCCAGCTAATTTTTTGTATTTTTAGTAGAGACTGGATTTCACCGTGTTAGCCAGGATGGTCTCAATCTCCTGATCTCGTGATTCGCTCGCCTCAGCCTTCCAATGTGCTGGGATTACAGGCATGAGCCACCGCGCCCAGCCTAGAAGAGGAAATTATATCTAACTGTGTGCTGGCTTGACTTGAACCAGGGCAGAGATGATAGAAACAGGTGAACAGCTGGTGGTTGCCACTGGAGTTAAAATGTGTGGGCTCAAAGAAGACATGGGGGTTAGTACCTGACATAGGTGTGTTGGTGATGGGCTGGATAGAAACGTCAGTGGCCTTGGTGAGTACAAACGTGGTGGAAGAGACAGTGGTGGAGGCTGCAGTGGCCCCAGAAGCTGTGATAGAGACTGTGGTGGTCTCAGAGCCTGTGAGGGAAGTTGCAGTGGGCTCCAAGCTTGCAGTGGAAGCTATGGTGGTCTCAGAGCCTATGATGAAGGCAGTGTTGGTCTCAGAGCCTGCACTGGAGGGTGTGGAGGTCTCAGAACCTGTGGTACAGGCTGTGTTGGTCTCAGAGCCTGAAGTGGAGGCTGTGGTGGTCTCAGAGCCTGCAGTGGAGGCTGTGGTGGTCTCAGAGCCTGCAGTGGAGGCTGTGGTGGTCTCAGAGCCTGCAGTGGAGGCTGTGGTGGTCTCAGAGCCTTCAGTAGAGGTGGTGGTGGCCTCAGAGCCTGCAGCAGAGGATGTGGTGGCCTCAGAGCCTATGGTAGAGACTGTGGTGGTCTCAGAGACTGTGGTAAAGACTGTAGTCATCTCAGAGCCTGTGGTAGAGGCTGTGGTGGTCTCAGAGCTAGTGGTAGAAACTGTAGTGGCCTCAGAGCCTTCAGTAGAGGCGGTGGTAGTCTTAGAGCCTGTGATATAGACTGTTGTGGTCTCAGAGCCTGCGGTAGAGGCTGTGGTGGTCCCAGAGCCTGAGGTGGAGACTGTGGTGGTCTCCAAATCTGCGGTAGAGGCTGTGGTGGTCTCAGAGCCCGTGGTAGAGACTGTGGTTGTCTCAGAGCCTTCAGTAGAGGTGGTGGTAGTCTCAGAGCCTGTGGTATAGACTGCTGTGGTCTCAGAACCTGCAGTAGTGACTGTAGTGGTCTCTGAACCTTCAGTAGAGGTGATGGTAGTCTCAGTGCCTGTGGTAGAGACTGTGGTGGTCTCAGAGCCTGTGGAGGAGACTGTAGTGGTCTCAGAGCCTTCAATAGAGGCTGTGGTGGTCTCAGAGCCTGCAGTAGAGACTGTGGTGGTCTCTGAGCCTGCAGTAGAGGCCGTGGTGGTCTCAGAGCCCATAGTAGTGACTGTAGTGGTCTCAGAGCCTTCAGCAGAGACTGTGATGGTCTCAGAGCCTGTGGTAGAAACTGTAGTGAGCTCAGAGCCTTCAGTAGAGGCTGTGGTGGTCTCAGAGCCTTCAGTAGAGGCTGTGGTGGTCTCAGAGCCTGTGGTAGAAACTGTAGTGATCTCAGAGCCTTCAGTAGAGGCTGTGGTGGTCTCAGAGCCTTCAGTAGAGGTGGTGGTAGTCTCAGAGCCTTCAGTAGAGGCTGTGGTGGTCTCAGAGCCTATGGTAGTGGCTGTAGTGGTCTCAGAGCTTTCAGTAGAGGCTGTGGTGGTCTCAGAGCCTTCAGTAGAGGCTGTAGTGGTCTCAGAGCCTTCAGTAGAGGTGGTGGTGGTGGTCTCAGAGCCTGCTGTAGAGGCTGGGATGGTCTCAGAGCCTGCAGTGGAGACTGTGGTGGTCTCAGAGGCTGTGGTAGAGGCTATGGTGGTCTCAGAGTTTTCAGTGAAGACTGTGGTCATTTTAGAGCTTGCAGTGGAGACCTTGGTGGTCTCAGAGCCTATGGTAGAGGCCATAGTGGTCTCAGAGCCCATGATGGATGCCATGGTGGTCTCAGAGCTTGTAGTAGAGGCTGTGGTGGTCTCAGAGCCTGTAGTAGAGGCTGAGGTGGTCTCGGAGCCTTCAGTAGAGGCTGTGGTGGTCTCGGAGCCTTCAGTAGAGGCTGTGGTGGTCTCAGAGCCTGTGATGGAGGCTGTAGTAATCTCAGAGCCTTCAGTAGAAGTGGTGGTGGTCTCTGAACCTGTGGTAGAAACTTTAGTGGTCTCAGAGCCTGTGATGGAGACTGTAGTGGTCCCAGAGCCTTCAGTAGAGACTGTGGTCTCAGAGCCTGTGGCAGATACTGTAGTGGTCTCAGAGCCTTCAGTAGAGGTGATGGTCCTCTCAGAGCCTGTGGTAGAGACCATGGTGGTCTCAGAGTCTGTGGTGGAGACTGTAGTGGTCTCAGAGCCTTCAGTAGAGGCTGTGGTGGTCTCAGAGCTTGTAGTAGAGGCTGTGGTGGTCTCAGAGCCTGTAGTAGAGGCTGAGGTGGTCTCAGAATCTGCAGTAGATGCTGTGGTGTTCTCAGAATCTGCAGTAGAGACTGTGGTGGTCTCAGAGCCTGCAGTGGAGGCTGCAGTGGTCCCAGAGCCTTCAGTAGAGTCTGTGGTGGTCTCAGCACCTGTGGTGGAGACTGTAGTCATCTCAGAGCCTTCAGTGGAAGTGGTGGTGGTCTCCAAGCCTGTGGTGGAAACTGTAGTGGTCTCAGAGCCTGTGGTGGAGACTGTAGTGTTCTCAGAGCCTTCAGTAGAGACTGTGGTCATCTCAGAGCCTGTGGCAGAGACTGCAGTGGTCTCAGAGCCTTCAGTAGAGGCTGTGGTGGTGTCAGAGCCTATGGTAAAGACTGTGGTGGTCTCCAAGCCTGTATTAGAGGCTGTGGTGGTCTCAGAGCCTGTAGTATAGGCTGTTTTGGTCTCAGAGCCTGCGGTAGTGACTGTAGTGGTCTCAGAACCTTCAGTAGAAGCTGTGGTGGTCTCAGAGTCTGAAGTAGAGGCTATTGTGATCTCAGAGCCTTCAGTAGAGGCTGTAGTGGTCTCAAAGACTGTGGTGGAGACTGCAGTCATCTCAGAGCCTTCAGTACAGGTGGTGGTGGTCTCTGAGTCTGTGATAGAAACTGTAGTGGTCTCAGAGCCTGTAGTGGAGACTGTAGTGGCCTCAGAGCCTTCAGTGGAAGCTGTGGTGGTCTCAGAGCCTTCAGTAGAGGCTGTGGTGGTCTCAGAGCCTGTGGTAGAATCTGTGCTGGTCTCAGAGCCCATGATGGAGGCTGTGGTGGTCTCAGAGCCTGTGGTAGAGACTGTGGTGGTCTCAGAGCCTACGGTAGAGGCTCTGATTGTCTCAGAGCCTGCAGCAAAGACTGTGGTCACCTCAGAGCTTGCAGTGGAGACCTTGGTGGTCTCAGGGCCTATGGTAGAGGCCATAGTGGTCTCAGAGCCCATGGTGGATGCCATGGTAGGCTCAGAGCCTGTAGTAGAGGCTGCGGTTGTCTCAAACCCTGTAGTAGAGGCTGTGGTAGTCTTAGAATCTTCAGTAAATGCTGTGTTGGTTTCAGAATCTTCAGTAGAGGCTGCAGTGGTCTCAGAGCCTGCAGTGGAGACTGTGGTCTCAGAGCCTGCAGTTGAGACTTTGGTGGTCTCAGAGCCCATGGTGGAGGCTGCAGTCGTCTCAGAATGTGCAGTAGAGGCTGTTGTGGTCTCAGAGCCTGTGGTGGAGACTGTAGTGGTCTCAGAGCCTGCAGTAGAGACTGTGGTGGTCTCTGAGCCTGCAGTAGAGGGTGTGATGGTTTCCGAGCCTGCAGTGAAGACTGTGGTCATCTCAGAGCCTGTGGTAGAGGCTGCAGTGGTCTCAGAATCTGCAGTATAGGCTGTGGTGGTCTCAGAGCCCACGGTGGAGACTGTGGTGGTCTCAGAGCCTGCAGTAGAGGTGACGGTGGTCTCAGAGCTTGTAGTAGAGTTTGTGGTGGTCTCTGAGCCCATGGCAGAGACCATGGTGGTCTCAGTGCCTGTGATAGAGACTGTAGTGGTCTCAGAGCCTGCAGTGGAGACGGTGGTCTCAGAGCCTGCCATAGAAGCTGTGGTGGTCCCAGAGCCTGCACTAGAGACTGTGGTGTTCTCGGATCCTGCCGTAGAGGTGGTGGTGATCTCAGAACCTGAAATAGAGACTATGGTGGTCTGAGAGCCTGTGGGGGAGGGGGTGGTGGTCTCAGAACCTGCTGTAGAGGCTGTGGTGGTCTCAGAGGCTTTAATCAGGATTGTAGTGGTCTCAGAGCCTGTGGTAGAGGCTGTGGTGGTGTTAGAGCCTGCAGCGGGGGCCACAGTGGTCTCAGAGCTCATGCTGGACGCCGTGATCACCTTGGAGTCTGCAGTTGAGGTTGTGGTGGCCTCAGAGCCTGCCATGGAGGTGGAGGTAGTGGTGGTCTCAGAACCTGCAGTAGATGCTGTGGTGGTTTCAGAGCCTGTGGTAGAGACTTTAGTGGCCTCAGAGCTTGCAGTGGAGGTGGTGGTGGTCTCAGAGCCTGTGGTAGAGACTGTGGCAGTCTCAGAGCCTGTGGTGGAGGCCATGGTGGTCTCAGAAATTATGGAGGAGGCCATCGTTTTCTCAGAGCCTGCAGTGGAGGTTGTGCTGGAGGCCATGGTAGTCTCAGGGACTGTAGTGGAGGCTATAGTAAAGGTTGTTGTGGTCCCAGAGACTGTGGTGGAGGCCACGATAGTTTCAGAGCCTGCAGTGGAGACTGTGGTTGTGTCAGAGCCTGTGGTGAAGGTCCCAGTGGAGGCTATAGTAGTCCCTGAGTCTGTGGTAGAGGCCGTGTTGGTCTCAGAGCCTGTGGTGAAGGCTGCAGTAGAAGCCATGGTGGAGGCTGAGGTTGTCTCAGAGCCTGTGGTAGAGTCTGTGGTGATCTTAGAGCCTGTAGTTAAGGCCGAAGTAGAGGCCATGGTGGAGGCCATGGTGGTCTCAGAGCCTGTGATGGAGGCTGTGGTGGTGTCGGAGCCTTTTGTGAAGGCTGTGGTATTCTCAGAGCCTGAGGTGGAGAACAAATAAGGTGGTGGGAATGGGTTAAAGACGAATTTGCAGGTTTAGTATAGTGTTACTTTCACATATACTCAGTACTTCTTATTCATTTATTTATTCAGTTATTGAGGGCTTAACATGTACCTGGTATTTTACTAAACTCTGGGCATACTCCTGTCAGCAAAAGGGATATGGGCTTATAATTTAGTAAAGAAGAGAGCTACAACATAAAATATAAATACACATTGGCTTAAGTGCTGTTAAAGAAAGCAGTGGTGCTGCTTTAGATACTGGAGTCAGAAAAGGTCTCTCTGAGGAACTGACATATGAACTGAGATCTGAAGGATAAGAAGGCAGCCATTTGGGCTGGGCGCAGTGGCTCAAGCCTGTAATCCCAGGCGGATCACCTGAGGCCGGGAGTTCAAGACCAGCCTGACCAATATGGAGAAACCCCATCTCTACTAAAAATACAAAATTAGCCAGGCATGGTGGCGCATGCCTATAATCCCAGCTATTCAGGAGGCTGAGGCAGGAGAATCACTTGAACGGGAAGGAGGAGGTTGCAGTGAGCCAAGATTGCACCACTGCACTCCAGCCTGGCCAACAAGGGCAAAACTCCATCTTAAAAAAAAAAAAAAAAAAAAGAAGGCAGCAATTTGAAAGGCCAGGAGAAGGACATCACAGATTGATAGCATAAGTACAAATACCCTGAGTTGTTAATGAGCTCGATGTGATTCATGAATAAATAGGAGACCAGGGTGGCTGGAATGTAGTTACTGAAGGAGAAAACGAGGCGGTAGAGAGACCTTTTCTAACCATAATCTCTGAAGCAGGACCCCTGCCTTTTTAACAACACATAACCCAAAGGTGTATTTACATTCTTTATATTCTAAACTCTTCTTTACAAGAACATAAGCCCACATTTCTTTTGCTGACAGGGGTATACTCAGAGTTTAGCAAAATACCATGGTAGAAAGGTTAAATTTCATCTCAAATACAATGAAGACCCACTGGAATAACATACTCTGGTTAATTTCTCTTTGTTTTTATTTTGAAAAAAAAATCACAAATTCTTTTGTAACAAGTATAACACAAAGAACCCTTTTCCCTGAATCATTTGGGAGTTACTTGGTAACCTGATGTCTCATTATCCTTCAATACTTTATATATTCTCATACGCAACCATAATACAGCCATCAAGATCAAGAAATTCACATGAATATATTGCTGCCACCTGATCCTTAGATCCCTTTCAAGTTTTGTTAGTTGTTCTAATAATGTCTTTAATAGTAAACCAGTTCAATTCAGAATCGTGTGTTGTTTTTCGTTGTTCTGTCTCTTTAGTCTTCTTCAGTCTGGTGCAGTTCTTCAGTCTTCCTTTGATCTTCATAACTTTTAACCTTTGAAGATTACAGGTCAATTATTTTATAGAATTTTCCTTAAACTGAGTTTTTGTAATGTTTCATCATGATTAGGCTCATGTTATTAATCTTTGCCAGGAAAACCACTGAAGTGATGCTGTATTCTTCTCTTTGCATACTATCAGGTGACAGATAATATCAATGTGTCCCATCATTGATGATGTTCTCTTGGATTACTTGATTAAGAAGGTGTATCCAGGCTGGTTTTTCTCCCTTTGTAGTTAGTAAATATTGTGTTGTGATTATAATTGTGAAATGTCTCTCTTTATCCCTAATAATATACCTCTTCTTAAGCCTATTTTGTCTGATTTTGAAATAGTCACTCAATTTTTTTCTAAATTGATGTTAGCATGGCTAACATACAGTATGGCCGTATCTTTCTTCCTCTTATTTTTATCCTATTGTTTACCCTATTTGTAGTTATAGTTAGTTAAAATGTATTTCTTGGTTGAATATTATTTATTTGGGGCTTTCTTTTTTAACCAATGTGTCAATCTCTGCCTTTTAATTGTGGTGTCTGGACCATATACATTTAATGTAATTATAAATACGTTGGGTCTGATTCTTTTTTAGAGACAGAGTCTTGCTCTGTCACTCAGGCTATAATGCAGTGGCACAATCACGGCTGACTGCAGCCTTGACTTCCTAAGCTCAAGAAATCCTCCTGCCTCAGCCTCCGAACTATCTAGGATCACAGGCACGAGTCATGATGCCTGGCTAATTACTTTTTAATTTTTATTTCTTGTAAAGATGGGGTCTCCCTATGTTGCCTGGGCTTGTCTCGAACTCCTGGGCTCAAGTAATCTTCCTGCCTCAGCCCCAAAAAGTGCTGGAATTACAAGTGTGAACCACTGTAGCTGGCCCTGAATTTAATAGTCTTCATATTTGTTTTCTATTTTTCTCGTCTGATCTTCTTACCTTTTCCTCCATTTTTCACCTACTTTTTTTTTTTTTAATTAACCCAGTATTTTGTTTTTTGTTTTGTTTTGTTTTTTGAGCGTCTTGATCTGTCACTCAGGCTGGAGTGCAGTGATGGGATCTCAGCTCACTGCCAATTCCACTTCCCAGGTTCAAGTGATTCTCCTGCCTCGGCCTCCTGAGTAGCTGGAACCACAGGCATGTGCCACCACGCCCAGCTAATTTTTGTATTTTTAGTAGAGACAGGGTTTCACCACGTTGCCCAGGCTGGTCTCTAACTCCTGGCCTCAAGTGATCCACCTGCCTCAGCCTCCCAAAGGGCTGGGATTACAGGCATAAACCGCTGCACCATGACCTGAGTCATTTTTGACCCCATTTTATTTCCACCATTAGCTTATTAAATATCATTCTTATTTGTGTGCCTTTGCTCTAGGATTTACGATATACACCTTTATCACTGTCTACCTCCCAGTGAGCTCATTCCTCTTCCTGTAAAGGCATGAGAGTCTCAACACAGTACACTTCCATTTCCTTTTTCTATCCCTTGTACCACTGTTGTCATACATTTTATGTCTACATATAAGCCTCATAATTCATTGTTACTCAAGTATATTATCTTTTAAAATTTAAATGAAAAAAATTTTATTTTTACCCATATATTTATCATTTCCAGCACACTTCATTCTTTTTTGCATAGATCTAAATTTTTTCTTCCTGAAGAACTTTTACATTTAAAAAAAAATGTCAGTCTTGCCCGTCAGTTCACGCCTGTAATCCCAGCATTTTGGGAAGCAGAGGCAGGCAGATCACCAGGAGTTCGATACCAGCCTAACCAAAATTGAGAACCCCCATCTGTACTAAAAATACAAAATTAGCCAGGCATGGTGTGGCTAATTACATGCCTGTAATCCCAGCTACTCGACAGGCTGAGGCAGGAGAATCGCTTGAACCCAGTGTGTCCGGAATTGGTGGGTTCTTGGTCTCACTGACTTCAAGAATGAAGCCACAGACCCTCACAGTGAGTGTTACAGCTCTTAAGGTGGCATGTCTGGAGTTTGCTCCTTCTGATGTTCGGATGTGTTCGGAGTTTCTTCCTTCTGGTGGGTTTGTGCTCTCGCTGGCTCATGAGTGAGGCTGCAGACCTTCACAGTGAGTGTTAACAACTCTTAAGGCCGTGCGTGTGGAATTGTTCCTTCCTCTCAGTGGGCTCGTGGGCTCGCTGGCTTCAGGAGTGAAACTGCAGACCTTTACGGTGAGTGTTACAGATCATAAAAACAGTGTAGACCCAAAAAGTGAGCAGTAGCAAAATCTATTGCAAAAAGCAAAAGAACAAAGTTTCCACAGTGTGGAAAAGGACCCAAGCAGGTTGCCACTGCTGGCTCGGGCAGCCTGCTTTTATTCTCTTATCTGGCCCCACCCACATCCTGCTGATTGGTAGAGCCAAGTGGTCTGTTTTGACAGGGTGCTGATTGGTGCGTTTACAATCCCTGAGCTACATTCAAAGGTTCTCCACGTCCCCATCAGATTAGTTAGATACAGAATATGGACACAGAGGTCCTCCAAGGCCCCTCCAGAGCAGCTAGATACAGAGTGTCGATTGGTGCACTCACAAACCTTGAGCTAAACACAGGGTGCTGATTGGTGTGTTTACAAACCTTGAGCTAGATACAGAGTGCCGATTGGTGTATTTACAATCCCTGAGCTAGACATAAAGGTTCTCCAAGGCCCCACCAGAGCAGCTAGATACAGAGTGTTGATTGGTGCACTCACAAACCCTGAGCTAGACACAGGTTGCTGATTGGTGTGTTTACAAACCTTGAGCTAGATACAGAGTGCCGATTGGTGTATTTACAATCCCTGAGCTAGACATAAAGGTTCTCCAAGGCCCCACCAGAGCAGCTAGATACAGAGTGTCCATTGGTGTACTCACAAATCCTGAGCTAGACACAGGGTGCTGATTGGTGTATTTACAATCCCTAAGCTAGACATAAAGACTCTCCACGTCCCCACCAGACTCAGGAGCCCAGCTGGCTTCACCCAGTGGATCCCGCCCCGGGGCCGCAGGTGGAGCTGCCTGCCAGTCCTACGCCATGCGCTCACAGTCCTCAGCCCGTGGGCGGTCGGTGGGACTGGGCGCCCTGGAGCAGGGGGCGGCGCTCATCGGGGAGGCTCCGGCCGCACAGAAGCCCATGGAGGGGGTGGGAGGCTCAGGCATGGCGGGCTGCAGGTCCCCAGCCCTGCCCCATGGGAAGGCAGCTAAGGCCCAGTGAGAAATCCAGTGCAGCGCCAGTGGGCCGGCACTGCTGGGGGACCTAGTACACCCTCCGCAGCCACTGGCCCGGGTGCTAAGCCCCTCACTGCCCGGGGCCTGCAGGGCCCGCTGGCTGCTCCGAGTGCGGGGCCGCCAAGCCCACGCCTACCCGGAACTCCAGCTGGCCCGCAAGCGCCGCGCACAGTCCCGGTTCCCGCTCGCGCCTCTCCCTCCACACCTCCCTGCAAGCTGAGGGAGCCGGCTCTGGCCTCGGCCAGCCCAGAAAGGGACTCCCACAGTGCAGCGGTGGGCTGAAGGGCTCCTCAAGTGCCGCCAAAGTGGGAGCCCAGGCAGAGGAGGTGCCGAGAGCAAGCGAGGGCTCTGAGGACTGACAGCACGCTGTCACCTCTCACCGGGGGGCAGAGGTTGCAGTGAGCCAAGATCGTGCCATTACACTCCAGCCTGGGGCAACAAGAGCGAAACTCCGTATCAAAAAAAAAAAAAAAAAAAAAAAAAAAAAGTCAATTTCCAGGAGGCAAGGTCTTCCAGTTTTTGCTTGTCTAGAAAAGCCTTCATTTCATCTTCATATTGAAAATATTCTTACTCCGTGTAATTCTAGGTTGATAAAGTATTTTTTTCTTTCAGTATTTTAATGATGTTGCTTCTTTATCTTCTGGTTGTCATGGTTTTTCACAGGAAGTCTGTTATGCTTGTCTTTGCTCCTCTCTATACAATGTGTCTTTTCTAGCTCGTTCTAGGATTTCCCTTTTATCACTGATTTTTAGTTATTTGATTACGTTGTACTTTGGTATGATTTTTTAAAGTTTATTTTCCTTGATATTTGTTGAGTTCTTGGGATCTGTGAGTTTATAGTTTTCATCAAATTTAATTTTTTCAGCTACTATTTCTTTAAACATGTTTTCGGTTCCCTTTTTTTCTGGAACTTCAATAACACATATTGTAGACAAAACATTGTCTCACAAAATCACTGGTATTCTATTCATTCATTTTCAGCCCATACTCCCTCCACCCCATACTCCCTCTCACCCTCACAAGATTCTGACAAAACATGCCAGGCTGCCACTCTGTGGAGAAGTCCACTTCATCCAATTTAGTTTCTTGCTCTGTCACCCAGGCTGGAGTGCAGTGGTGCTATCTCGGTTCATTGCAACTTCCACCTCCCGGGTTCAAGGGATTCTCCTGCCTCAGCCTCCTGAGTAGCTGGAAATACAGACATGCGCTACCACACCCAGCTAATTTTTGTATTTCTAGTAGAAACAGAGTTTTGCCATGTTGGCCAGGCTGCCCTCGAACTCCTGACCTCAGGTGATCTGCCCACCTCAGCCTCCCAAAGTGCTAGGATTACAGGCGTGAGCCACCGCACCCGGCCCAGTTCAGTTTCTTATATCCTTCTCTGGGCCACTGCTGTCTCCCCTCCTGTCCAACCCTGATATCTGCTTTGCTCTGCCTCACCTAATGATCTGGGGCTTAATCATTCAGGAAGGGAAGAGAAAGTAGAAAACAAAACTGATTTATGTTTTTAAAAGATGCTGTGTGAAAACTGGCATGTAGGAGGGCAAGAGTGAAAAAATTAAGAGCAGTAATTATTGCTTGAACTAGGATGGTAGCAGGGGAGATACATTTCAGTGGATGAATACAAGCTATGTTTTGAAATTAGAAAAGTAGAACCAATAGGAAGTGTTGAAAGGCTGCATGTGGTGGATGACAAGAAAAGAAGTCAAGAACAACTTCTAGCTTTGGGGCTTACGCAGAGTTGGAAATTAGTTCTATTTATCTGAATGAATAGGGATGAAGTGGAAGTTGGAAATATTAGACTTTGAACTTTTTGTGCCCATTAGATATCCAGGAGACTGTTGGCAGTTGGAAACCTGCACTTAGTTCTCAGAGGAGAAATCAGATCAAAAGACGTGAAACTGGAAGTCATTTAAATATACATTGTATTTAAAGCCATGAAGCTGACTGAGATCACTTGTCTGGGAGAGTATAGTTGGAGAATAGGGCGCTGGACCAAGCTCTGGCCACTGCATCACTCAGATAGAGGAGGAGACGCAAATTAATGAGACTGAGAAGGAGCATCCACTAAGGCAGAAAGAAAACTCTAAAAAGTGAATCAAGGAAGTCAAGAGAATAGAGAGGCTCTAGAAAAATATGGCAGTTAGCTGAATTGATTTTTGCAGAGAGATCAAGTAAGATATGGCCTGGGCCATGTCCATTGGATTCAGAGACAATATGGAAGTGAGTTTAGTTTATTGAAAACAGATTTGCATGATGGGGTAGACCCCAATTGGAATGAATAAAAGAATAAGTATATATGGAGGCTTACGGATTTCATAGAAGAATAAAAAGTAGAGAAATAACAAAACACATACCTCCACAAGGACAAACGATGGAGAGATAACAGCAGAGGAGATATTTAATTTTTGTTTTTTTGAAGGTAATAGGCAGATGAGTGGTAACTCTCCAACACAACAGAGAAAGCTTCAACATACAGGCCTCCATTGGGGGTGAGAGTAAGTCAACTACTGGTAGATTATTAATTCTGTGGAATCCTGGAAAGATTCGGGAATTGCAACTGGGTTCCTCTAAAGATTTGGGTGTGGCATGTGACTAAATACAGGAAGGATAGTTGAAATACAATGTAGCTAGGAACTGTCTCTCAGCTCCAGATCACTCCTTCCACTCAAGGACTTGGATGAATACACCTCTCTCCCTTTTAACAGCTTAGGGTTTTATCTCTGGAGATACTGAAACCAAAGAAACTCTAGACCAGTAATCCCAGGCACTGCTGAAGGCAGGAGTGAAAGTGTATCCAGAATTGGTGGGTTCTTGGTCTGACTTGAACAATGAAGCCGTGGACTCTCGCCGTGAGTGTCACAGTTCTTACAAGTGGTGTGTCCTGAGTTTGTTCCTTCTGATGTTCAGATGTGTTCGGCGTTTCTTCTGGTGGGTTCGTGATCTCACTGGCCTCAGGAGTGAAACTGCAGATTTTCGCAGTGAGTGTTACAACTCATAAACGCAGTGTGGACTCAGAGTGAGCAGCAGCAATATTTATCACAAAGAGTGAAAGAACAAAGTTTCCACACTATGGAAGGGTACCCAAGCGGATTGCCACTGCTAACTCAGGGCAGCCTGCTTTTATTCCCTTATCTGGTGGCACCCACATCCTACTGATTGGTCCATTTTACAGAGCGCCGATTGGTCTGTTTTACAGAGAGCTGATTGGTCTGTTTTGACAAGGTGCTGATTGGTGTGTTTACAATCCCTGAGCTAGACACAAAAGTTCTCCAAGTCCCCACAGAGCACTGATTGGTGCATTTACAAACCTTGAGCTATACACAGGGTGCTGATTGGTATGTTTACAAACCTTGAGCGAGACACAGGGTGCTGATTGGTGTATTTACAGTCCCTTAGCTAGACATAAAGATTCTCGAAGTCCCCACCAGATTAGCTAGACACAGGGTGCTGACTGGTGTGTTTACAAACCTTGAGCTAGACACAGAGTGCTGATTGGTGTATTTACAATCCCTTAGCTAGACATAAAGATTCTCCGAGTCCCCACCAGATTAGCTAGACACAGGGTGCTGATTGGTGCATTTGCAAACCTTGAGCTAGACACAGAGTGCTGATTGGTGTATTTACAATCCCTTAGCTAGACATAAAGGTTCTCCAAGTCCCCACTACACTCAGGAGCCCAGCTGGCCTCACCTAGTAGATCCCGCACCCGGGCCGCAGATGGAGCTGCCCGTCAGTCCCACGCCGTGCGCCAGCACTCCTCAGCCCTTGGGCAGTCTATGGGACCGGGTGCCGCAAAGCAAGGGGCAGCGCTCGTCTGGGAGGTTCTGGCTGCGCAGGAGCCCATGGCGGCGTGGGGGAGGCTCAGGCATGGCGGGCTGCAGGTCCCGAGCCGTGCCCCTCAGGGAGGCAGCTGAGGTCCGGCGAGAATTGGAGCGCAGCACCCGCCGGCACTGCTGGGGAACCTGGCGCACCCTCCGCAGCTGCTGGCCCGGCTGCTAAGTTCCTCACTGCCTGGGGCCAGCTGTGCTGGCCACGCCAGCCCGAGGCTCAGAGTGTGGGGCCCCCCGAGGCCACGCCCACCTGGAACTAGTGCTGGCCCGCAAGTGCCGCAGGCAGCCCGGGTTCCCGCCCGTGCCTCTCCCTCCACACCTCCCTGAAAGCTGAGGGAGCTGGCTCCGGCCTCGGCCAGCCCAGAGAGGGTCTCCCACAGTGCAGCGGGGGGCTGAAGGGCCCCTCAAGCACAGCCAGAATGGGTGGCGAGGCCGAGGAGGCTCCGAGACTGAGCGAGGGCTGCCAGCACCCTGTCCCCTCTCAAAAGGTTTTACTGAAACTATGCAATTAAGGAAATGCTTACACCCTGAAATGTAAAACCCACATTACCTATTCCCTTGCTCAGCTTCCAGCACTTCAGCAGCTATGCTAGTATGCTCTAGACAGGATCTGGAGAATTCTTCTTGTGGAAAGAAATTAGCCAACACTAGATACTGACATTTTGAGGATCTTCCCAATCTAAACTGCCACGTCTCTGCTAAATTACCCTAAAGCTAAGTCCACCAGTTGACAGGCCCTACCCCTGCTCACAAAGCTTCCAGGCATCATATTAGTGCCTCACTCAAATGCAAAGGACATTCTGGGATTACCAGATATTTGAGAAAAATCTCTAGCTTGAAATATAGAGACCAAAACAAATATCCCTATGAAGCAAAGCCAGAGAGAACTGAGACAATGCAAACAGCAAAACCAACTTCAAATGTCCTCAGCAATATAAGAGAAAGTATAGCACCCACAAAAAAAAAAAGTAAGAGATGCCATCTTAAAAATGGTTGTAGAGAAAAAAAAGATCTCTTTGAAAAAAAAAAACCTCAAAATTCACTAGAAGGATTTGAAGACTTTAGAAGCTGAGGAAATCTCCCCAGAAGAAAAATAAAACGACAGAGTTGGAAGACAGAAGAAGAAATATAAGAAAATTAGAGTGTCAGCCCAGGAGGTCAAACATCCAAATTATAAGATTTTTTCAGAAAGACGGAACAGAGAAAATGGACGAGAGGCAATTATCAAAGAAAAAAAATGCAATAAAATTTCCCAGAACTGACTGATACAACTTTCTACTGTGCAAATTCCTAACACAATGAAAGAATCCATACTATGACACCATATCATGAGATTTTAGAACAGTAGTTTTAAAAATCTGAAATCCTCCAGAAGAAAAAGAATGGGTCTTTTACAAGAGGTCAGTAATCTAAATATCAGACTTCACAATCTAGAATCTAGGAATAGTGGATCAACGCCTTTAAAATCCTGAGAAAAATCATATCCATCCTAGAATTCTATAACCAGCTAAACTATGAGTCAAATGTGAGGGTGGAATAAGACATTTTCAGACGTATAAGGTCTATGGACAGCTGGGCCCATTTTTCTCTTCTTCCTGGGCACATGGCTAAGTTATATTTGTCAACCTCTCTTGTAGCTAGGTAGGGCTACATGTCTAAGCCCTAGTCAGAGGCCCCTGAAGGGAAGGAATACATATTAATTTCCACTTCATTTCTTTAAGAGTAAATACCTATTCCTTGATTTCTGCTTGTATATATATTTTTAATTTCTGTATATTATCATGTTTTGACATCTTAACAAACTTTTCTAGCTAGGGAGAGACAGGACCTTCCAGGGCTAGCCAATTCTTAAAAGTAGCAAAGGGCCCAGCCAGGAGCATGAGCTGATATGCAGACTAACCATTCCAGAGCCATAGCTCCTCTATCTGGCCCATATACTCCAGGAAACAATATTTATCTGCCTTAGTCATTCCAAAGTCAAGTACTAGGCAACTAGGTGGTAATCAGCCATATAGCTCAAAGAACACAGGAATTATTCAAACCAGCCAATCCTAAACTGTTCACCCTGCCTTTCCTTGCCTTTCCCACAGAAACCCAATAAAAGGAAAGACATAAATCTTTCCTTCACTCCTGTCTTCTGCCTCCTGACTACCTTAGTGTCTTTCTCAGGTGGTCCCGCATGGCAGTGCCATGCCTCCTGTCTCTAGGGCCTGTAAGCCTCTCCTCTTGTGGCTGCACTTTGACTGACTGTATCATAAAATAATACAAAATACTGTTTTTCTTCCCTCTCCTTGGGCTGAAATGATGATGACACTGGAAACCATATGTTGAAGATGGAAGAACCATATTCACCCAGGATCCCTGAATGACTGCATGGAGCAGAGCTCCCACCATCCTATAATACTTACCTTAGGACTGGTACAAGGGAGAAAAATAAACTTGTTTTTCAAAGCCACTTTCGGGATCTCCTTGTTACAGCAGCTTAGCATTACCCTAACAGTGCATAAGGTTTTAAAATAATTTCCCACCATAAACTCTCTCTCTCAGGAAGCTTCTAGAGAAAGTGATGCTCCAAGATGGAAAAATAAAGCCAGAAAAAAGATAAGAATTTACAAGGGAAAAAAGGGAATTTCCAGAATGTTGCTGAATACAGATTGCAGGACAAGAGACCTAGCAAGCAACCAGTACTGGTTGGACAGAGGCTTCTAAATGGGATTGCTCAAGGGAAAAAAGTGAAACTGATAGATTGCCTCATGTGTATCGAAAAGACAGGGATACTTCTGGTGGAGGTTTTGGGATGAATTAATTACATATATGAAGAAAACTATGGACATTTTAAAAATGAGGCTATTATTAATATCTAGAAAAACAAAAATTACAAGAACGGATGGTCATCACAATGCAATTATATGACCCAGTTATAAATGTTACTAGAGGTCATTTATACTTATTATAATGTCATCACAATGCAATTATATGACCCAGTTATAAATGTTACTAGAGGTAAAATTTATAGTTATCATAATGTAAACACTAAATGCTAGTTTAACACCAAAAATTTGATACAGTCATTTGGGGAGAATTGTGAGCAGGAATGTGAGACAGTAAGTGTGTAGGGGGAGTGGTCTAACCTAAATCTTTCTTTTCATTAGAAGGAAGACAATAAATCATGCCCAAAGCAGGAAAAAAAAACCAAAAAACCTCAACCAACAAAGAAGTAATGGTAGTAAGAGAATTTATGGCCGGGTGCAATGGCTCACGCCTGTAATCCCAGTGCTTTGGAAAGCTGAGGTGAGAGGATCCCTTGAGCCCGGGAGTACCAGGCTGCAGTGAGCTATGATGGTGTCTCTGCATTCCCGCCTGGGTGACAGAGTGAGATCTTGTCTCTAAATAAATAGATAAATGCAGTATGAACGTAAATGCCAACAGGAACCCTGGGAAGCAGGACTCAGAATAAGAAGCAATTGGGGCAAGGGAATCAGGGCCTGAAGTTTTATGAGAAGCCTTGTAGGACTACAAGTATTTCTTTTTCAGAACTACTTACATCCATTACCTAATACAATAAAATAAAATAAACAAGTGAGTGGGAGGTGAGAAGTGACATAGCAAGTGTGGGGAAGTCCTTCAAGAATGGGGGTGAGGGGCCGGGCCCGGTGGCTCACACCCGTAATCCCAGCACTTTGGGAGGCCAAGGTGGGTAGATTGTCTGAGCTCAGGAGTTCGAGTCCAGCCTGGGCAACACAATGAAACCCCGTCTCTACTAAAATACAAAAAATTAGCTGGGCGTGGCGGTGTGCGCCTGTAGTCCCAGCTACTCAGGAGGCTGAGGCAGGAGAATCGCTTGAACCTGGGAGGCAGAGGTTGCAGTGAGCCAAGATTGCAGCACTGCACTCTAGCCTGGGAGACAGAGCCACACTCCATCTCCAAAAAAAAAAAAAAAGGGCCGGGCGCGGTGGCTCACGCCTGTAATCCCAGCACTTTGGGAGGCCGAGGCGGGCGGATCACGAGGTCAAGAGATCGAGACCATCCCGGCTAAAACGGTGAAACCCCGTCTCTACTAAAAATACAAAAAAAAAAAAATTAGCCGGGCGTAGTGGCGGGCGCCTGTAGTCCCAGCTACTTGGGAGGCTGAGGCAGGAGAATGGCGTGAACCCGGGAGGCGGAGCTTGCAGTGAGCCGAGATCCCGCCACTGCACTCCAGCCTGGGCGACAGAGCGAGACTCCGTCTCAAAAAAAAAAAAAAAAAAAAAAGAATGGGGGTGAGGAGGAGAGTGGAGGGAGAGGTGGTGGCTGAGGAGTGATGCGGGGACGTTAGGATGGACATCATTCAGTGTTTGGTCCAGGGACCTCTGGGATCACACTGTCTGAAGAACCCACGCCATCCCACCAAGCTTACTGAATCAAGATCTTGCTTGGTGGGGTGTCAGGGCCTGGAAACCCAAGTTTTTAATCGTCTCCTTGGATGATACTTGTGCATACAGAACTGAGCTTGTTTGGATGCTGATGGAAAGGACCCAAGAAAGGTAAAGTGAGATGGGAGGGGAAGGAGAAATGCACTGAGCAAAGCCCCTGAGACGGCGCCCAGCATTCAGATGGAGGAGTTGGTCCTTGCTAATCCACTGTAATGGGGCTACAGGAGACACTGTTGGTTACTTTATAGATCTAGTGGTAGGAAAAGAGGAGGGGCCTTTCAGCCCTTGCACACTTGCTCCCTTTTGTTAGGAAATATTATTTAAGTCTATGTTTTACAGTAGACCAAGTGTTCCATGGGGGTCAAGACCATGGCATTTCCCACTCCATTCCTCACCATGGCCTAGCACGCAGCAGTGCCTGGCCCAGAGGAGGAGCTCTATAAATGTTTGTTGAATGACTACATGAATGACAGTTTCTTCTGAGGTAAGGGGACTCTTGTTTAAAATCAGACAGATAGGACTGGAGTTCAGGATTAGGACAGGCGACGGGCAGATCTGGAAGGCATGGGTAGGTAGAGAACAGTTGAAGCATTCAGGGTGAAGGCAAGGGGAAAGAGAAGAAAAAGAACGCCGAGGGAAGTGCTGAAGCGGGCGAGGGAGCGAATCCAGAGTGGGGTGCAGGAAACAGATGCATACTGAGGAAGAAGGGGGAAGCACTCCAAATCCTCCACATCATCCAACCTATACCTTCTCTTTCAACCGCACCTCCCACTTCTTGACGAGCCATCCTACAGTAGAGGCAATGGAATGGATGAGCCAATTAACCTGGTGTCTCATAATTAGGGAAGATATGTTGATGTAAGAAATCAAAGACTGGAGTGAACAGTACTATCTCAGACAGCCCATTGGAGTCACACGGAGCCCAATTCACTTCTCTCCTGGGCTGTTTCCTTTCACAGCCATTGCTGATCCAATGTCAGAGCCAACCCCTCAGTGGCCGAACTCCGGTTTGTTTCTACCAGGGAAGTTCTCAGGGGATTATACATGGATTTGGAATCAGGCAGCATCCGAAGAAGGGTTGAAGCAAAAAATCAAAAAACAGTAGATGTTGGCGTAGATGCAGTGATCAGGGAACACTTCTACACTGCTAGTGGGAATGTAAACTAGTACAGTCACTATGGAAAACAGTGTGGAGATTTCTTAAAGAACTAAAAGTAGATCTACCATTTGATCCAGTAATCCCACTACTGAGTATCTACCCAGAGGAAAAGAAGTCATTATACAAAAAAGACACTTGCACACACATGTTTATAGCAGCACAATTCACAATTGCAAAGTCATGGAACCCAAATGCCCATCAATCAACGGTGGATAAAGAAACTGGCATATATATACGATGGAATACTACTCAGCCATAAAAAGGAATGAATTAATGGCATTTGCAGTGACCTGGATGAGACTGTAGACTATTATTCTAAGTGAAGTTACTCAGGAATGGAAAACCAAACATCGTATGTTCTCACTGATAGGTGGGAGCTAAGCTGTGAGGACTCAAACTCATGAGAATGATACAATGGACTTTGGGCACTAGGGAGGAAGGACGGGGGAGGCACGAGAGATAAAAGACTACAAATAGGGTGGGTGCAGTGTATACTGCTTGGTGACGGGTGCACCAAAATCTCACAATTCACCAATAAAGCACTTACATAACCAAATATCACCTGTACCCAAATAACCTATGGAAAAAAAAACAAAGAAGGATTGAAGGATTTTTACTTGACTTTAGACTGAGATCCTGGTTTTAATTTGGAATTAAGAATGCTATTGGAACTAGAGTTTTCCGGTTTAAAAAAAAAACTTTTATCCAAGATACAAAGGAAAGTAAAATCTCACCCCCCTCCATTTCCCCAGCACCGCCCCACCGCCCCACCACATGTGCTCACAACCACAGCTGGGGGAGACTAATACAGATTTGCTTCTAAGACAGCATCAGAATCATGGTCAGTGGAATTGAGATCAGTACTGGCTTTTGCAGAAATGGGCAAAAAAAAAAAAAAAAAATGAATCATCATTGTTTCTGGAAGAAGAGTCATGCCTGGGCAGGGGATTCCCCATCTCCTTCAGGGCTTATGTGGCCTCCATGCCCCTCTCCCTCCTTAACTGCTAAGTCACTTACTGGGTCCCAGAAGTCCAAAGAGAAGCAGCCACAGGAACCAGAAAGCAGGAGAGATATTTCCTCTTCTCATCTCTAAATGATGCACATAGAAGTTGTCATTTAGATGCCTGGGTTCCAAAGGAAGGATAGGTCAAAGAGGCAGAGAGACAAGGGGCAAACCCCCTGGGCCTTGATAGAAAATAAAGTTGCACAAAAAGACCCAAAGGCCAGCCAGTGCCAGGGTAAGCCTTGTAGGCAGATGGCATGGTTGGGGGGAGCCCCCAAATTGCTCCACAGTTTGGCTTCTTATTTTTCTTCTTTTTTCCTCGCAAACGTGTCTGTGGCATTTATAGCTGATACTGAGTAGGGGAGGCCAGAACTTTGGGTCCTCCCTCCCCAGGGAGGGGCATTTCTGCGCTGTGCTTTCTGCAGGGCCGTTTGGAGAGATGTACCCTACAGGAATCAAGGCGGAGGAGAGAGCAGAGTCGGCAAGACCAGAGGGCGCACACATGAGGAGGGGCAGGGAGGGAGGCAGAATGAGGGGATCAAACTTGTCGGAGTGGAAGGGACCCACCCTTTGAACCAGAGCTGACCTGAAACCTGTTTTCCCTGGGTATGCCTCATTTTCAAAGCAGGAGGCCTTTGTAGAAGAAAGAAGGAAGAAGAGAAGAAAAGGAAACAAATGGATGGTAAAGGTCAATAGCAGTCTATCTAGGGGAAGCTGGGGATTTGGAGGGTGATAAGAGCATCAGGACACACGCCCGGCTTTCTCCAGAGTGCTCCTTCCCAGCTGCAGAGCAGCACATGGCTACGTGAGTGATACACTCCACTCCCTGTGAGCTCTCCAAGGGTGGGGAAAGTGGACACTGAGTGAGTCTCACTTCTAGTATCAAGCGGAAGTGAGTAGGGAAGAGGATGGGGCACGGAACTACCCATTTCCCTGAGTCAATCTTTGGCAATGGCTCTTAAGCATAGGTCAGGGACCCTGACTCACCTGCGTCCCTATTTCTAGGCTCACAACTAGCAGTTGATTGAAATTTACCCCGTGTAATTCAGATATGCAAGGAAAAATGTAGTTTGGCTTGCTATAACTCACCCAACTCAGTTTCCAGACTCTCTTTCCCACCAATGGCAGGGAAGCCTGGGGTTGGAAATGAGGATACGGGTATAAGCTTGCCAAATATTGGTGATGAAATTTCATTTTCTTTTAAAAGTGTCTCTTTTGGAAGGCATACTGTATGGTTCTAATTATATGAAAGTCAAGTACATGGAAAAATCAACTGATGATGATTAAAGTCAAAATACTGGCTACCTCTAGGGTGGCACTGATGGGGAGGAGGCAGGGGAGGCTTCTGGGGTGATAAGAATGTGGCACATCTTGATCTGGAAAGTGGGTAGGTGAGTGTATGCATGTGTTAAGATTCAACAATTGGCCGGGTGCGGTGGCTCATGCCTGTAATCCCAACACCTTGAGAGGCTGAGGTGGGAGGATTGTGTGAGCCCAGGAGTTCAAGAGCAGTCTAGGCAACATAGCAAGACCCTGTCTCTATTTCTTTAAAATAAATACATTAAAGAATTAAATAAAATTCAACGACTTGAGCACTTATGTGTCCACTCTGCACATTTTACTGCATATATTTTAAGCCTCAATTTAAAGATTAAAAACAACAGTCAAGGGTACAAACTTTCAGTTATAAGAAGAATGAGTTCTGGAACTTTAATCACATGGAGACTATAATTAACAATATTGTATTGTCTATCTGAAATTTGCTAACACACACAGAAAAGAAATGGTAAATATGTGTTGGTGATGTGTTCATTAGTTTGATAGTGGTAATTATTTCACAATGTATACTCATCAAATCAACACATTGTACACGCTGAAAACATATAATTTTTGTCTATTTTACCTCAGTAAGCTTGGGGGGAGAATTAAAAACAATAAGAAAGAAAAAAATTTTGGTGGCTCACGCCTGTAATCCCAACACTTTGGGAAGCCAAGGTGGGCGGGTTAGGAGTTTGAGACCAGCCTGATCAACATGGTGAAACCCCATCTCTAATAAAAATAAAAATAAAAATAAATTAGCTGGGCGTAGTGGCGGGTGCCTGTAATCCCAGCTACTTGGGAGGCTGAGGCAGGAGAATTGCTTGAACCCGGGAGGCAGAGGTTGTAGTGAGCCAAGATCGCACCACTGCACTCCAGCCCGGGTGACAGAGTGAGACTCCGTCTCAAAAAAAAAAAAAAAGAAAGAAAAAGAAAACAATGTTTCAGGTCTCTTTTGGGTAAATACTTGGCCATATGAAATTTAATGCCCCTCTCAGGACTGTTTTCCCCCCATTTCAAGGGCTCTCCCCTCCACTTCTTTCCTGCACGTCCTCTGAGGGGGAATTTATGCCTCCTACTGGCAATGTGGGAACAAGACTTCGGCCCTTCAAGCTGGTCTCTCCTGAGCTCCCTCTCGTTCCATCTGGTCACTGGGATCCTGCATTGGCATCCAACGACTCTGAGACACAGTACTACCATTGTCTTCATTTTACAAATAAGGAAACTAAACCATGGAGAAGTCAAGTAATTTGGCCAAACTCACAAAGTTAGTAAGTGATGGAGTCAGGAATTAAACTATCAGTCCAGCTGCAGAGCCTGTGCTCTTCGCCATTATAAAAGGAGGTTGTCATGTCCAAACAGGACTTTGAGTCTGGCCCCTGAATATCTTCCTCCAACCAGACTGCCTGTTCCCAACTTCATCTGACATAGAAATTCTGGAGCTGTCACTGTTAGAAAGTATGCGGAATATAAAACCACAAAGCTACAGAGGCCCAGCTATGTGGAATTTGAAAAACAGATGGACGAGTCATCATAAGGGACATGTCGGGAAAATTAATGAGTTAAGAGCAGGTTGCTCGAGTGGAGCTGACTGGTCCGAGAACATTTTTTTAAATGCCTCCTTGGAGAGTCTGAGTCATGAGGGTTCTGATGACTAGGAAGGAAAGAGCAAACAGGGGTTGTGGGCTTAGGACTTGGGTTTGTTTTAGAGAGTAAGAGATTAGTTTCGCACAGAGTAGGGAATTCCAGGGACCCGGCAATTACGTAGAGTACACAATTTATAAACATAGCATAGATTTGAAATTCGCCCTTGAATGACCTGTGCTGAAAGTTTGATTTAGGAAAGGCCTGTGTTCCAGATTCTCGCTGCCATCTCTCTCAACCTCACCCTGTACCGGCTTAGATTTTCTTCAACCTGGCTGGACAAGGGGTCTGCTTTCCCTTCTAATTTTAGTTTACCCCCAATTCAAGTAGAGTTATTTTCATCACAAGGAGTCTCAATGGTACCTTCCATATAGCATATAGTTCATCAGAAAGTAACAAAAAGAAGAAGATTTTCTGTGAAATATAGCCTGATATGGTCTATGTCTGTGACCCATTTTCCCACAAACGGACCACTCTGATGGCAGCCACTGTCCCTGGATTTGGAGATCTCTCCTACAGCTGCTTAAGCTTCTTCAGCTATCTGGAGCCACCATTTGTGTAGAAATGTCCTATGTGCTTGAGTGCCCATCTTCAAATTTTCTGTTGTGTATACGTTCAAAAACAATTTTGAAAAGCTGTTTTCCCTCCTCTGTCTATGTTTAATCTAAATTTTTTATCATACATTTAATTATTGCAAAGAATGTAATTTCTACCATATTGTAAATGTAGACATTGAAATAATAAAAGTTTTTACTACTCTTTAAAATGTTTCCAGTAGACTCTAAACACTAGCAGCATCTCAATACTCATCATTATCCTTTTTTTAAATTTTATTTTACTTTAAGAGATGTGGGGGGTCTCACTATATTGCTCAGGCTGGTGTTGAACTCTTGGGCTCAAGCAATCCTCCCGCCTCAGCCTCCCCAAGTGCTGGGATTACAGACGTGAGCCACTGCACCTAGCTTCCATTATCCTTTTGAATAACATATAAGCAAGCTCTTCCTCAATAGTCTAGGTTTTTAAATGGTTCCTCCTGCTCTACGAACTTATAGTTCCATTTTACTTTCCCCATATTATTCTACTGGTCTCTCTCCATATATCATATTAAATACCAGTAACATAAATATTCTACTGCTATACATATATCACAGTATGTCTAATTAATAAACCTTATCTCTTAGAGCAGTTTTGGGTTCACAGCAAAATTAAGTGGTAAGTACAGAGGTCCCATAGACTCCCTGCCCCTACGCAAGCACAACCTCCCCACCTCGTTGACGTCAGGGTTTACTCTTGTATATTCTATGGGTTTTGACAAATGTACAATGACAGGCATCCACCATTGTAGTATCATATACAGTAGTTTCACGCCCTAAGAATCCTCTGTGCTCCACCTATTCATCACCCCACCCTCGTAACCCCTGGCAACCATTGACTCTTGACTGCCTTTATAGTTTTGTCTTTTCTGGGATGTCATATGGTCTGTAATAATTTTTTGCTTGAAAAGCTTTTATTGATCACCCTGTCATACTCCTCTGCATCAAAAGATATGTTTATAAACGTCTAAAAAATTTCCTGTGCCTTGTAAGACTCTGTGTTCAATTTATAGCCCCCAGTAACTTTTTGGTGAATTAAGCAAAAATGCTTCTCTTATGATACGTCTTTCCATATTTTCAAGAAAATATGAATCATTAACTTACCTAACATTTTTTATTTTTCATTTTTTTGAGACGGAGTCTCGCTCTGTCGACCAGGCTGGAGTGCAGTGGTGCAATCTCGGCTCACTGCAACCTCCACTTCCCAGGTTCAAGCTATTCTCTTGCCTCAGCTTCCCACGTAGCTGGGACTACAGGTGCCTGCCACCACGCCAGCTAGTTTTTGTATTTTTAGTAGAGATGGGGTTTCACCATGTTGGTCAGGCTAGTCTCAAAAGCCTGACCTCAGGTGATCCACCCGCCTCCGCCTCCCAAAGTGCTGAAATTACAGGCATGAGCCACCTCGCTTGGCCCACTTACCTAACATTTTAAAAATAACACAACTTACAGAGCGCTTACGAAATGCAGGACTATTCTAAGGCTTCACAATAACCCCATGAAGTGGGTACTATTTTCACTCTCATGTTTACAAATATGGAAACTGAGACCCAGAAGAATTAAGGAATTTGTGGAAAGTCACAATGAAATTGGATTTGAAACCAGAAATTCGAGCTCCACAATCTGTGCTCTTAGCTGACATGCCGTATGGCCTCTCTAAGTGTCTTTTATCTTAAGGTGTAACATTAATCAGTTGGAGCTTACAACATCTTTCTCCTTGAAATCATGCCAAATACACAATTGTTACCTAAACCAAGAAACTAGTGAACAGGAAGCTCTTTCCCCTTACAGAAAATGGTGTACAATTCAGGGAAGTGTGCTTCATAGCACATTGCTTTGTCCCAGCAAGTTGTTGACAAATCTTGAATATTCTAAAATAGGCAGACAGACAGATAAGGTGGGTTGGCTGCCATGGGATTTTTCTCCTTGGTTAAATAAGCCACTGCCTCCTCTATTCTTTCTGCTGATTCTGCTCTTGCTCCAATCTCATGAGATACTCCCTCAAGAGGGATGCATTTTTAAAGAGTGGATGGAAGAGAAGAGATTGTTAAAAAAAAAAGAAAGGAAAAAAAGAAGTTTTTATTACTCCTGTTACTTCATTCTACAGTGTATCTGCGTAAATAACACCTTAACACATGCCAAAATTACCAGTTCCTTACACTCCACGTAGCCCTTCACAGGAATTTATATGAGGCAGGAGAAAACAGGAAGTCCTACTCTGGGTATATGATCCCTAAATTAGAGGTGGTTTTTGAGGTATCCCTTCACTAAAAGGCTTTATTTGACACCCTGAAATGTTCTACACCCTGCGGAAATGTGGTAATAATAATATGGGAGCTACAGAGGAAATGTTGGATGTTCATCAAAGAAGAGTCAGAAAAGTGTAGCCCTGACCACAGAGGTGCCCTCAGACAGATCAGTTCTAGGCCACAAGCACATACGGAAGTTGAAGATCTGGAAAATGGTTCCCATCAAACAACCCACGCCTGCATAATACTCTTCAGGAAGTCTTTATGTACGCCCAAGATGTGGGGGCACAGATGCCACGTGAAGATCATTGTGCTAAATCCACAGTGCAAAGGCACAGGTCTAGATGGGCAGCCCTTTAACCCTGTCCACTTCCTGGACTTTTGCTTGGGTCACGCATGCTTGGTGGGCTGGGGCTTTGTCACATTACAGGAGTAGGTGTATTCCATGACGAAAGCTGGGTAATGATGCTTCCAAACTCTACCTGCACACCCCAGTTGCTGGGAGTAATGAGATACTCACAGCACAACTATGTGAATCAATCACAAGGTAAATTGCTCACCAGGGACTCCCCCCTTTTCTCCTTCCTCTAGCTCAAAATGCCCATTCATTTGAGTCATTTGTTGTTTATTTTTGGAAATAATTTTTTTAAATTTGAGACAGAGTCTCACTCTGTCACCCAGGCTAGAGTGCAGTGACATGATCTCAGCTCACTGCAACGTCCACCTCCCAGGTTCAAGTGATTCTCCTGCCTCAGCCTTCCAAGTAGCTGGGACTACAGGCGCGCACCACCGCGCATGGCTAATTTTTGTATTTTTAGTAGAGACAGGGTTTTGCCATGTTGGCCAGGCTGGTCTCAAACTCCTGGCCTCAAGTGATCTGCCTGCCTCAGCCTCCCAGAATGCTGGGATCACAGGTGTGAGCCACCATGTCCGGCCAGGAAATAAAAATTTTTATTTACATAATGTGCCTGGTAAAAATTTAAGAGCTGTATTGAGCTATAATTTACATACCATATAGTTCACCTGTTTAAAGTATATAAACCTGGCTGGGCAAGGTGGGTCATGCCTCTAATCCCAGCACTTTGGGAGGCTGAGATGGGTGGATCACCTGAGGTTAGGAGTTCAAGACTAGCCTGGTCAACAGTGGTGAAACCCCATCTCTACTAAAAATACAAAAATTAGCCAGGCATGGTGGCACTCGCCTATAATCCCAGCTACTTGGGAGGCTGAGGGAGGAGAATCTCTTAAACCTAGGAAGCAGAGGTTGCAGTGAGCCGAGATTGCGCCACTGCACTCCAGCCTTGGTGACAGAGTGAGATTCCATCTCAAATTTAAAAAAATAATAAGAATAAAATAAAGTATATAAACCAGTGGTTTTAGGCCGGGTGCAGTGGCTCATGCCTGTAATCCCAGCACTTTGGGAGTCCAAGGTGGGTGGATCACCTGAGGTCAGGAGTTCGAGACCAGCCTGGCCAACATTGTGAAACCCCATCTCTACTAAAAATACACACACACACACAAATTAGCTGGGTGTGGTGGCACGCACCTGTAATCCCAGCTACTCGGGAGGCTGAAGCAGGAGAATCACTTGAACCTGGAAGGTGGAGGTTGCAGTGAGCTGAGATCACGCCACTGCACTCCAGCCTGGGCGACAGAGCAAGACTCCGTCTAAAATAAATAAATAAATAAACCAGTGTTTTTTAGTATATTTACAGAGTTGTACTTGGTGAAGCTTTTCATAGACAGACTCAAATCTTTTTTCTCTATTCCAGCTCTTCTTTTTTCCCTTCTAATTCTTCTCTTCCATTTCGTCTCTTTTTCTCTGTTTTGAGCCTTATTACTTGCACGTTAGTCTTCCTGGATCTATCCTCCAAATGTATTATATTTGCCGGGTGATTTTTATTCCTGTATAATTGTGTCTGTTTGAGTTATTTTTCGCGCTTGCTCTTCCGGATTACTAGCATAATTCTCTATAATGGCCAGCCTCTTTCAATTTGTCTATTAAAATTTGAAAATACATGTTTTACTATTTTTTTAAAAAATGATCTAGCTGGACACCCTTGCCTGATCTTATTTCTTTTCATGCTTTTCCACATAAGGGTTTCCACAGTTCCTATCAGTGGGAGGCACCTTTTCAGGGTGTTCAACTTGTCTTTCCCTTCTGGTTTCTGGATCCCTTTAAGTGAGCAGATGATGATGATTGCCTGCATATGGCTCAGCGTGGCCTCTCTGTTCCTCAGTGAGCAGGGGCATGCAAACCTTCCCCCAAAGACTGAGGGAGCTGAGAGGCTGTGGAGACAAAGTGACTCCATCTTGGATGCTAATCTGCCATGTTGACTTCTGATTAACCCAGGTCCCATGAGTCACATGGGCCTCATTCCTACTTTATTTACTGTTCTTGGTAAGGACATGTACTTACTGTAAATCCTGTCTTCGTTTTTTGTTTGTTGTTTTGTTTTTAGAGACAGGGTCTTGCTCTGTCACCTAGGCTGGAGTTCAGTGGTGCAATCTCAGCCCACTGCAGCCTCTAACTCCTGGGCTGTAATGATCCTCCTGCCTCAGCCTCCCAAGTAGCTGGGACCACAGGCACATGCTACCACTCCCAACTAATTTTGGTTTTCTTTTTTGTAGAGATGAGGTGTTGTTTTGTTTCCCAGACTGGTCTCAAACTCCTGCCCCCAAGCAATCCTCCCTCCTCTCCCTCCCAAAGCTCTGGGATTACAGGCATTAGCCACCACATCCAGCCCCTGCCTTTAGATCAAAGCAACCTTGATATTATGGCATAAATTACAGGCTACGACGCACATAGCATTCCTGCCTGTTCTGAAAGGTTGCTTTTAATTGTCTCTACAGGAAGTATACACCCTTTCTGGGGTAAGCCCTGGGTCTGGGGGTAACAGGTGTGGAGATCTACCTGACTTGCTGCCACCCAAGACTACACTTCTGTCTGTAAATTCCCCAGCAAATCACCATTTACTGACAAACTGGATCTATCTGCCTTGTTTTTGGTTTCTCGGCTCCTTCAGCGTTTGGGAGCCACTTTACATGTATGACCCTTTTATGGAACAAAGGCTGAATGAAATAAGTGGCTAACAAATCCAGTTTCTCCAAAAGAAATTTTGAACAAGGACTAAGCAACAGAAGCCACGTCTGGGAGAGCTGCAAGACGATGGACACTCCAGAAAACATCCTTTCTATAGCAAGGTCTTAGGGTAAAATATATGCAGCTGGTCACATCTCAGACTTTCTTGCCAAAACCCATAACCACTCCGGAGGTTAAAGAAGCATGTTTGTGAAGGGTTATTTATGCAGCAGGCATTGTTTGAAGACTGTGCTGCAGTGCACTTTGCTATGCAAAAGTGGACCACTGGTCATCATGATGTGTCCAGAATTGGTGGCTTCTTGGTCTCAATGACTTCAAGAATGAAGCCGCAGACCCTCACGGTTACTGTTACAGCACTTAATGTGGCGCGTCTGGAGCTTGTTCTTTCCGATGTTCGCATGTGTTCACAGTTTCTTCCTTCTGGTGGGTTTGTGGTCTCGCTGGCTCAGGAATGAAGCTGCAGATCTTCACGATGAGTGTTACAGCTCACAAAAGCAGCATGGACCCAAAGAGTGAGCAGTAGCAAGATTTATTGCAAAGAGCAAAAGAACAAAGCTTCCACAGTCAGGAAAAGGACCAGAGCGGGTTACCACTGCTGGCTGGGGCAGCCTGCTTTTATTCTCTTATCTGGCCCCACCCACATCCTGCTGATTGGTAGAGCCGAGTGGTCTGTTTTGACAGGGTGCTGATTGGTGCGTTTACAATCCCTGAGCTAGACACAAAGGTTCTCCACGTCCCCACCAGATTAGCTAGATACAGAGTGTGGACACGAAGGTTCTTCAAGGCCCCACCAGAGCAGCTAGATACAGAGTGTCGATTGGTGAACTCACGAACCCTGAGCTAGACTCAGGGTGCTGATTGGTGTGTTTACAAACCTTGAGCTAGATACAGAGTGCGGATTGGTGTATTTACAATCCCTGAGCTAGACATAAAGGTTCTCCACATCCCCACCAGACTCAGGAGCCCAGCTGGCTTCACCCAGTGGATCCCGCACCGGGGCTGCAGGTGGAGCTGCCTGCCAGTCCTGCGCCGTGCGCTTGCACTCCTCAGCCCTTGGGTGGTCGATGGGACTGGGCGCCCTGGAGCAGGGGGTGGCACTCGTCGGGGAGGCTCGGGCCGCATAGGAGCCCATGGAGGGGGTGGGAGGCTCAGGCATGGCGGGCTGCAGGTCCCAAGCCCTGCCCCGCGGGAAGGCAGCTAAGGCCTGGTGAGAAATCGAGTGCAGCGCCGGCGGGCTGGCACTGCTGGGGGACCCAGTACACCGTCCGCAGCTGCTGGCCCGGGTGCTAAGCCCTTCATTGCCCAGGACCGGCAGGGCCAGCCAAGCCCACGCCCACCCGGAACTCCAGCTGGCCCGCAAGCGCCGCGTGCAGCCCCGGTTCCCGCTCGCACCTCTCCCTCCACACCTCCCTGCAAGCTGAGGGAGTGGGCTCCGGCCTTGGCCAGCCCAGAAAGGGGCTTCCACAGTGCAGCGGTGGGCTGAAGGGCTCCTCAAGTGCCGCCAAAGTGGGAGCCCAGGCAGAGGAGGCGCTGAGAGCGAGCAAGGGCTGTGCGGACTTCCAGCACCCTGTCACCTCTCAATGGCAGCTTTGCTTCAAAATGGCGTCCCTGTTGCCGTGCAACAGGCTGTATTCCTACACTCCACCTCTCAAAACTGGCCCTGACAATTTCACGTGCTCATCTCTTCCATGATAGTCCCTGGGCCTAAAGGGAGGACCCTTGATAGTGCATAGCTTTAGCAGCAGTGCGTTGGCTCCACTGGAGGCAGATAACACAGCAGCAGTAAAGGCTCAAACAAGACAGTAAGGAACGTACGAGTACAGCACCTAAACCAAGAAGCAGCTTATGCCACCAGGTGCCCCAGGACCCAAACCAGCTGTGAAGCCAATTATTCAAAGTAGGGGTCTGAGAGCTTGGTTATGTGGGCTTTTATATCAGTCATTAATTTAGCGATATTAACTGATTCATCAGGAATATAAACACAGCAGTTTTTCCAATTGCACAAGTGCCCCGTTGTGCAGCGTGAGTATATGTAAAGCCTGGTAATTTGGGAGGACAGACTTTCTCATGACAGTGACTTCCATGTTTAAAAGAGAGATTCCCATGCAGCTATCATTTAAAGTTTTCTTTTTTTTTATTTTTTGTAGAGTTTGTTTTTTTAATTTTTTGAGTCAGAGTCTCGCTCTATCACCTGGGCAGGAGTGCAGTAGCACGGTCTTGGCTCACTGTAACCTCCACCTCCCAGGTTCAAGCAATTTTCCTGCCTCAGCCTCCCAAGTAACTGGGATTACAGGCATGCGCCACCACGCCCAGCTAATTTTGTTATTTTTTGTGGAGATGGGGTTACACCGTGTTGGCCAGGCTGATCTCGAACTCCCGACCTCAACTGATCCACCTGCCTTGGCCTCCCAAAGTGCAGGGATTACAGGCTTTATAGAGTTTCTATATGCCAGATAATATCTTCAATAACCGGATGAGGAAGACAAATGGAGGCCAAACAATCATACCAATAAAAAACAGATCAGAACCAGTGGGATTTCAAATGAGGGAGATTGATAGGCTTTGTAGTGTGTGAACTATTCAGTCTGTGCCCGTGTATAATCCAAAGAACATCTTCCTAAACATGCAGGGGGTAACCAAGGCCATAAATTGGTACCACATATCCAGGAAGTTCCATTTGGGGCCAACCAAAAGATTCCTGCACACAGTGTCCGTTCTGTAACATGCCCAATGAGTATTTTATTATATTATAGCATAGTATATAAAAATCAGTCTCTTGCTATCCATCACATATCCCTTGTGCAATTTGGCCAAGTATCTTTAGAATGATTCATTTGTTCCCAAGACTGAGGAGCAAGTTGACTAACATGGCCAAAAGACGGAATTAACCAAATAAACCCAGCCTGTTTTTGGGTATCAGGTTGTTTTGTTCTTTATTTAGGGTGTTGTCACTCTCTAGCAGGAAATAGCCTATCCAGCCTGGGGCTATTTGTCGTTCCAAGCTCGGTGTGTTTCCTCCTCGGTAGTATATCTGCTGGCATCTTCATGTGCAAAAGACACTGGTTGTCAATGAGGTCTGGGAGCAAGCAAAGCAGTCGTCTCAATTACCCCTATGGGAACAGTGGTAGGCTTGGGGGACCGTTGTCCTAGACGGTCACATGGGGCAGGCGTCCCTGCTTTGGCTGAATTTAAAGAAATAAAGGTTGGAGATAACACATTCATCTGCCTATGCAAGGTAGGTTTCCCAAATTAGAGTTTGAATTTGTGCTTTCAACAGACTGGTATTTCTTTCAATTAACCCTGCTGCTTGGAGGTTCTATGGGAGATAAAAGTGCCATAGTGTATCATGTTTCCTGGCCCAGTCCTGCATGTCATATCCAGCGAAATGGGTCCCTCGGTCACTGTCAATGTGCCAGATATATCCATACATAGTACTGAGAGCCTCTAAGCCTTTAATAGTACTGGCTTGATTAGCTTGCTTATAGGGAGAATCTTGCAGCAGTCCAGTAGCGGTGTCCATGCAGGTTAACATGTATTTATTTCCTTGGCTTACAGGGACAGTATCTAAATAATCCACTTGCCAATCTGTTACATGGTGGACAGCCTTCTGAATATCTGAATGTGTCCTGCTCAATATGATCTACAATAGAGAACATGGTAAACAATTTGTAAGAGCTGTTGGGAAGGCACTATATATTTTTTGTTGTTGTTGTGGAGATGGGATCTCGATATGTTGCCCAGGCTGGACTCAAACTCCTGGCCCCAAGCAATCGTCCCACCATGGCCTCCCCATGTGTGAGCCACTGTACCAGGACTAGGTCACTATATATATATATATATATATATATATATATATTTTTTTTTTTTTTTTGAGACGGAGTTTTGCTCTTATTGCCCTGGCTGGAGTGCAATGGCGTGATCTCGGCTCACTACAACCTCCACCTCCCGGGTTCAAGCAGTTCTCCTGCCTCAGCCTCCTGAGTAGCTGGGATTACAGGTGCATGCCACCACGCCCAGCTAATTTTGTATTTTTAGTAGAGACAGGTTTCTCCATGTTGGTCAAGCTGGTCTCGAACTCCCAACCTCAGGTGATTTGCCCGCCTCGGCCTCCCAAAGTGCTGGGATTACAGGCATGAGCCACCGTGCCCAGCCTGGTCACTACATTTTAAGAGTAATCCTGCTTCCTTGACTGTCTCCCAGCCTACTCTTGCACTTCTGTGACCACTTTTGTTATGTACCCAGGTCAATAGTTCAGAGGCCTGAGCTGGCATGATGCTTCTAATTTTTTTTAGGGTTTTAGCTTCCATGTTTTGTGGAACTGAGTGGTTTTTATGTGCAGTCACCTGAAATACAGTTAAATCAGCCACAAGGCTTTGCGGCTTTTTCCGTATGTCTTGCCACATGTTCATGCCCCATATAGGTTTGTGCATAATCATCCACTTTTCTAGTTCCTGTTGAGCCAGCCACATAATTAGGCCTTTGAATACAGCTCAGCTATCAGTGCAAAGAACCAGGGGCCAGGCTCATATGTGACTATTAACCAGGCTGCTTGCAACTCATCCCAGTGGCTCCTCTGATGCCCACCTGTATCAAACCAGATTGTATCAGTTTGTGGCTGTGTAGCAACAGCGGTCCAAGAACAGCGGTTTCCCCTGCTGGAGTCCTCTGTACACCAAGCATCATCTGGATGCTTACCATGTCAGGTGCTGGAGTTGGAGAGGGTCAGGTGGTATCCTTTGTTTGTTCACGTCATAACAGAGCCTAATGCAGTATGTAATTCTGGGCTTAAGGGACTCATTGCTAGCATTCTTCCTTGTTGCAAATAATCATGCCATTTATTCAAGGTAGGTGTTGGGGCTACAGCGGAGGTGGGTTGTTTAAAAATCCTTCTAACCATCCCTTGATTGGTAGACCTATTCTCACAGTCATGGGAAGGGTCTTTGTTAGCAATTCCACCTGCTGTAAAGCATTCTCTACTACTAGCACTTCTTGTTCAACAGGAGAGTATCTGGTTTTGGCTCCTTTCTTAAAAGGACTGATTCCCTAGACTGCGGTTGCCATAAGGCCCCACTCATATCCTCAGGAGCAGCAGTAACATCCAAAGTCCTAGCTGTACCCTCCAAAGGGGTGCCTAAGGCCTGTGCCTGCTGTACCAACACTTCAGCCTGTTCAAAGCTTCCTGCTGTGGTGTGTCCCAGGCCCAATGTGCCCTTTCTCTGATAAGTCTGTATAGGGATCTCAAAAACTGTGCTAAGTATGGGATGCATACTCTCCAATAACCCAAAAGACCCACAAATGTTTGGATTTCTTTGACTGTTTCTGGAGTTGACATTGTTGGGCTTTGTCAATTATTGCACCCAGTATCAAAGGAGTGTTACCCAACCATGTAACCCCTAAAAACTTCACTGTGGGCCGGGTGCAATGGCTCACACCTGTAATCCTAACACTTTGGGAGGCCAAGGTGGGCGGATCACAAGGTCAGGAGTTCGAGACCAGCCTGGCCAATATGGTGAAACCCCATCTCTACTAAAAATACAAAAGTTAGCTGGGCATGGTGGCAGGTGCCTGTAGTCCCAGTTACTCGGGAGGCTGAGGCAGGAGAATCGCTTGAACCCAGGAGGCGGAGGTGGCAGTGAGACAAGGTCGCACCATTGCAATCCAGCCTGGGTGACAGAGCGAGACTCCGTCTCAAAACAAAACAAAACAAAACAAAACAAACAAACAAAAAATCTTCACTGTGGGCTCTGGGCCTTGCATCTTCTGAGGATTGATGGCCCATCTCCATTCCATAGATGAGCACCCAATACCATAAGACATTACTGCAAACCAAAACAACATGGTACTGGTACAAGAACAGACACATACACCAGTGGAACAGAATAGAAAACACAGAAATAAGACCACGCACCCACGACTATCTGATCTTCAACAAACCTGACGAAAGCAAACAATGGGGAAAGAATTCCCTGTTCAATAAACGGTGCTGGGATAACAGGCTAGCCATATGCAAACAATTCAAACTGGACCCCTTCTTTACACCTTACACAAAAATTAACTCACGATGGATTAAAGACTTAAATGTAAAACCCAAAACTATAAAACCCTGGAAGACAACCTAGGTAATACCATTCAGGACATAGGCATGGGCAAAAATTTCATGACGAAGATTCTGAAAGCAATTGCAACAAAAGGAAAAATTGAAAATGGGATTTAACTAAACGAAAGAGCTTCTGCACAGCAAAAGAAACTATCAACAGAGTAAACAGACAACCTACAGAATGGGAGAAAATTTTTGCAAACTATGCATCTGACAAAGGGCTCATATTCAGCATCTATAAGGAACTTAAACAAATTTATTTTAAAAAAGCAAACAATTCCATCAAAAAGTGGACAAAGGACATGAACAGACACTTCCCAAAAGAAGACATACATGTGGCCAACAAACATATTTTAAAAAGCTAAACATCATTGATTATTAGAGAAACGCATATCAAAACCACAATGATATTGTGCCATTGCACTCCAGCCTGGGCAATAAGAGCGAAACTCCATCTCAAAACAAACAAACAAAAACCCACAATAAGATATCATCTCACGCCAGTCAGAACAGCTATTATTAAAAAGTCAAAAAATAAAAGATGCTGGCGAGGTTGTGGAGAAAAAAGAATGCTTATACACTGTTGGTGGGAGTATAAATTAGTTCAGTCATTGTGGAAGACACTGTGGTGATTCTTCAAAGACTTAAAGACAGATACCATCTGATCCAGCAATCCCATTACTGGGTATATACCCAAAGGAATATAAATCATTCTGTTATAAAAGCACATGGACGTGGCCAGGCACGGTGGCTCATGCCTGTAATCCCATCACTTTGGGAGGCTGAGGCAGGTGGATCACCTGAGGTCAGGAGTTCGAGACCAGGCTGACCAATATGGAGAAACCCCTGTCTCTACTAAAAATACAAGATTATATGGGCGTGGCGCCACATGCCTGTAATCCCAGCTACTGGGGTGGCTGAGGCAGGAGAATCGCTTGATCCCGGGAGGCAGAGGTTGCAGTGAGTGAGATCGCACCATTGCACTCTAGCCTCGGCAACAAGAGCAAAACTCCATCTCAAAAAAAAAAAAAAATGCATGCATGTGTTCATTGCAGTGGTATTCACAATAGCAAAGACATGGAATCAACCTAAATGCCCATCAGCGATAGACTGGATAAAGAAAATGTGGTATATATACATCATGGACTACTATGCAGTCATACAAAAAGAACAAGATCATGTCCTTTGCAGGGACATGGATGGAGCTGGAGGCCATTATTCTTAGCAAACTAATGCAGGAACAGAAAACCAAATACCGCATGTTCTCGCTTATAAGTAGAAGCTAAATGATGAGAACACAGGGACACATAGAGGGGAACAACACCCACTGGGGCCTATCAGAGGGTGGAGGGTGGGAGGAGGGAGAGGATCAGGAAAAATAACTAATGGGTACTAGGCTTAATAGCTGGGTGACGAAATAACCTGTACAAAAAAACCCCCATGACACACATTTACTTATGTAACAAACCTGCATATGAACCCCCGAACTTAAAATAAAAGTTAAAAAAAGAAAAGCCATGGCTGCAGCACAGTAAAAGCTTCAGCGGCTGACATAATGCCAACAAGATAACAAAACTAGAAGAAAAGACGGGAATGCGAAAAAAGACAAGACTCTTTCATGGGCTTTGTGCTGGGTGGATAATAGTTGCACTTATTGGGAGGATAATAATTGCACTTATTTCAGCATACCCCCTGGACAATATGAATCATTTAATGTTGACAACGCCATGTAGGGGCAGGAAGTTGTAGGGGCTCCCATTTTCTTCCTCTCTCAAGAACAGTCTTCACGGAGTGCCTGCGATTGCAGGCACGCGCCGCCACGCCTGACTGGTTTTCGTATTTTTTTTGGTGGAGATGGGGTTTCGCTGTGTTGGCCAGGCCGGTCTCCAGCTCCTAACCGCGAGTGATCCGCCAGCCTCGGCCTCCCGAGGTGCCGGGATTGCAGACGGGAGTCTCGTTCACTCAGTGCTCAATGGTGCCCAGGCTGGAGTGCAGTGGCGTGATCTCGGCTCGCTACAACCTCCACCTCCCAGCCGCCTGCCTTGGCCTCCCAAAATGCCGAGATTGCAGCCTCTGCCCGGCCGCCACCCCATCTGGGAAGTGAGGAGCGTCTCCGCCTGGCCGCCCATCGTCTGGGATGTGAGGAGCCCCTCTGCCTGGCTGCCCAGTCTGGAAAGTGAGGAGCGTCTCAGCCCGGCCGCCATCCCATCTAGGAAGTGAGGAACACCTCTTCCTGGCCGCCATCACATCTAGGAAGTGAAGAGCGTCTCTGCCCGGCCGCCCATCGTCTGAGATGTGGGGACCGCCTCTGCCCCGCCGCCCCGTCTGGGATGTGAGGAGCGCCTCTGCCCGGCCGCGACCCCGTCTGGGAGGTGAGGAGCGTCTCTGCCCGGCCGCCCCGTCTGAGAAGTGAGGAGACCCTCTGCCTGGCAACCGCCCCGTCTGAGAAGTGAGGAGCCCCTCCGCCCGGCAGCCGCCCCGTCTGAGAAGTGAGGAGCCCCTCCGCCCGGCAGCCACCCCGTTTGGGAAGTGAGGAGCCTCTCCGCCCGGCAGCCAACCCGTCCGGGAGGGAGGTGGGGGGGTCAGCCCCCCGCCCGGCCAGCTGCCCCGTCCGGGAGGTGAGGGGCGCCTCTGACTGGCCGCCACTACTGGGAAGTGAGGAGCCCCTCTGCCAGGCCACCACCCCGTCTGGGAGGTGTACCCAACAGCTCATTGAGAATGGGCCATGATGACGATGGCGGTTTTGTGGAATAGAAAGGGGGGAAAGGTGGGGAAAAGATTGAGAAATCGGATGGTTGCTGTGTCTGTGTAGAAAGAAGTATACATGGGAGACTTTTCATTTTGTTCTGTACTAAGAAAAATTCTTCTGCCTTGGGATCCTGTTGATCTGTGACCTTACCCCCAACCCTGTGCTCTCTGAAACGAGTGCTGTGTCCACTCAGGGTTAAATGGATTAAGGGCGGTGCAAGATGTGCTTTGTTAAACAGATGCTTGAAGGCAGCATGCTCGTTAAGAGTCATCACCACTCCCTAATCTCAAGTACCCAGGGACACAAACACTGCGGAAGGCCTCAGGGTCCTCTGCCTAGGAAAACCAGAGACCTTTGTTCACTTGTTTATCTGCTGACCTTCCCTCCATTATTGTCCTATGACCCTGCCAAATCTCCTTCTGCGAGAAACACCCAAGAATGATCAATAAAAAATAAATAAATAAATAAATAAATAAATAAAAAGAAAGAAGAAAAAGAAAAAAAAAAAAAAAAAAACAGTCTTCACTACATGCACCTTCGATCTGAATTTTTCCACTGAAGTTTGCTAAGTCTTTCCTAACAGAATACCTGTGCCTAAAATGTTTTCTGGAATAAGAAAAATAAACACCACATATGGGGCAGGGGAGCTTCCCCAATACCTAGATGTATTAAAGTCCTTCTCATCCAGATCGTTTGTCCCCATAACCAGTGATGGCAGACCATTGACCAGGGTGTATTTATGGATTTCCATGAATTAAAGTATATTCTGCCCTAGTATCTACTAAGGAAATAGTCTTCTCCTTATTTTTTTGAGAGGAACAGTAAATGGTGAGCTCAATATGGGGCCTCTGGTCACCTGCAACGTGGGGTTGACCTTGGTCCCACTGCTAATCTTGGGCCCAGCATGGAATCCCCCTCTGATAGGCTGGAGTATTAGAATGAGGGGTTGAGTCATCTTCCTCTTCTGCTAGAGGGGCAGAAATGAAGGGACAAAACAGCCCTTCAGTCTGTACTTCCCTCCATAAGGCTACTAACACAGCATTTTTCATATTTTCCATATTTTAACATTTTTTACATATTTTTTTCTCAGAATTTTTCTGCTCCCAATAAGTCATGCCACATTTGCCTGTTCTTGACTCTAGTTGGTCGCTTTCCCTTATTTTCCCCCTTCTTCCTGTGGAGCATTATCTTTCCCCTTTGTCAGCCCTTGCCGGGTTACAAAGCACACCCCGTCCCTAGCTTTCTCAGTAGCTCCCAAATCTGTGATGGCTTCTCCTACGTCATATACATCTTTTTTTTTTTTTTTTTTAAGACGAAGTTTCGCTGTTGTTGCTCAGGCTGGAGTGCAATGGCACGATCTCGGCTCACTGCAACCTCCGCCTCCCACGTTCAAGCTATTCTCCTGCCTCAGCCTCCCAAGTAGCTGGGATTACAGGCGCCTGTCACCATGCCCGGCTAATTTTGTATTTTTAGTAGAGAAGGAATTTCACCATGTTGACCAGGCTGGTCTTGAACTCCTGACCTCAGGTGATCCATCCACTTCGGCCTCCCAAAGTGCTGGGATTACAGGCATGAGCCACCGTGCCCAGCCCTTTTTTTTTTTTTTTTTTTTTTTTTTTTTGAGACGGGGTCTCACTCTGTTGCCCAGGCTGGAGTGCAGTGCCCCAATCTCAGCTGACTGCAACTTCTGCCTCCTGAGTTCAAGCAGTTCTCCTACCTCAGCCTCCCAAGTAGCTGGGGTTACAGGCACACCACCTAGCTAATTTTTGTATTTTTAGTAGAGATGGGGTTTCACCATATTGTCCAGGCTGGTCTCGAACTCCTGATCTCAAGTAATCCGCCTGCCTCGGCCTCTCAAATTGCTGGAATTACAGGTGTGAGCCCCTGTGCCTGGCCTTCCCACATCATATACTTCTTGTCCCATTTATAGGACTCAATAACATGAGCCAAGGGTTGTGCCATTCTCCTGGTGCACCCTTCAGCAATTTATTTTTCATCCCTGCAGGAAAAAACTGTTTTAAGTCCTGTGAGAACCCAAACATAGATGACTTGACTCATTCCTAATTCTTGGAGAAGCCCTTGGGCCTTTTCTGTTGACTGCCAGGAGGTCATCCTTCCCGGTAAATTTCCCTCATTAGGTCAAGCCTCCCTCATAGCTAGAATGAGCCAGTCCATAAGCTATGACTCCCTTGCGTCTGCCTTGCCTTAGCAAAGATGCTTCTGCAGGGCTGCATGGGTGGTGATGTTACTCATTTTTTCTGCTTCTCCTGTTAAGGAAATATCATCAGCCCCTGTGTCCCACAATCAGACCATCCAAGCAGCCAGGGATTTCCTCGGTAGTTGTTTAAAGGCCTTTGCAATCTCTAAGAGTTCTGCAGCGGTAGGTTCCCTGACAGTGAGAGTCTCCTGTATCAGCTGACCCCCGTTTTGCTGCCAATGTTAGGTTTCACTTTCCTTTGCATGAGACAGCGAGCTTGCCAATGATCCCCATCCCCCTCCACACCTGTGACTTCTATGTCATCAGTCTTCCTCTTCATAACAATCCCAGGGATTCCAAGTTTTCACATCCCGGTTGGGCTTTCTCATGAGAGCTCTGATTTTTGGTCATTTCCATATCTTTCGCCCTAGGTGGACAAATCTACATGCTAACATTTCAATTTTTGTCTCTTGGTCTTCAATTTTGTTTGCTAAGTTGGATGTGAGGAGAGACATGGAGAGGTACACGTCTTTTTCTAGTTGCAATTCCTTCTCTAGACATTTAATTTTGGCTTCTGCTGCTAGCCGGATCTTCATTGCCAAAAGAAGCACCCAACCCTCTGCAGTGGCTATTGGCCGACCTTCCGTACCCCAGTGCACTATGCGGCTTTCAGTTAATAACTGCTCTAGGCCACCTGGCATTTTCAAGGCATCCCTGCACTCACACAGAGGTACACAGGTATCGAACAGTTGTGCCATCCAACCCTACACAGACGTGGCTGCCGCCCTGGGGTTTCCTTACAGATGCTTCATTCTCCTTACCCATTCCTTGTTCTCCCAGCTACTGGCTGGGGGATCACCAAATGTTCTACCATGAACAGGTCTACACAAACCTACCCCTAAATTTTGAGGGGAAAAGAGATCAAAGAAAGAGACTGACAAATCCAGTTTCTCACAGAGAAATATTTAATGGAGTCTTCCAAAGAGAAGTGATGTCTGAGGTGGCCACAAGATGGTGGATTCCCACACTCCCTCTCCAAAAAATATCCTTTCTAGAGTAAGCTTTTAGGGGAAAACATGTGCAACTGGTCACATCACAGACTTTCTTGCTGAAACCCATGACTGCTGGGGAGGTTAGATAAGCATCTTTGTGAGAGGTTAATTACGCTACAGGCATTGTTTTAAAGCCCTTGATACAGAACACCTTGGTATGCAGGAGTCAGACATTGGACATCTGGCGAGGTGCAGTGGCTCACACCTGTAATCTCAGCATTTTGGGAGGCCAAGGCAGGAGGAGTTCAAGGAGGCCAGGAGTTCAAGACCAGCTTGTGCAACAGAGTGAGGCCCTGTCCCTACAAAAAATTCTAAAAATTAGCCAGGCATGGTGGCACACGAAACTGTAGTCCCAGCTACTCAGGAGGCTGAGGCAGGAGGATTGCCTGAGCCCAGGAATTGAAGGCTGCAATGAGCTATGATTGCACCACTGCAAAACTCCATCTAAAAAAAAAATGGCCATTGTGGTGGTTTCACTTCAAGATGGTATCACTCTTACCATGCAACAGGCTGTTTTCCTATAGCCGCATTGGTAAGATCCAATTCTTTGGTTTGCTGACACTGGAGAAACCCAATAAGTGGTGGAAGATGGAGCAGTTTCTACTGCTGTGAGTTGGGGTGAACCCACCAACAGACTGCTAATTCTCTGCTGAGGGCTCTGTCCCAAGTAGGAGCCCTCCATTACCTTGTGGGCTCAAAGCAACTTAGCCTCTAAAGCAGCTCCCCTCTGTCTTCCAAGACCTGGAGGACCCTCTTCCCTGGACTCATGAAAGGGATACGTGCAGCTCTTCTGGGCGGGGATTTATGAGAATCTCGGGTCTTTGCAAGAGCCTCTTGGAAGATTCGACCTCAGCAGGCCAGAAAGTCTTTCCCTTGGGAAACCAGGGAGCACTCAGGGAGATGAGTGTCACCAGCTCCTCCACCCTGATGGGTAGTCAGGCCTGGAGCACATGGAAATGCCCTGGGAACCTCGACTTCAAGTGAATATGCGTACCCCCCTCCCCCCTCCCCCCCCACACACAGAGCAGGTAGTTGTAACGCCTCCACCTCATCCTGCTCTTGGCTCTTCATGTATCACAACCTAATCTCTGTGTACCACAGGCCTCACGCAGGAGCCCATAGCATGCTGGCACCCGCCCTCCCTCCTTATCTCTCCCAAGTCAATTCTCCAGCCAATCGGGGTGTCTCAGAGATACAGGGACCTTGCCTGGGGCAAAAAGGATTAGAAAATGCAGACACACAGATAAGAATGAGGTCTTTGGATTTTACTGTGGAGATTTTGAATGCCAGATGGAGTCCAGCATGGAGGTTTTCTCCTATAACTGAGTTCATCTCAGAGCTAGATACCCACCCCGGGGCACGCACAGCTTCTCTTTGTCGTGTGTGTTAGATGAGATGTATTTATTTCTTAGCTAAATGAGCAATATAGTATTCTCTTTCCAGTGTCTGGTAAAGGCAAGAAAGGTGAGGAATACCTTCTTCAAGATTTTCAGGATCTCAAACAAAGCTGGGAGGGGTCTCCTGGGATGAATGAAAGGAAACCAGGTCTTGGGTGCCCAGGTCTCTTCCTTCCTGAAGAATGCGGCACTTGCTTCCGGGGCTGCTCAGGGCCCGCTGTTCCTCCCGCTCATCTCCATGGCTATCGAGGATACTGGTCTCCTCCAGAACCAGTTAGGACTCCACCTGGGCCTGTGGGGGGCTCCATGATTCCCTCCAGGGCCTGGACCAAGGCCATGGTTGAGGCCATGAGGGTGGTAGACAGCTGTGTTAAAGGTGTTTCTCAGGGACAGGCTGTTTCTCTAAAAAAAGAAGAGTCAATAGTTTCAGAATTGCATCCCTGTCTCCCACGCCTTTACCACGTACGCCTTCTGGAATCTTCTCCCACTTCCAACCATACTCTTTACCTAGTTCTCCTTTCTCCAGTCCTTTCTGTGGCCCCCTTTTCCCGCAGGTCAGCAGCTTCCTCTGCATTGACCTACCATGTCTCTGTGTTACTCTTTCCTGATCTCCCTTCCTCCCTACCCACCCCTGACTTGAGACCCCTTCTATTCACACCCATTTCCTTGTGTTTCTGCTGCTCCTTCCCCCAGGCATTTTCTTACATATTAGGCACTCACCACACAGAAGAAGAGCCCAGCAAAGAGCCCCACGGCCGCCACAACCGAGACCAGGGTGATGAGGAAGATTTCCCACGGCACCAGGGACCCACCAGGCTTCGCCTCACTCACTGCAGTAGATGCACTATGGGAAGTTGTGTGCATTCCAGTCAGAGCTGCTGTTCCAGAGCCTGCAGAGGTCACACTGGACCCAGAGTTGGTGGCTGTGTTGGCCCCACTGGAGGTTGTGCTGGACTCAGAATTGGTGGCAGTGCTGGCCCCACTGGACACTGTGCTGGACTCAGAGTTGGTGGCTGTGCTGGCCCCACTGGAGGTCGTGCTGGACTCAGAGGTGGTGGCTGTGCTGGCCCCACTGGACACTGTGCTGGACTCAGAGTTGGTGGCTGTGCTGGTCCCACTGGAGGTCGTGCTGGACCCAGAGTTGGTGGCTGTGCTGGCCCCACTGGAGGTTGTGCTGGACTCAGAGTTGGTGGCTGTGCTGGCCCCACTGGAGGTCGTGCTGGACTCAGAGTTGGTGGCTGTGCTGGCCCCACTGGAGGTTGTGCTGGAGTCAGAGTTGGTGGCTGTGTTGGCCCCACTGGAGGTCGTACTGGACTCAGAGTTGGTGGCTGTGTTGGCCCCACTGGAGGGTGTGCTGGACTCAGAATTGGTGACTGTGCTGATCCCACTGGACACTGTGCTGGACTCAGAGTTGGTGGCTGTGCCGGCCCCACTGGAGGTCGTGCTGGACTCAGAGTTGGTGGCTGTGCCGGCCCCACTGGAGGGTGTGCTGGACTCAGAGTTGGTGGCTGTGCTGGCCCCACTGGAGGTCGTGCTGGACTCAGAGTTGGTGGCTGTGCCAGCCCCATTGGAGGTCGTTCTGGACTCAGAGTTGGTGGCTGTGCTGGCCCCACTGGAGGTTGTGCTGGACTCAGAGTTGGTGGCAGTGCTGGCCCTACTGGACACTGTGCTGGACTCAGAGTTGGTGGCTGTGCTGGCCCCACTGGAGGTTGTGCTGGACTCAGAGTTGGTGGCTGTGCTGGCCTCACTGGAGGTTGTGCTGGAGTCAGAGTTGGTGGCTGTGCTAGCCCCACTGGAGGTTGTGCTGGAGTCAGAGTTGGTGGCTGTGCTGGCCCCACTGGAGGGTGTGCTGGACTCAGAGTTGGTGGCTGTGCTGGCCCCACTGGAGGTTGTGCTGGACTCAGAGTTGGTGGCTATGCTGATCCCACTGGACGCTGTGCTGAACTCAGAGTTGGTGGCTGTGCTGATCCCACTGGAGGTTGTATGGAACTCAGAGTTGGTGACTATGCTGACCCCATTGGAGGTCACGCTGGACCCTGAGATGGTGGCTGTGCTGACCCCACTGGAGGTCACACTGGACCCAGAGTTGGTGGCTGTGCTGGCTCCACTGGAGATCACACTGGATCCAGTGTTGGCAGAGGTGCTAGTCTCATTGGAATTTGTTGCTGAAGAAATCATATAATGACAAATATATATTGTGTGTATATACTTTCTGCTTATTGCTTGGCTAAATTCATTACATAATTTTATTTAATGCTCACTATGGTGCTATAACATAGATGCTATTATTATCACCAGCTGAGATGAAGAAATTGAGGCTTCAAAATGTTGATACTGGGCTGGGCACGGTGGCTCACGCCTGTAATCCCAGCACTTTGGGAGGCCAAGGTGGGCGGATCACCTGAGGTTGGGAGTTCGAGACCAGCCTGACCAACATGGAGAAACCCCATCTCTACTAAAAATACAAAATTAGCCGGGCATTAATTCCAGCTACTCGGGAGGCTGAGGCAGGAGAATCACTTGAACCCGGGAGGCAGAGGTTGCGGTGAGTCGAGATCGAGCCATTGCACTCCAGCCTGGGTGCCAAGAGCAAAACTCCGTCTCAAAAATAAAAAATAAAAAAAAGTTGACACTGGCCCAAGTTTACACAGCTAGTGAGTGGTGGAACAGGAAACTGAACCCAGGCTACTAAATCTGCACTTGTGGAGACTAAGCTAAGTCAACCACCCACCCACAATGCCAGAGTTACATCATCTAGTTTCACTGGTAGCTAACCTTTTTCCACATTCTGCTATGCAAGATACAATACAGATATAAAGTATTATAAAAGAATTATAGGACTAGGTGAAACTAGTATATACTGATCAATTTTTTTCTTAAGTAGTATTGCTTCCTTCTTGGAAAATATTTCTCAGAATAATATTCAGAACACACTTATTTCAGAATTACTTAAGGGAGCATGTTGAAAATATTCTTAAGCAAATCATTCCAGACTAAATGAATTAGAATTTGAGATGGGGCCCAGGAGTCTGCATGTACAACAAGAAGCCAGGTGACTATATGCATTCAAGTTTCAGGGGCCCTTGATCACTATGGCCAAGGCTAGAGAAGAACGAGTTATATGTAGCTCAAATACATAAGAGCTCCCAGGAATAAGGGCTGTAAACCAACGTCTAAAGGTAGAGGGAAGGCTTTTAACTTCTTGGAGGCTTGGCTGGAGTTAAGGTTATGTCAAATTTTTGCCCTTGATTTCCCAGAAGGATGAAGACATTCAACCTCCCCAGCCTGTACGTGGGAAGCTGACGAGGAATTAGGTGTAGGGGTAGGAGAGAAATTGAGTTTGTAGAATATAGAAGAGTGGTATTTTATTTTATTTTATTTTATTTTATTTTATTTTATTGCTTATTTATTTATTTGTTTTTGAGACGGAGTCTTGCTCTGCCACCCAGGCTGGAGTATAGTGGAGCAATCTCAGCTCACTGCAACATCCGCCTCCCACGTTCAAGCGATTCTCCTGCCTCAGCCTCCTGAGTAGCTAGGATTACAGGCATAAGCCACCCCGCCAGGCTAATTTTTGTACTTTTAGTAGAGATGGAGTTTCACCATGTTGGCCAGGCTGGTCTGAAACTCCTGGCCTCAAGACATCCACCCGCCTTGGCCTCCCAAAGTGCTGAGATTACAGGCGTGAGCCACTGAGCCTGGCCTTATTTTATTATTTTATTTTTTTGAGACAGAGTCTCACTCCGTCACCCAGGCTGGAGTGCAGTGGCACCATCTTGGCTCACTGCAACCTCCGCCTCCCGGGTTCAAGCTATTTTCCTGCCTCAGCCTCCTGAGTAGCTGGGAGTACAGGGACAAGCCAACACACTCAGCTAATTTTTGTATTTTTAGTAGAGACAGGGTTTTGCCACGTTAGCTAGGCTGGTCTTGAACTTCTGACCTCAATGACCTGCCTGCCTCACCCTCCCAAAGTGCTGGGATTAAAGGCATGAGCCACCGCACCCCGCCAGAAGAGTGACATTTTAAAAGCAGCCGACTCTTCTTGTTCTTAATATTTAAAACCCCAACCATATTACACAGGTTGTTACCATTTTACAGATGCAGAAATCGAGGCGCAGAGAAGCAACTGACCTAAAGTACACAGTTAATAGATGGAGCCATAATTCAAATGTAGGCAATGTGAGACCAGAGCCCAATTTTAACCACTGTGTCTGACTGCTTCCTGCATGACATACCTTGTTAGGCTGAAGTGATTCGAGTAAAATGATGATCCTCACTCTATGGAAGAGAAGCAGAGCTGGCCCCAGTAGTGGTCACATTTCTCTCCCAACTCCTCAAAGGTTCTCAGACCACCCGATTTTAAATAAAATCACTCACCAGCTTCTAAATGCAATAGTAGACCAAACATAAGGAGAACATTTCCTTTCTGCATCTTCATCTGTCTCTTTGTGGCTGGAAAGCAAGATGCCTGGGTCCTAGATGTACCAAGACTTTAGAGGGCAAAGAACAGAGGATTCTTGAGAAAGGGGACTTGAAGGTGAAGAGATAAAGGCTGGTGCTTCCAGGAGCGTGGGTCTCCTACGTTTGTGTTCCTGGGAAGAATCTTGGACTCAGGCGTGGGCAGCTGGATGCCTGGGTTCCTTAGGCTTCCTCCAGGCAATGTAGTTGCCTCTTTCTCTGTTGTGAAAGAGCTGCAGGGGCCTTTATAGCTTCATATGGTCTGAGGAGGGGTGGGGCAGTTGACCTGACAGTCTGCCAACTACAGGCAGGTGAGAGAACGATACCAAGCCTGGGACGGAATAGAGCAGGGGTCAAGAGGAAGGTGAGAAAGGAGAATGACATGACCACACTAGGCAGGGTGCTTGGCTGGGTTGCAGCAGGAAGTAGAATGGGATGAGGAGATCATGGTTGTCAGAGTGGAAGGGACCCACCCTTTGAAGCAGGGATCGGGTTAGAAACCTGTTGCAGCTCAAGAATTTGTTTTCTGGTCAGGAAGTCCTGTGGGCCTGCTTTAGCATGAAAGAAGCCCTAATGAACTGAGCCAAGAGAGTAGGACCTCACATCTCTACAGCAAACAGTAATAGGTGACGCAAAAGAGACCAGTAACTAGGACTCTGGGCTCCTGGGTTATGGGCAGAAGACAAATGGAGTATTACTGAGTATGCAGTAAGCACTCAACAATGCACATTGAAGGAACAGGGGAAGAGAGATCCAGAAGACATAATGAAGAGAGATAATGAAAACATGTTTGGGGTCTCTGGGGCATGAGAACTGAGGGTGTGGGAGAGTATTGAATACGCCCCCTGTCAGACTCATAGCAGGAGAAGGAAGGTAGGGTCTCCTTCTGACCCTCAACCATAGGAGCTCCCCTCTGTTTTGTTTTTGTTTTCAGACGGCTGTATAGGAGCCTTTCCACCCTGAGATCCTTCTGATGTGCCTTAGCATCAGTTCCAAGGAAGCGTCTCTCAGGAGAGTACACACCTTAGGGAGAGACACAGTGCCATATCGGGACACAGTCTGATGGGAGGAGGGAGATCAACAGTCCAAGTCCTGGAGGAGGCTTGAATTTGGTCTGGACACTTGGGTATGGCCAGCAGAGGGGAAACAGTCAGCTAAAAGAGCGTGACTGAAGAGACCCAAATGAGCAGAGGGTTTGGGGAGGTCTGAGATGGCATCTGTGACCAGGCTGATGGGGTTCCAATATACAGTCTGTATTTTCTGTCATAGTCCATTGGTGTTGCTATAAAGGAATCCCTGACTGTGGGTGACATAGAGAAAAGAGGCTTATTTGCCTCACGGTTCTGCAGGCTGTATGAGAAGCATGGCACCAACGTCTGCACTGGTGAGGGCTTCAAAAAGCTTCCACTCGTGGCCGAAGGAGAAGGGGAGCCGGTTTGCACAGATCATATAGCGAGAGAGAGGAAGCTGGAAAGAAGGAATGGAGGAGGTGACAGGATCTTTTCAACAACCAGTTCTTGTGGGAACTAAGAGTGAGAACTCACTGGTTGAGAATGGCACCGAGCTGTTCATGAGGGATCTGTTTCAACCACCCAAACTCCTCCCACCAGGCTCCACCTCCAACATTGGGAATCAAATTTCAACATGAGACTTGGCAGGGTTTAACAACCACATCCAAACCATTGCAATGACCAAAGTGAGTTGTCTGCATTTCCCCCAACAATGACGAGAAGCTTCCTGGAAGACACAGTCTCTCAGATAGTTTATTTGTAGGCGAACGAGCTTTCCTGACATGCAAGTTCTGTTAGAAGGAAGCTGGCAAGCAGGAGGTGGCTGAAGACATGAAGGAGCTCTGAATGAGTGAGCTGGAGAAACAGAAAGGGTCAGCGGTGTGCTGGGAAAGGCTCAGAAGTGAGTCTGCCTAGTGGCTGTGATGGGAAGTTCCAGAGGGTCAGGTATGCGGGAACGCTCAGTGACAGGTTGGGTCCTGGACTCCCAGCAATTCTTCTGATGTGCCAGTATTCTGCAGCTGAAAAGCCAATAGCACTCTAAGAATTTTCTTCTTCCAGAATTATTTAGAAACTGAGATCCTGGATTCAAGTCCAAATTTCACCTTTTAGAGGGTACTCTGAAAATTGTAGCGCGCATACTTATCAGAGCCTAATGTAATTAATATCTTTACTCGCTATCAAAATAACACAAAGACCTCAGAACATTTTAATTCGTATTACCCATCTCCCAAATCATACCCTAATATCATCAAGTATTTTAATTCCTTCTTGTTTGTTAACTTCATGAAAGATTATTGTAAAAAAAAAATTATTGTTGTCTGCTTACACACCCTCAGCCTGAACGCAGTCACACAGCCATGTTAAGCTGCAAGAGAAACTGAGAAAGACTGTCTCTAGCTGGGTAGACGTGTGCTCAGCTGACACTTGAGAGATCTGTTGCTAAAGGTGGAGAATGGGTGTTAGCAGACAACCATAAAGCCGTGACATGATCCAGCAACCCCACTGCTGAGGAGGTAGCCAAAAGAAAAGAAATCAGTGTATCAAAGAAATATCCGCACTCCAACGTTTGTTGCAGCACTGTTTGCAATAGCTAAGATTTGGAAGTGTCTATTAATGGATGAATGAATAAAGAAAGTGTGGTACAGGCCGGGCGCAGTGGCTCACACCTATAATCCCAGCACTTTGGGAGGCCGAAGTGGGTGGATCATAAGGTCAGGAATTCAAGACCAGCCTGGCCAACATGGCAAAATCCCATCTCCACTAAAAATACAAAAATTAGCCCAGTGTGGTGACGGGCGCCTGTAATCCCAGCTACTCGAGAAGCTGAGGTAGGAGAATTGCTTGAACCTGGGAGACGGAGGTTGCAGTGAGCCAAGATTGTGCCATTGCACTCCAGCCTGGGCGACAGAGTGAGACTCCATCTCAAAAAAAAAAAAAAAAGAGCCAGGCACGGTCATGCCTGTAATCCCAGCACTTTGGGAAGCACAGGTGGGCAGATCATGATGTCAGGAGTTCGAGACCAGCCTGGCCAGCATGGTGAAACCCCATCTCCACTAAAAATACAAAAATTAGCCGGGCGTGGTGGCAGGCATCTGTAATCCCAGCTACTCGGGAGGCTGAGGCAGAAGAATTGCTTGAACCTGGGAGGCAGCGGTTGCAGTGAACCCAGATCGAGCCACTGCCCGCACTCCAGCCTGGATGACAGAGCAAGTCTCCATCTCGGAAAAAAAAAAAAAAAAAAAAAAAGAAAAGAAAAGAAAACGTGGTACATATACATAGTAGAGCATCATTCAGCCATAAAGAAAGAATGAGATCCAGTCATTTGCAACAACATCGCTGGACATGGAGATCATTATGTTAAGTGAAAAACCCGGCACAGAAAGACAAACATTGCATGTTCTCATTTATTTGTGGGATCTAAAAATCAAAAACAACTGAACTCATGGACATAGAGTCTAGAAGAATGGTTACCAGAGGCTGGGAAAGGTAGTGGGGAGGACTGGGGGAGGTAGAGATGGTTAATGAATGAATTAATTAAATGAATTAAATTAATTTAAAAAAACAAATGAATTAAAAAGAATGAATAAGACCTACTCTTTGATAGCACAACAGGGTAACTATAGTGAATAATAACTTAATTGTATATATTAAAATAACATAAAGAGTGTAATTGGATTTTTTGTAACTCAAAGGATAAATGCTTGAGGGGATAGATACCCCATTCTCCACGATGTGCTGATTTCACATTGCATACCTGTATCAAAACATCTCATGTACCCCATAAATATATACACCTACTATGTACCACAAAAAGTAAAAATAAAAAAAATTAAAAATAAAGCCAGGACGTACATTTAAACCTACTTACCTTATATTCTGTATTTAATAATTTCAATACCTAAAGTCTTTGAGGATCTGATACTGCTGTCTAGCTTTTTGGTTTTGTTTTCTTCCTTGCTGGTTTTCACTCAGGGTGTCTGTTTTCACTTATGATTTGAGAATCATGACTATAAATTTATTTTTCTTGGAATGTTATCTGTCGAGATCAAGGCTGCAGTGGCACTAGCATAACTCACTGCAGCCTTGACCTTCTGGGCTCAGGCAATCCTACTGCCTCGGCCTCCCAAATTTCTGGAATTACAGATTAAGCTACGATCTTTCACAGAGAATTTGCATGTTTTTTCCAAGCATATGGAGACATTACCATTTGAGGATTATTTTATTATTATATTTTTAATTAAAATATTTTATTAACATTGTTACTGTATATACTTATGGGGTACAATTTAATGTTTTAATACATATATATGCTGTATAATTTGAGGATTATTTTAAGCTAAACTATAGGATTGCGGTCTTTTGAATTACCTAGACTGCATGATTTGTGGCTACAAACCATGTAAGTAAGGTATTGTTGGTTGTTGTGGTTACAATTTATTTCTCAAGGGATACTCCCTCTACCCTCCTCTGCACCAAATTTAGAGACAGGCAATTTTGCTTACATTTCCTTAGAGGAGGGGCAGGTTTATTTTTAGTTTACATTCTCACTGAAAGTTACAGATTTATGTGATTCCTCCCCACCCATGACCTTGGGCTGATCCAGCTGAAGCTGTAATACCCGAAGCTTAAGTTCTTTGGGTTTTGCAAAAGTTGGCTTCATTACTTCCCTTACCTCCTGGGTCCTATTTAGTCTTTAATTTTAGCATTCCATACTTTCATGCCAATTCACTGACTCTTTTAAGAAGATTTTGAAGTCCATAACTTAGCTTTACAGTGTATTTTCAGTCAGGGCACGTAGTCCATTATATAGCAAGAAGTTTAAGTTGTCATTGGATTGTTTTGAGAAATAAATGGTGATGTATTTACAGGCACTAGCATAGTGTTTGGCACTTAATAAGCATGCAATAATAAAGGACAAAGGGAAAATAAAAAAGACAAACATAAATACATAAATACATAGATGCCAGGTGTATTTTGAGATTTTAATTTGTAGCACTGTCCCAGTAAATTTCTTCTAACTTATCACATAGCATTTGAAAGAGGCAAAGAAGTAGGGAGGGAGACTCTTCCCAAAGATGAAGAACTGGAGGGCACTGAGTGAGTCTAACAGGATTTTCTGATCTACTCAGTTTGTAGAGTTTGAAGTTACAAATCCAAATAAAGAAAGTTGTGTAATTACAAATTCTCAGGGGAAATTTTTTACCCCCTCCATTATTATAAACTGTGATAATCTTATTCTTCCTCCTACTGGTCAGGTTCCATCCTGAGGAAACGATAGAAAGCCAAAGCCTAAAGAGTTCTGACTTGTGTGTTGAGAGATCAAAGAGAAATTGTTCTGAGCTTGATCATCGTGACCCCTCCTCCCCACAAGAGTTGGAACCATGGTTATGCTCAGGGGATATTTTCACTTGAGCTCACACCCAAAGCTGGTGAGGCTGCAGGTCTCCTCCAGAACCACTCCCTATTTTTCTGACTGTCCCGTTGGCCAAACCCTCTGTGCTCTTTTCTCTGGTTCTTTTCTTGATTTTGATCATGACCATCTCTATGGCCAATCCCTTGGAGACCTCAGAGAAGCCCATCCTGACCCATTTTATGGTCACTACCTTCTCCTCCATGATCCCCCTTCTTCCCCAAGATTTTCTTTTCCATAGCACCTTCCATTATCCAGTCTATGTCTATACTCTCCTTTGCCTTGGCGACCTTCTCTGTGATGCATTTCATGATTATTGCTGTAGCCTCCTCCAAGTCCATAACGCCCACCATGATTCACTCCACAGCCATCTCCATGGCTGTGGCTCAGCTCATGGCCCACTCCATGTCCAAAGCCATGTGTTCCTGTGTGTCCCATCTCAAGTCCCCCTCCATGAATGAGTGCATTTCCCAGGCTGTGGAATGTCCCAGAGCCCAGGACTGAGTCCAGGTATAAACCAAGGTCAAGGCTGTTGTCATGGAGGTTATAAATGCCTCTATTTGTCAGGGTAAAGAAAGATCCTTCTAAAAGAGAAAAATATATATATTAGTAGTTAACTCCTTTTCTTTCTTATCATTAAACCTTGGATTATCAAAATTCATAAATTTTCACTTTTCAATATTGTCTATTTTCTCATCAAGTCTTCCTGTGTGTGTGTGTGTGTGGATGATATTTAGGACTCTCTTCCTCTTATTTATTTATTTATTGGAGAAAACAGTCTTCCTAATTAGTATACTTGTACCTTGGTAGGGATCTATGCTGCTCAACTTTCAAGACAAGATAAGTCTGGGCATGGTGGCTCGTGCCTGTAATCCCAAAACTTTTGGAGGCTGAGGTAGGTGGATTGCTTGAGCCCAGGCATTCCAGAGACCAGCCTGGGCAACATGGTGAAACCCCATCTCTACAAAAATAAAAAAAACAAGACAAGGTAAATTTGCATCCTGTACCTGGGAACAGAGTCAGCTAAGAGTAGGGAATCTTTTATTGTGTAAATCAACCAAAAAGGTTGCATGTCTATGAGGTCAGGTAAAAATAAATAAAAGTTCATAAGGCCAGGTACAGTGGCTCATGCCAGTAATCCTAGTACTTTGGGAGGCCAAGGCGAGAGGATCACTTGAACCCAGCTCTATCTCTGGGTAGACAGAAGCTGCAGTGAGCCAAGACGGCACCACTGGACTCCAGCCTGGGTGACAGAGTGAGACCCCATCCAAAAATTAAAATGAAAAATTTTTTTTAAAGTTCATAAAATAGAAGCTAGAATAGTGCTTACCTTTGATGGAGTGGGTATTATCTGGGAAGGGCCACAAAATAAACTACTCAGATGGTAGAAATATTCTACATTTTAAGTTGGGTAATGGTTGTACAAGTGTTAACACATTTTGAAATTAATCAAGCTGTACAAATAATATTTGTGTACTTTTGTAAATTATAGTTCAAAATTTTTTCATCTGTGAACAGTATTTATTTTTTTCAATTAATATTGTTCTTTTTATTTTTTTTTTATTTCTTGAGACAGAGTCTTGCTCTGCTACCCAGGCTGGAGTGCAGTAGCACGATCTCGGCTCACTGCAACCTCTGCCTCCCAGGTTCAAGCAATTCTCCTGCCTCATCCTCCAGAATAGCTGGGATTACATGCATAAGCCACCATACCCGACTAATTTTTGTATTTTTAGTAGAGACAGGGTTTCCCCATGTTGGCCAGGCTGGTCTTGAACTCCTTACCTCAGATGATCCATCCGCCTCAGCCTCCCAAAGTGTTGAGGTTACAGAACTGCGCCCGGCTGTTCTTTTTATTTTTAAGTGTAATTTAACTTTTAACCTTTCTCCCAACTGTATTAAGTTGATACGTGAAACATATATTTGGACTTCTGCACATTTCCTGGCATGCAGCTCCTAAAATCCTTAGGTACTGAAAAGTGATTTTTTTTTTTGTATGCGAATGAGTCAACTGTTGGCTACAGGATGGGGGCTAATCACCGGAAAGACCAAAGCACCACCCCTTAACCCTTAACCTCCAGGGAGGAGAGGGGACTGAAGGTTAAGTTGATTACCAGTGGCCATGGTTTAATCAGGTATACCTACATAATGAAGCCTCTGTAAAAACCCCAAAGGCCAGGGCTCAGAAAACATATGGAGGTTCCTGGAGGATGGAGTGCTGGGGAGGGCATGGAAGCTCCCTGCTCCTTCTCCCTCCACGCCTCTTCACCTGTATCCTTTGTAATATCCTTTGTAATAAACCAGTAAAGGTGTTTCCCTGAGTTCAGTCAGCCACTCCTGCAAATTAATCGAAACCAAACAGGAGTAGCCAACTCCAACTTGCTCCAGTTGGTCAGAAGTTCCAGAGGCCTGGACTTGGCAGCCTGTGGGAAGGAGCGGTTGGTGTTGAGGGACTGCGCGCTTAGTCTGTGGATCTGATGCTATCTCCAGGTAGGCAGTGCCAGCACTGAATCGGAGGACACCGAGCTGGTGTCTGCTGCAGAACTGATTGCTTGCTTAGTGTGGGAAGAACTTCCCCTCTTAATTTGGTCACCAGAAGTGTTTTGTGTTGGTGGTGGTGTGAGAGCAGAGGAAACACAGTTTGTGTTTTTCCCACTTTCAAAGCTGGTGAATAAATATTGCATATACTTATGGTGTACAATGTGATGTTTTGATATATGTATACATTTTGAAATTATTAAATCAAATTAACATATCTATTGCCTTGCATACTTATCATTTTTTATTGGTAAGAATTACACCTCAATTTTTAAAGATAAAGAAAAATAAGAGACAGGCCATAAAGAGCTAAAGGTTGGAGAACTATCTAAAAAACACTGTGGGCCAGGTGCGGTGGTTCACGCCTGTAATCCCAGCACTTTGGGAGGCCGATGTGGACAGATGATGAGGTCAGGAGTTCGAGAGCAGCCTGGCCAACATGGTGACACCCCATCTCTACTAAAAATACAAAAAATTAGCCGGGCATGGTGGCACATGCCTGTAATCCCAGCTACTCAGGAGGCTGAGGCAGGAGAATTGCTTGAACCCGGGAGGTGGAGGTTGCAGTGAGCCGAGATTGTGCCATTGCACTCCAGCCTGGGCAACAGGGTGAGGCTTCGGCTCAAAAAAACAAACAAACACTCTGGCTAAGAACACAGGCTCTGCTGTCAAGCGGACCAGAATTAGAGCCTAGCTCTGCGTGGCCTTGTCCTGTGGTCTTCAGCAAGTTACTTATGTCTCTGCTTCCAGTTTTCTAGTCTATAAAATGGGATAATAGGAGTACGCATCCCCAAGGGTGGTTGAGCAGAGCAAAGGAGAGATGATGCCCTCTAAGCACTCTGGGCCCTGGACCTCATACCTAGTAGATAGCTAATAAAATGCTAGTTAACTAATATTACATCTTTATCTTAAACATTTAGGGGGTTGCTCATGGCTGGTGAGTCACATATTGTTCTTCCCTTAGGGAGGGGTCAGAGACTCTGAAATAAGAAACTCAGGTAAGTTGATTGTAAATTATGTTAACTGTTTGTGGCTTGTGTGAATTTCTCATTTATGTATTGTGTACTCACTCTGGCTCCTCCTACAAATTTACAAGACTGCATACAGGAATACATAAAGCCAAAATGGGAAAATATAAATGTTCTATTTCTTAAAATAGAACAAGAGAAATACATTTGAATAGAAGATTAAGACCAGGATGGACAATAGAACACAGTCTGCTGCTGGCCAGTGGCTGTCACATTGGCACCAAGAACTGCGGAGGGCTGGGGCCTCTGGAACGTCAAACCCTCCCCTACACCAGGGGGAGCGTTTCTACAGCCTCCATTCTCCAGAAGGGCATTTCTTTGTCAACTTCCCTTAGTGTTTCATGAAGTTTTGAAATCTCTAGCCTATTTGAGTTGTGCTAAGAGGTACCTAGAAAAGTGAATTTGTTTTCACTTGGGTAAAATCATAAAGGCATGAGGTGGGACATGCCCCACTCTCACCCTGGAAGGAGCTTATGATTTTGTCTGTCTTGAAAGTGAAAAACCTGTTGAGGACCTAAATGTTCATCACTTTCCAAAGATGTTTTTTCTAGTGTTACATTCCCAGCTATTTTATAAGACACATTTTCCATCATATTCTCAATGCTCTCCTATTCATACCCAGACACTTTCCTCTCACTTGGGGCCCCCTTCCTCTTTTTTTTTTTGAGATGGAGTTTCACTCTTATAGCCCAGGCTGGAGTGCAGTGGCGCGATCTCGGCTCACTGCAACCTCTGTCTCCCGGGTTCAAGAAGTTCTCCTGCCTCAGCCTCCCGAGTAGTTGGGATTACAGGTGCCTACCACCACACCGGCTAATTTTTGTATTTTTAGTAGAGATGGAGTTTCACCATTTTGGTCAGGCTTCTCTCGAACTCCTGACCTCAGGTGATCCTCCTGCCTTGGCTTCCCAAAGTGCTGGGATTACAGGTGTGAGCCACCACGCCCGGCCTCTTCTTCTTCTTCTTCTTCTTTTTTTCTTCCTGCTATATCTATCGTTTATATTTTCTGTCTTTCTCCTTCTCCCTGGTCTTTATACTACACTATGTGAGACAGTAAAAATCAGACTGCGAAAGCAGCAGTCGGCCGCTGTCCATCAGGAGGTAGATGCATAACAGCATAGGTGGCCAGCTGTGAGGGGCACTGAGAGGAATATTTTTCCCCAGGGCGCACTGCAGCTGTGAAGTATCACAGCCCTTACTCACTTCCAGTGACCTACTCACTTGCAGTGATTTAGCCAATGAAAAATTTCATTCTCTAAAATCGCAGACTATTACAAATTTGCTGTTTGATTCTAAATCAGTGAGAAGGAAATATCCCATTCTTGTCTGGAAACTCTAAGTGACTTTGACACAGAGAAGCAGCCTCCAATTCCAACTGGGGTACAGATAAGGGGTTTCTCTGAATACAACATTCCACGTTCATTTTAACTGTAGTTTCCAAGGAAACAATCTATTTCACAGTTTCAAGCTGCCGGTGACCCCTTTACAAACAGCCCTGCTTTCTTTTGAGCCTTTTAAAATTCTTTCATTTAAATTTCACCAAAAATCCACACTTTCCTCCAATACTATAATGACATTTCCCCCAATACTATAATGACATTTCCCCCAATACTGTAATGACATTTCCGTTGTTTGGTGAGAAGCTCCTCAGCTCCCTGGTATACAGCCTCCCATTTTGCAACTAACTGATAAATCTGACTTCATGGGACTATACATTTGCTCCTGCACTCTTGGTCGATTGGACTAGGGTACAAGTGACTCTCCAGACCCCTCTCCATGCTAATAGTCTAGTGGCCCTTCTTCCGTCAATTCTAATCCTCCTCGTGATCTATCTTCTCAGGAAAGCTCTGCCCATTTCCATGCTCAGTCACTCACAGGCAAAACCTCAGTCCTACTGACAATCCAACACCAACCATGACTACAGCCAGGGAAATGAGCATGATGGCCTGGGGCTGTAAATGTCCACTCAGTTTGATCACATGTTTGGATGTGTGGCTCACGCTAACTGTATTTGTGCCTGTGGACATTGGGCCTGTTTACTGGGAGGTGTTGCTGGTTGGCTCACGGGTGGATCCTGTAGTGGTCCTGAAGCTGGGGGCTGAGGTGGTAGATGATGCTCCCATAGTGGATGTACCCAGGTCAGAGGTGTTTGAGACTATTCCGGTCACAGGATGGCTGCAGCAGAGGCCATGGAGTCCATTCCAGGGGCCATGGTGACAGAGCTAGGGGCGGTAGGACTGGTTCCAGGGGTCACACAACATGATGCATTCATAGCAGAGATAATTAAAGGGGAGTGGGAGCGCTTAGAGCAGAGCGGGGTGAATCTAACATGTCTATGGTGAGAGTAGCTCAGGAGAGGGGTGGTGGGGGAGGAGAGATGGTAGAAAGCCATTCCTCTGTGGCTGTGTCCTCACAATAGAGGTGGGTGTCGTACAGAGGAGGAGGTAGAATGTGTCACCTGGTGGAGTTGGTGATGGAGGAGGCAGAAGGTTGAGGAAACGTGACCGTGATGGGTATGGAAGTGGAAGATCTATTTGACTTCGGAAGTGGCCACCCAAATAGAAGAGGGCGGGCTTGTATACAAAGTGGCAGGCCCTGCTTCTTTTGTGACTGTGATCACTGGGTGTAAGGAGGGAGCTGGAGGAGGAGATGACAGAATTGGATTCATTCATGGGCATGCCAGTGGCCGTGGCTGGGACGGAGGTGACATCATCTACCACACTGTGGTGGTCAGCAAAGGTGGGGTGAGTGTGCTTGGGCAGATGTGGGAGGACCTGACCCAAGTGGAGAAGGCTGCTCACAGGGACAGGAGAGGGTGGGCTCAGACAGGTGCGAGTGAGAATCAACACAGCAGAGGCAGTGGTGGTGGCTTTGATAGCAATGGGTGTGCCTAGGTCAGAAGTGGTGAAAATAGGATCCCAAACAGCACCAGTCACCAGAATAGAGGTGAGGGTGCTCAGAACGAAGAGGATAGAATCAGATGCAACCGGCTTGCTGATGGAAAGTGCCAGAGAATGAACATAATTGTTTGGTCTTAGACTGGAGCAAGGTGATATGATTTGGATTTGTGTCCCTGCCCAAATCTCATGTCAAATTGTAATCTCCAATGTTGGAAGAGGGGTGTATTAGTCAGGGTTCTCTACAGCGACAGAACTGATGGAATATATATAAAGCGGAGTTTATTAAATATTAACTCACATGATCACAAGGCCCCACAATAGGCCGTCTGCAGGCTGAGGAGAAAGGAGAGCCAGTCCGAGTTCCAAAACTGAGGAAGCATCCAGCACGGGAGGAAGATGTAGGCTGGGAGGCTGGGCCAGTCTCTCTTTTCACATTTTTCTGCCTGCTTAAATTCTAGCCACTCTGGCAGCTGATTAGATTGTGCCACCCAGATTAAGGGTGGGTCTGCCTTTCTGAGGCCACTGACTCAAATGTTCATCTCCTTTGGTAACACCCTCGCAGACACACCCACGATCAATACTTTGTGTCCTTCAATCCAATCAGGTTGACACTCAGTATTAACCATCATAAGTCCACCCCTTGTCAACTTGAACCCATGCGCATCTCCTGAGATTATACATAATCTTCAAATAAAGACAATAATAAGGTCATAATTATGCCCAACATAATACAACTATCCTTCATACAACCGGAAACGCACCAATCCCCAGCCCATATGCTATTACGCAAAGTTAATAATACTTAAATGCTGATGTGAAGTCAATAAATCTTACATCACATAATAAAGGAGAAAGGAAATAAAATGAAGATATTTTCTTAGTACAAGTGTATACATGTACAAACGTGTTTTTAACAAAAGAAGGAGGAAATACTCATGACAATTACAGCGCTCTTTCTGCAGCTGGTCACGCAGTCATAGTTGGTATTGATGGCTACCTTCTTCTGCTACCCATTCTGTATTCCCTTTCCCTTTAGCAAGCATCTCAGCAGGTCATGGTTTTTTCCTGGTGGAGTGACCCAAACTTCCATTTCTGAAGGGTCTGGGTCATTTGTAGTCCTGCCTGGATTGGGCTGTTGTAGTTTCCCACTGACCTTAATCACAGGGCATGGTAATGCTAAGAGACGCCCTAATGGATCTCAAGTATTCCATGCATACTTTTCCTTACCTCCGTTGTGGAGTAGTAGACTGACTTCATCAGGATAGTCTAGGTCAGTCACAGCAGCCAACACTGTAACTCCCTTCTAAGCCTGTTAACGTAAAGGTAGAAGGAGCCCAAAGTGTCCAGGTGGCAATTTTAACTTCCAGTTTAATGGCATTGTTGTTGTGTCTCCTGGTGGCAGCGTTCCTCCCTCTGGAGCTAAGACCTCTAGGCCAGCAGAATGTAATGTCACAGGAACAGGAAGCAAAAATTTTGCTAGTGGATCACTAGGGGTGATGGTGAGTGGTGCCACTTCCACTTCCATCCCTTGCTTCCTGGACCCAGGAATGCTGGCTATGGGAGAAACAGTACCATACAATGGACACTGATTCAGAGCATACACAGCCTTCTAGAGAATTTTGCCCCAGCCCTGCAAAGTATTGTCACCTAGTTGATGTCGTAATTGTGACTTCAAAAGGCCATTCCACCGTTCTATCAATCCACCTGCTTTAGGATAATGGGGAACATAAGACCAGTAAATTCCATGAGCATGAGCCCACTGCCACCCTTCTTTAGCTGTAAAGTGAATGCCTTGGCCAGAGGTAATGCTGTGTGGAACCATGATGGTGGATAAGGCATTCTGTGACTTCACGATGGTAGTCTTGGCAGAAGCATTGCATGCAGGATAGGCAAACCCATATCAGGAGTAAGTGTCTATTCCAGTGAGGACAAACCTCTGCCCTTTGCATGATGAAAGAAGTCCAGCCAGTAATCCAGTAATCAGCTGGCTGATCATCCTGAGGAATGGTGCTATACTGAGGGCTCAGTGTTGGTCTCTGCTGCTGGCAAATTGGGCATTCAGCAGTGGCCATAGCCAGGTCAGCCTTGGTGAATGGAAGTCCATGTTGCTGAGCCCATTCATAACCTCCATCCCTGACACCACGGCCACTTTGCTCATGGGCCCATTGGGTGATGACAGGGTTGGCTGGGGAAAGAGGCTGAATGGTATCCACAGAACGGGTCATCGTATCCACTTGATTATTAAAATCCTCCTCTGCTGAGGTCATCTGTTGGTGAGCACTCACATGAGATACAAATATCTTCACAGTTTTTGACCACTCAGAGAGGTCCATCCACATAACTCTTTCCCACATTTCTTTGTCACCAATTTTCCAATCGTGCTTCTTCCAAGTCCCTGACCATCCAGCCAAACCCCCTACTGATTATGCATCAGTAAATAATCACACATCTGACCGTTCTCCTTCCATGCAAAGTGCAGAACCAAGTGCACTGCTTGAAGTTCTGCCCACTGAGAATATTTCCCTCCACCGCTGTCCTTCAGGGATGTCCTAGAGAGGGGCTGTAGTGCTGCAACTGTTCACTTTCGGTTAGTGCTCCATATTGTGCAGAACCATCTGTGAACCAGGCCCTAGTCTTCTCTTCCTCTGTCAACTGATCATAGGGAACTCCCCATGAGGTCATCGGTACAAGCTGGGGAAGAGAAAGCAGGGTGGCAGGAGTGGAGACCATGGGCATTTGAGCCACTTCCTCATGTAACTTACTTGTGCCTTCAGGAACTGCTTGAGCCCGATCATGTGTATATCACTTATATTTGATGATGGAATGCTGCCGCACACCGACCCATTTTATAGCTAGATGGATCAGAAAGCACCCAGTTCATGATAGGTAGTTCAGGTCACATGGTGACTTGATGACTGATAGTCAAATGTTCAGTTTCCACCAAAGCCCAGTAATAGGCCAAGAGCTGTCTCTCAAAAGGAGAGTAGTTATCTGCAGAAGATGGCAGGGACTTGTTCCAAAATCCTAGAGGCCTCTGCTGTGATTCACTTATGTGGGCCTGCCGAAGGCTCCAAACAGCATCCCTATCTGCCACTGACACCTCAAGCACCATTGGATCTGCTGGGTCATATGGCCCAAGTGGCAGAGCAGCTTGCATAGCAGCCTGGACGTGTTGCAGAGCCTTCTCCTGTTCTGGATCCCACTCAAAACTGTCAGCCTTTCGGGTGACTCAATAAATGAGCTGGAGTAACACACTCAAATGTGGAATGTGTTGCTTCCAAAATCCAAGTAAGCCCACTAGGCGTTGTGCTTCTTTCTTGGTTGTAGGAGGGGCCAAATGTAGCAACTTCTTCACCTTAGAAGGGATATCTTGACAGGCCCCACACCACTGGACCCCTAGAAATTTTACTGAGGTAGAAGCTCCCTGAATTTTAGTCAGATTTATTTCCCATCCTCTGGCACACAAATATCTCACCAATAAGTCCAGTGTGTTTGCTACTTCTTGCTCACTGGACCCAATCAGCATAATATCATCAATGTAATGGACCAGTATGATATCTTGCAGAAGCAAAAAGTGATCAAGCTCTCTCTGAATAAGATTATGACACAAAGCCGGAGAGTTGATATACCCCTGAGACAGGACAGTAAAGCTGTATTGCTGGCCTTGCCAGCGGAAGGCAAATTACTTCTGGTGGGCCTATGGACAGGAATGGAGAAAAAGGCATTTGCCAAGTCAATGGCTGCATACTAGGTACCAGGAGATGAGTTAATTTGCTCAAGCAATGAAACAACATCGGGTACAGCAACTGTAATTGGAGTCACCACTTGGTTAGGCTTACGATAATCCACTGTCCTTCTCCAAGATTCATCTGTCTTCTGCACAGGCCAAATGGGAGAACTGAATGGGGATATGGTGGGAATCACCACCCCTGTGTCTTTCAAGTCCTTGATGGTGGCACTAATCTCCGCAGTCCCTCCTGGGATGTGATTTTTTTTTTTTATTTACTATTTTTCTAGGTAGAGGCAGCTCTAATGGCTTCCATTCAGCCTTTTCCACCATAGTAACCCTCACCCTACCAGTCATGGAGCCAATGCAGGGGTTCTGCCAGCTGCTAAGTATATGCCAATTATGCATTCTGGCACTGAGGAAATGATCACAGGATGAGTCCAGGGACCCACGGGACCCACTATAAGTCAGACCTGGGCTAAAACTCCATTAATTACCTGACTTCTATAAACGCCTACTTTTTTTTTTTTTTTTTTTTTTTTTTGAGACGGAGTCTCACTCTGTTGCTCAGGCTGGAGTGCAGTGGCAGATCTTGGCTCACCACAACCTCCACTTCCCAGGTTCAAGCTATTCTCCTGCCTCAGCCTCCCAAGTAGCTGGGACTACAGGCGTGCACCACCATACGTGGCTAATTTTTGTATTTTTAGTAGAGAGGGTTTCACTATTTTGGCCAGGCTGGTCTCGAACTCCTGACCTCGTGATCCACCTGCCTTGGCCTTCCAAAATGCTGGGATTACAGGCATGAACCACCACTCCCGGACTCATAAGCCCATACTTTAACTGGAGGGCCACAATGACATTTTGGGTCTCCTGGAATCAACGCCAGCTCAGAGCCAGTGTCCAGTAGTCCCCAAAATGTCTAATCATTTCCCTTTCCCCAATACACAGTTACCCTGGTAAAAGGCCAGAGGTCTTGGGGAAGGATGGGAGAAAGATTCACTGCACAAATTGTTGGTAATGTAGTGGGGTCCTTCCTCAAGGGGACCCGGCCTCCCGTTCATTCAAGGGGATCTGGGTCTGTGAACTGGCTCAAGTCTGGAAATTGGTTGAGGGGCCGTGATTCTGTTTTTATAATTCAAATTAGTCTTTTGTCCATTCAGCCTAGAAGTTCTCTGCTTGTATAAATTAAATAGGAATGCAATAGGCTTCCTATCAATTTCACTTCTAGGAACACTGTGATTAATTAGCCAATGCCAGAGCTCTGCATGAGTTGGACTATTCTGATTGCCACTTTGCCTCTGCTGTCCATTATGGTACCTACACCCACATTGCCTTCGATGTTTGAGTGCTACCACTTGGCCCCTGCCACCTCTGGATCCAATTATTCCCATTGTATTTAAATTTTGCAGTTGACTGACGGCGGTTCCCACTGTTAGATCTGACATACAGAGAAGAGCAATTATAGGGCTCTTCAGATATGCAGGTGCTGCCCTCACAAATGTATTTTGCAAAGCATCATCAAGGGTATATCTTCTGGACCCTCCCAGCTGGGATGAGTAGGTCTAAATTGACTAATCCACTCCACCATCCCAATCTCCCTAAGCCTTTGGATCCCTTCATTTACATTAAACCAAGGGAGATCAGCTTGCTCACAGCGGGCCATCTTTTAATCCATATTTTAGCTAACTAAGCAAATAAACTATTAGAACCCTTTTTAACTCCCCAAGCTGCAACATTAAATGCAGAGTCCCTATTTAGTGGGGCCAAATCAATAAATTCAGCCTGACCTAACTCTATGTTCCTTCCACCATTATCCCACACCCTTCATATCCATTCTAATGCCTGTTCTCCAGATTTCTGTTTATATAAATTAGAAAATTCAAGCAGTTCTTTTCGAGTGTAGTACATCTCCTCATGGGTCACACTCTCAACCTCGCCTCTAGGGGCCCTCCAGGAAATGATACCTAACAGTGTACAGGCTTGACTTGAGACAGGGCAGAGATGATAGAAACAGGTGAAGAGCTAGTGGTTGCCATTGGAATTAAAATGTGTGTGATCAGAGAAGACATGGGGGTTAGTACCTGACACAACTGTTTTGGTGATGGTCTGAGTAGAAATGTCAGTGACCTTGTTGGGCACGAAAGTGGCAGAGACAGTGGTGGAGGTTGCAGTGGCCCCAGAGGCTGTGGTAGAGGCCAAGAAGGGCGATGAGGCCAAAGCGAAGGCTGTGGAGGTCACAGATACTGCTGTGGATGGCATGGTGGCCTCAGAGCCTGTGGTGGAAGCCATGCTGCTTCCAGACCCTGAAGTGACCTCAGAGGCTGTGCTCACAGCCATGTTGCTCGTGGATATTGCAGTGGAGGCTGTGGTGGTCTCAGAGTCTGTGGAGGAGGCGGTTGTGGGCATAGATACTATTATGGAGGCACTGGGGGTCTCAGAATCTGTGAGGGAAGCCGTGGAGGTTTCAGTGGCTGTAGTGGTCTCAGATCTTGTAGTGGAGGCTGTGGTGGTCTCAGAGCCCATCATGGATAAAAATCCTGCAGTGTTCTCAGAGGTTATTTTGGAGGTTGTTGTGGGCACAGATACTATTGTGGAGGTAGTGGGGGTCTCAGAGGTTGATGTGGCCTCAAAGGCCATAGTGGAGGCTAGGATGTGGTGGACACAAATATTTTGAAAGAGGATGTGGTGGACTCAGAGGCTGTGGAGAAGGCCTCAGTAGTTTCAGAGGCTGAGGTGGGAGCTACAGTAGGCACAGAGGTTATCATCCAGGCTGTGGGGATCTCGGAATCTTTGCTAGAGGCCAATGTAGTCACAGACTGCAGTGGTTCCTGAGGTTATGATGGAAGCCAGAGTGATCTCAGAGCCTGTGGTGGTTTCAGGCGCTTTGATAAAGACTGCAGTAGGCACAGATACTATCTTGGAGAGAGTGGTGCTCTTGGAGGCTATGGTAGAGTCCATGGTGGGCACAGACTTGGTCACGGAGTCTATAGTATTCTGATAGAGTGTGGTGGAGGCTGTGGTGGACACAGACGCTGTAGTGGTCTTAGCAGGCATTACGGTGGCTGTGGAGAACCCAGACTGTGTGGTTGTCACAGGAGCTTTGGTGGAGACCACAGCAGTCTCAGAACCTGTGGTCATGGCTGTGGTCATGGCTGTAGTCACTTCAGTGGCAGAGGTGGAAGCTCTGGTGGTCTCAGAGCCTGTGCTGCTTTCAGAGGCTGTAGCGAAGACTGTGGTGGGCACAGATGATACTGTGTGGTGTCCGGTGTTCTCAGAGCCTGTGGTAGAGGTTGTGGTGGGCACAGATGCTGTGGTGGTCTCAGCAGGTGTTGGAGGGGCTGTAGAGGGCGCAGACTCTACAGTTGTCCCAGAGGCTTTTGTGGAGATTGCAGTGGTCGCAGAGTCTGTGGTGGAGGCTGTGGGGGTCTCAGAGCCTGCGGTGATTTTAGAGGTTGTGGTGAAGACTGTGGTGGGCAGAGATGTTATCGTAGAGGTCGTGGCGGTCTTGGAAGCTGTGGTCATGGTTTTAGAGGCTGTGTTGGGAGCTGTGGAAGGTGTAGATGTTATCACAGAGGGTGTGTTGTTCTTGGGGACTGTGGCGGACACAGATGCTGTGGTGGTGTCAGTAGGTGTTTTGGTGGCTGTGTGGGGCACAGACTCTGCAGCTATCACAGAGGTTTGAGTGGAGACTGTGGTGTCCTCGGAGGCTGTGATGGCAGCAATGGTAGTTTCAGACATGGTGGCCTCACAGGCTGTTGTGTTCTTAGAGCCTGAGGTGGAAGCTGTGGTGGGCACAGGTGTTACTGTGGAAGATGTGGTGGTGTTAGAGACCGTGGTGAAGGCCAGGGTGGACTCAAGGGCCAGGATAGAGGCTGTCACTGGCTCAGACACTGCAGTGGAGAACCTGATGGTCTCATAAGCTGTGGAGGAGACTGGGATGGCTGCAGAGCTCATGGTGATCTCAGAGGCTGTGCTGGAGGCTGTGCTGGAGGCTGTGGCTGACACAGACATTGTAGAGGACGTGATGATCTCAGAGGCCGTGCTGCTCTCAGAGCCGGTGGTTGAGGCCACAGTGGCACAGATGCTGTGGTGGAGGGTGTGGTAACCTCAGAGGCTGCAACAATAGTTGTGGTGGCTTCTGAGCCTATGGAGGTCTCAGAGTCCATGGTGGAGATGGCGATGATCTCAGAGGTTGAGGTACTCTCAGAGCCTGTGGTTGAGGCCATTGTGGACACAGACTCCACCATGGTCTCAAAGGCTACAGTGGGCCCTGGGGGCATAGTCCTTCCTGAAAAATATCAATTTTTAGTCAAATACGACACCTACTTTACATTTTTGATATTTAATTAGGAGCATCGTGCATATGTCTTTCTTGTTTCCTTTACATCAGCAGAACTGCTGGTGTCGTTACCTTTTATTTGGAATCATGTATTTCAGAGGCTCAGCATTTGCAGTTTCCTCCGCAGCTAAGGGCCCGGTTGCTGATTCAGCTGTGCTTCTGTAGTGCATGAGTCATTTGATCGATCTTCTTGGCACCTTGTCCTTTCTGCCATAATGTTTTTTGGAACTGTACTTGCCTAGGTGAAATAAAATCTAACCTATGTTAAGGAGGCTCCACATTATCTCTGTGTGTGTTATAACACTAAGGATAGTTGGGTCTCATCAGATTAGGGGAAAGTGTGTTGTTTGAAAACCTCATCCAGGGCCAGGCACAGTGGCTCACGCCTGTAATCCCAACACTTTGGGAGGCCAAGGCGGGCAGATCACCTGAGGTTGGGAGTTCGAGACCAGCCTGACCAACATGGAGAAACCCCGTCTCTACTAAAAATACAAAATTAGCCAGGTGTGGTGGTGCATGCCTGTAATCCCAGCTACTCAGGATGCTGAGGGAAGAGAATTGCGTGAACCCAGGAGGCAGAGGTTGCAGTGAGCCGAGATCGTGCCATTGCACTCCAGCCTGGGCAACAAGAGCAAAACTCTGTCTCAAAAAAAAAAAAAAAGAAAGAAAGAAAGAAAACTTCATCCAGGTCATCTGGACTGATCAGAATCCCCTTGTCTGGGTGGAAGTGACAAGGAGGTCATAGGAGGGCAGCTTGAGCAGAGACACTCTGGTGCAAGTCCCCCATCACTCTTTGGGACGTTCAGCACACGATCCCTGCCTGAAGGGAGCCTGCAGGTTCTCATCCACCATCTGAGAGCACCGGGGTGTAAAATTCACAGGAGGCCAGCTTTTTTCCAGCCTCTTCAGGTGGTGAAAGTTGATGAGTTAGGCAGTTTGTAAAGAGACACAAGGAGATACTAGGGGGAAAAGTCCTTGGGAAGATTTCTTCCCCTCCCCTCCTTTCCCCTCCCCTCCCCTCCCCCCTCCCTCTCTCTCTCTCTCTCTCTCTTTCCTTCTTTCTTTCTTTCTCTCTCTTTCTTTTTCTTTCTTTCTCTTCCTTCCTTTCTTCTTTAATTCCTTCCTCCCTTCCTTACTTCCTTCCTTCCTTCTTCCTCCCTCCCTCCCTTCCTTCCTTCTTTCCCTCCTTCCTTCCTGTCTTTCTTACTTTCATTTATTTACTCTTCTAGTATAACATACTAGATTAAGTGGTAGCACTGGGAATGGATTAGAGAAGAATCTGGGGGATTAGTCTGGGTTTCTCTCTGATATACACTCTCTGCATCCAGGCCTTCTCATTCATTTATTCAAACATATTCCTTAAGAACCTTCTGTGGGCCACATGATGTGCCAGGCATGGGATACAGTGATTGAAAAGTTGATACAGAGCTTATATTCAAATAAGGGAGAGAGACCATGAATAAGTAAATGGATGATGTCCGAAATGAAAAACCTATGCATAGCTGACTGGGACTCTTTCAGGGGCCAAAAGGAAAAGTCCCTCCTGTCCTCCATGCAGGACCATGTGCAGGACCAAAAAAGAAATGAGAGGCCCAAAGCAAAGAAATACCTGCAGACTGGTTTTTCAAAATGGAAGCCGTACTGTGACAGTGCCCTTCTGAATATGGAAAAGTAGCGCTTCTGAGCAAATTGCCACAATGTTTTCTTGTTTTTGTTTTGTTTTGTTTTGTTTTTTTAAATGGAGTTTCACTCTTTTTGCCCAGGCTGGAGTGCAGTGGTGTGATCTCGGCTCACTGCAACCTCCGCCTCCTGGGTTTGAGTGATTCTCCTGCCTCAGCCTCCTGAGTAGCTGGGACTACAGGCACACGTCACCACGCCCGGCTAACTTTTATATTTTTAGTAGAGATGGTTTCACCATGTTAGCCATGAACTCCTGACCTCAAGTGATCCGCCCACCTCAGTCTCCCGAAGTGCTGGGATTACAAGCGTAAGCCACCGCGCCCAACCTAGTTGACACAATGTTGAAGGAAATGCAGAAATCCCAGCCTTTGATGGATCTAAAAAACAGCAGCACTGACACAGCAACCTCAGAGGCATTGGAGCAAGCTGGAAAGCTCAGAGAAAATGTAGACCCAGAAAAGGCTGTACGGTTATACCAACAAACAGCAATGCATTTAAAAATGTGGAATGCCTCAACAGGCAGCTGAACAGTTAGGAAAAGCCTCAGGACTGCTAGTATAAGGATGCAGGATTGATGGGACAGCACTCTCTATTTATAAAGAAAAATATTTATAAGGAAACAGAGTTATCCAACTATAAGAAAATAGTCGCTCAAGTATTAGTTCCTCTACATAGCAACGACTGTGCAGCTGGGAAAGCTGTGTCAGGAGAGCTCCAGCACAGCAGGAGTCCGTGCAAGTGGTGGCTGAGCTGTGCTAGAACAGCTTCCAGAAGGGTTTGCCCAGCAAGACCAAGCTACCCATCAGAGGTCAGCAACTCTCCACTTTTCAAGTACACAGGCAACGATTATGCTAAACCCAGCCTGAGTTTAGTAGTTCCGGGACAGAGAATCAAGAAGAAATTACCAGGGATGGTTGCACAACCACATGAATGTACTTAATGATACTAAACTTTACTCTTATAAATGGCTAAAATGATGTATTGTAAGTTATGTATATTTTATCATGGTTAAGAAAATAAGAAGGCGGAGGAGAAAGCAGAGAGGGAGAGAGAAGAGGAAGAGGAGGAAGAATTAGAAGAAAAAGGAGGAGGAGAAGAGGAGGAGGAAGAAGGGAAAATCAGCAGCTACCCTGGCCAAGCCTGGTGGCATCATCTTTGTAGCTGCTGCTCAGGAAGACAAATATTTGGGATTGTGCAAGTACTTTGCTATGCAAAAAGGAAAGGAAAAATTCTGACACGGCATTTCATGGACTTGGAGCTTGTTTAAGAGTACTCCACACTTCATTGCATCCATGGTTTTGAATGCTAATAAAGCCTCTAAGGCTGGACATGGTGGCTCATGCCTATAATCCCAGAACTTTGGGAGGCCGAGGTCGGTGGATCACCTGAGGTCAGGAGTTCAAGATCAGCCTGGCCAACATGGTGAAACCCCGTCTCTACTAAAAATAAAAAAAATTAGCCAGGTGTGGTGGTGCATGCCTGTAATCCCAGCTACTCGGGAGGCTGAGGCAGAAGAATTGCCTGAACCTGGGAGGCAGAGGTTGCAGTGAGCCAAGATCGCACCACTGCACTCCAGCCTGGGCAACAGAACAAGACTCCGTCTCAAAAAAATAAAAAATAAAAAATAAGACTCTAATTTTTAGTTATCAATTCCCCAAATAACCTATCTGTGTCTGCTACCTGGAAAGCATTTTTTTTTTCTTTCCATAAGAGCTTTCTAAAACATAAGCAGGAGTTAACAGTAAATGCACTGTCATATTTTCATACAGTTTGTTTTAAAACTTATGAGCCAAATTCTAGATAAATTATGTTTTAAACAACAGAAACAATAGATATGGATATTTTCTCTCGAGTCATGTAACTTAGAGAATTTCCTTTGCATTTTATTTTATGATTACTGCTAAAATGAAGTTTACTGATTTTTAAAAATTAGAATTAAAAAATATTTTTAGTTTTGTTTTGAAAAGAAAATTTATCCCTCCATGATATTGGATACTGTCTTAATCACCTTGGACTGCTATAGCAAATACCACAAACTGGGTGGCTTAAACAATGGTAATTTGTCTTCTCACAGTTCTGAAGGCTGGGAAGTCCAAGGTTAAGGTACTGGACAACTTGGTTCCTTGTCAGGGCTCCTTTCTGGATTGCAGATGGCTGCCTTCTTGCTGTGTCCTCACATAGTGAAGACAGAAAGAACTCTCTTTCTCCTTTGATAAGGCCACAGTCCCATTGAATTCGGGCACCACTCTTATGACCCCATTAACTTTAATTACTTCCTAAAGACCCTATCTTCAGATATAGTCACATTGATGATTAAGACTTCAACATATGAGCCGGGCACGGTGGCTCATGCCTATAATCCCAGCACTTTGGGAGGCCAAGGCAGGAGGATCACTTGAGCTCAGGGGTTCAAGACCAGCCTGGGCAACATAGTGAGATATGGTCTCTACTAAAATTTAAAACAAAACTAATTAGCTGGGCATGGTGGCAGCCTCTGGGAGGGGTGAGTGCTGAGATGGGAGGCTCGCTTGAGCCCAGGAGGTCAAGGCTGCAGCAAGCTATGATTGTGCCACTACACTCCAGCTTGGATGACAGAGCAAGCCCCTGTCTCAAAAAAAAAATAGAAAAAAGACTTAAACATATTTAGGGGGGACACTGTTCAGTTCATAGTAGATATATTTAAATTAGTAAGTCCTTTCAGAGGTGAGATTGGGACAGGAAGCTATTTTGAGACTTACAATATTCTTTAGTCCAATAAAAGACGCAATTTAAGGTCTCATTAAAAAAAATCTATGAATTGCAATACAATATGGGCATGATGTTTAAATCTGCACTTGCAAATACTGGGATAAAAAGCTAAAAGTTAAAAGTCGTCTCCTCTGGAGAACAGGAATTGGACATGAAAAGGGGGAGGGTGCATCCGTGCTAGTTTTTGCAATAAATCTATGGAACTATTGGACTCTTTAAACTATTTACATGGATTGCTCTGGTAAAACTTGCAGAGAAAATACATACACACAGAGAGTAGGAGATAAGGACATGAAGATAGTGTTTGTAGGGGATTGTTTCAAGAGGCTTGGTGATGAAGGGGAGCTGATGGGGGCAAGGCTGAGAAGATGTGGGTGGGGGTCTGTGAAGATGGCTGCCAGCAGAGCAGAGCTTTCCAAAGTGTGTCCCTGGACCACATCAGGAGTGCCTGGGGAACTTGTTAATTTTTTTTTTTTTTTTTTAATAGAGACAGTGTCTCGCAATGTCGCCCAGGCAGGTCTCTGACTCCTAGCTTTGGGCAATCCTCCCACCTTGTCTTCCAAAAGTGCTGGGATTACAGGCCTGAACCACTGCATCCAGTGGCCATCTCCATTTTATTTATTTATTTTTTATTTTTTTGAGACAGCATCTCATTCTGTCACCCAGGCTGGGGTGCACTGGTGTGATCTCAGCTCACTGCAACCTCTGCCTCCCAGGTTCAAGTGATTCCCCTGCCTCAGCCTCCCAAGTAGCTGAGATTACAGGTGTGCACCACCACACCTGGCTAAGTTTTGTATTTTTAGTAGAGACGGGGTTTCGCTATGTTGTCCAGGCTGGTCTCAAACTCCTGGCGTGATCCGCCCACCTCAGCCTCCCAAAGTGCTGGGATTATACGCATGAGCCACCGTGCCGGGTCTTTAGAAATCTACTTTTTAAAAATACTCTCCTCTGGGTGCTTCCTGTGCACACTGCTTAGGGCTTATTTGGCTGGTGTTGGGAAGGACCCTGTAGAAGGAGAAGGAAAAACTGGAAGGGGAAGAAGCCCATGAAGAAGGCAGGAGGTGTGGGATGGGGGAGCCAGAGCCAAGATGCACGAACACTCCAATGTTAGCAGGGGAGAATGGATGCTGATGAAGGCGGCTTTTTAGACTTGATGGTGGGAAGACGAGGTGGGTCCTGACAGTATTTTGCACACTTGTGCCTCTCTTTTATTATATGCCTTCTTTGTGTGATCTCTGCCTTTCCTAGTGAACTGTGAGCTCCCTGAAGGCAGGGCCTGTTGCTGTTTTGTTCACTGATTTATCTTCAGAACTAGCACAGAGTAGATGCTCAAAAAATGTTTGCCAGATGAACACGTGAATGTCACGTTTGATATGATGTGACATCCAAGTGAAGATATTATTGAAAAAAAATTGAAAATAAAGGACTGGATTTCAGAGCCAAGGTAGACTTAATATGAGTTTGGAAGTTGCCTGTTGCAGTAATAATTTGGGCCTCTTAAAATGAACAAGCTCACAGAGACGCAGGGAGGAGGAAAAGAACAGGATGTGCAAGGCAGGGTCTCCAGGAGAGTGCCTGGGATAAGAGAGCAGAGAGAGGATGCAGGAAACAGACATCAAAGAAGCCACCACAAAGCAGCCTCCTGTTCATTCAGCCTAGGGCTGTTTCTGTTTATTCCAATTCCACAACTGTCTCCTTGCTCCCTTTTTATGGCATTCCATCCTACAGTGGAAGCGAAGGGGCTTTATAAATCTGCCTGACATTGGGTTGTAGTCATTAGGCAGAGAAACTTGAAACATTGAAGGGACCAAGGAGAGAAGTCAGGTGGAGAGAAGTCAGGTGAAATGGCTAGGAAGACAGGAATTTGGATTGTACTTCTCTTCAGGCTAATATCACCCACAGTTCCCGTATCCCTGGGATCCGAAGGATCCCTCCCTGTCTCTATCCGGGGATTATGAAAGCCCTACTGAGGATTTTAATTTAGGCAGTATTTCTGGAAGTGATATTTTCATTTCACTTGGCTTTAGACTTGGAGCCTAGCTCTAATAAATATTTAAAGATGATATTGAAACTAGAATTTTCAAGTTAGATACAAAGCATTTGTTGAGCAGCCGTTAAACCCGGGATTCTAAGGAAATACAACACAGCTATTATTTGTGTTCATGCTTACAGCGGAGCATTGGAAGGGGAAGATGAAGGTGGGTTTGCTGCAAGGTGAAGTTGGGGGTCAAAATCGTGGTTAGTGGGGGTTAAGGTTAGTACTGGCTTTTGCAGAAAGGGGCAAAAAAGAAGTTCATCATCTTTGCTTGCTTTTTGCTTTTGCAAAAGAATGAGAATAAGAAAAGCAAACAGAATGCCTGGGACAGGAACCCTTGTCTCCTTCAGACTTTTTGTGGCCTCAGTGTCTTCTCCGATTGATGGATAATTCACTTACCAGTCTCAAGATTCCAAAGAGAAGCATCACCTGGATGCAGGAGGTGGGAGGTAATTTCCCTCACCTCATCTTGAAATAATCCATGTGGGAAGTTGTTATCTAGAATGCCTGGGTTCTAGAGGGCAGATGGGCTCCAGAGGGGGCCTTGATGCCTGGTGTCTCAATGGGACATGAAGTTGCAGGAAGAATTAAAAGCTTGCCAGGGGCAGGGTTCTGGGAGGAGTAAGATCAGTTGGGGTAGGTTCCAAGACAGTGGTGAGTGGGGACTGGGAATGCTGGATTCCTGGGTTCTGAGGGTTGCTCCCACAATATGTCTGGCTTAATTTCTTTTCTCACTTGACCATAGCTGTGGCATTTATAGTTGCCACCAGGCAGGGGAGGCCGTAACTTCTGGACGCTCCCTCTCCAGGGAGGGGTATCTTAAGGCCATGACAATATGAGGGAAGAAGGAGGGAGCGGGAGAGAACAAGGGAATCACATCTGTGGGAGGAGAGGAGACCCACCCTCCCAGCCAGAGGTCAGCAGAAACCTGTTTTCTCTGGGATGTCTCATTTCTGGGACAGAGGCCTTTGTAGGAGGCAGAGGGGAGAAAAATGAAGGTGACTGTGTCCCAAATCATTGGATCTTCTTACTTTGCCAGCACCTCTCCAGGGACAGCTGGGCACTGTGAGGGGAGGATGCAGAGCCTGTGACTATGAGGCCAGTTAATGTGTCTCCGGGGACAGAGGCTGGCAGAAAAAACCCTGACCTGGGATACTGGCAGTGAGGCCAGAAGAAGACTCTCTGGACGTTCAAGGAGCTGGAAAGGGAGGCCTGGACTCTGGAAGAAGGGGCTGGACACCCTCGTGCAAATCTCAATTACACCCTGTTCCTTAGGTGATCCCTGTAACATCCCACCCGTCCAGGTGGGGCTGCCTTGGTGTCAGAGAACCTGGCTCCACTGAGGAACAAAGTGAAATTGAGGCTTGGAGAAAATAAAGCAAGCCTTCTGTTCCATAGGAGCCGTGTGGGTTTGAACAGGGCTCTTCTCTGAGCCTCGGTTTTCTCATCTGTAAAGCAAGCTTTATAAGAACTCTTATAAGGTCTGTAACTTCTTATAAGGCTTGTAAAGCAGGCCTCGTAACTCGCAGGGTGATCGGAGGATCACAGGTGCGATGTACGTGAAAGCACAGCACAAACGGGTGTCAGTTTTATGGCCAATGTCACGGGGGTAGGAGCTACGCCCAGGCCCGTCAGTCCAGGCCCCTCCCTGGGGGCTGGGGGCTGGGAGGAGGGGATTCGGCGCAGTAGGGCTGGGGCGCTGCGGGGGCGGCGGCCTCGAGCCACTAATCTGAGCTGTCCGCAAGAGATCAGAAGCCGCCCGCAAAGCGGAACCTGGAGGAACGAGGGAGGGCCGCAGTCTCGGGGAACCGGAGCCCCCGCTGCGACTCCGCCGGGACAGCAGCTTCCGGCGCCCCGGCAGCCTCCTGCCCTCGGGGCACTCGCTCCCCCCGAGGTGTACTCCCCGAGGGCTGGGGGAGCGCATTCCCTCCCGTCCTACTGATTAAGTAATTATCCCTAATGAGGGCCCAGCCCCGGAGCTTGTTAAAGGATTTCCGCCTAGATTTCAAAGTGATAATTAGCGGGGAATAGAGAGGAAAGTGGGAGGGAGACACCCGCCGCGCCCCAGGGCCCACAGTCCGCCTTTGCCGGGCGAAGAACCTCCCCATCCCCCTTATACACCCTTTGACCTCCAGTGCTGCATTTTGGTGTCTTGATAGGGGAGGGGTCTGTCCGGTTGGATGTTTAGGACTCTAGAGGCAGAGATGTTTTTATTTCGTTTTGTTTTTGAATTGGGGTCCAGGCTGAGTTTAGGGGTTTCTGCATCCCTCCCAGGGCAGAGAGACACTCCTGTCCTGGCAGATGCCACAGGCTGAGTCACCGTCTACCCAGACAACTAAAATCCAGGCATCTTCCTCCTTTTCTCGAGGGCTCTCCAGCCCCTTCCAGAACCCAGGTGTCCCTCTGCCTCCTTTCTCCAGGGGCCTAAGTCTGGGTCCCTCTGGCATCTGGCATGTCTGCTTTCTGAGAGTCAAGCTTCAATCTTGCCTTTAGCAGAGCGGGTCTCTGGTGGGAGATTCAGTAATAAGGGCCTTCCCAGCCCAGCCAGGGCCAGATAGTTCAGTGACATCAGTGTCAGGGTTGGGATTACTGACCATGATAGGTTTCCAGCTTTCAGCAAATGGGGATGCCCAAAGGAGCAGATAGCGAGTGACCTGTGGCCCTGCTGTTTGATTCTGGATGGAGTTACGTTTAGGAGCCTGGCAGCAAACTGGGGCACCTGTTCAATTAGTGATGATGCCATACTCTGGTAAGAGAGCCAAGGCTGCATGGGTGATGGGAGGTTTCTGTTGGGACTGACATGGGCACACAACGGTTTTGGAGCAGGGCTGGTGTCCTAACATAAATAGGGGGCATAGTAGATGCTCACGGAGTTGGGCTTAATGAATTAGGGTGTTGTTTTATTCTATATAGCACCTAACTTGTGACAACTCTTGTTGAATTATTTAATTTTAATTTTCCTGTCTTTGTGTCTCAGGTGAGAACTATGTCTTATACTTCTTTATATCCTCAACAGAGTATATAATAGTTGCTTTAAAATACTTGCTTATTAATTGACAGGTTTTTCTACTCATTTTGTCACCATGCAAATAAACCCAGCCTGGACTGAGGCTGGCTCTTACCTAAACCCAGAAAGGAGCCATTTTTGGAGCAATAGAAATTCAGCCTCCCCTTTCTTGACCCTCCATAGATTGCCAGTCCTGCCCTCCAGCTCCTCTGTCTCCTCCACTTCTGTAAGGTCTCAGCCAGAGCCAGGAACGCCAGTCAGAACTTTCTCCCAATGGATAGTCTAATAACTATGATGCCCTTTATAAACATGTTATACTTTATTATAAAAAAGGTCAATAGACAGAAGGAAACTATCATCATCATTCTCCTTTTCCCCCTCTACCCAATCAGTAATAAGGTGAAATGGCCATAGGAAGAGAGAGAGAAAATCCAGAAAACACACACAGATGAAATGCCTACAAGGAGGAAAACTTGAATCTGGGGTGAAGGTGGGAGGAGAGAGAATGGGGACAGTAGAGAAGATGGGTAACTTTTACGAGATAAAGCTACAGCTGGCTTTTGGTGGAAGAGACAGGAAAATAAATGCTGAGACACCAATCAGGGAAGGTCTGGGGTGGAGATCAGTGGGTGAGACTGCTGGCCAAATAAAAATCCCCTCCTTGCGTGTCCACCCACAACCCAGCAAGCCAAACCAACAGGGCGTCCACTGTAGACATTTAGGAAAACTAAGGGATTTGGGAGGAAGAGGAAGCAACCATGTAGATGAGAGATATTTATGATTTCTTCTGGACTTTTTTTTCTCCAGGGCATGGAGAGAGTGGAGAAGGAAATAAATTCTCTTTTCTTCTTGGATCCGTTTTTTTTGTTTTTTTTTTCATTAAAAAAATGGGGGTGGGGGCAAGGGTCCTGAGAACTCAGAGATGAGCCTATTTACACACAAACTCTTAAGTAATAGTGAATGGAAATAACATAATGCTGTCCTGAAACCCAGAGACTCTGCCCTCAGTCCCTCCCTTTCCCCATAAACCCCACTCACAAGTCAGTCTGGGGCATTGCCTATAAGGCTCCTGTCCTTCCTTTAGGACTCAGTGCAGTGTTCTGCATTGGTGCCCCCACAACATGTCCATCAAACACCTTTTCATTCTCAGACCATTACCTTCTACAGAGAATGTCTGCTCGTATTATTCATTCTTTCTTCTTTGTCCCCTAAACTTACACCCTCCTTGCTTATCACCTCATTCCCCAACCAGTTTCAAGAACAGATGAAGGGTTAATACTGGTAACCGTCAGTATTCTCTGCCCTTCCTGTAGTCCCGGAAATAGAAATTGTGAGTCTGGTTCCTCATCCAGGAAAGGGGCAGAGCATGGAAGAGCCAGGGCTGGGCGCCTACTCCAAGATCACCGTGGGGAAGGGATCTGGCCCATGCCAAGATTCTGCTGCTCCATCAGGTAGACCGGGTAGGAATTGGGGCCACCCTCATCCTCTGCATCATTGTACTGGGTGTTCTGGGTTAGTGTGCGGCGTGTCCGCATCATATAGGAGACCTGTGATTGGGATGAGAAAGGAGGAATGAGAACCATCTGCGATTTGTTTTCCACAACACTCACCTCAGGTCTTGATTCTATTCTCAAGATTCCATCCAAACCTTGATGTTTATTCCAGCTCCAGGTCCAATACAATGAGTCCCAGCTCCATCTCCAGTTCCCCACTCTACCATATTCTCCTTGTCTTTACACCTCCTATTCTCATACCCCAGACTCTCCACCCCCCACACTTTCTCTTTCACACCCTTTCATTCTCAGCCACAGCCTTGTCCCCAATTCCAGCTTTTTACCTCCTGTGTATTTATTGTCTTTCTCCTTAGTTTTCACCAAAACTCTCCCTCTATTACTGTTCCTCCCACTTCTGCCATGTCTCTTTTCCTAGACTCATTATTCCCTGTAACTCTGACCCCTAATGTATCCTCAATTCCCTATCCCATAGGTTGATTTCTGTGGGGCACATCTGTCCCTTACCAAGAAGATCAGGCCAAGGAACACCAGGAGGAGAATCACAGCCACCAGGACCACAATAACTATGGCCCATGCAGGGAATGAATCATTCTCTCCCATCTGTCCAGCGTGGATACCTTTCTGTGAGCCATCTTTATTGAGGTATGGATGGCTCTCGTTTCCTGTGGCTTCTGATGTGATAGAACTCAGCTTCGTTCTAGATGTAATGAGGGTGAAAGAACCAGTGGGCACCTGATGAGTAACTTCAGTTTTATTTAGATGAGAAGAGGTAGTAGTGAGAGATTTGTCTCCTGTGACCTTGACTGAAGGTTTTATAGTCTTTGTGACTGCTGCTGTTTTTTCTGGGTTTTCTGTGGACTTTACTGGGGCTTTTATGGTCTCAGTGGTCAGTGTGGTGTTCCCCAGGTTTTCTGTAGGCTTTTCTGGGACTGGTGTGTTTTTCCCTTTGGTGCATATGGTCTTCTCTGAGTATAGCGTAGGCTTTTCTGGGGTTCTTGTGGTTTTCTCTGTGGTTGACGTGGTCTTTTCTGGGTGTTCTGTGGACTTTTCTGTGACTTGTGTCATCTTCTCATGGGCCAATGTGGTCCTTTTTGCATGTTTTATAGGCTCTGCTGGGGCTGGTGTGATCACATTGGCTGATGTAGCCCTATCTCTATGTTCTGTAGACTCTGCTGCAGATGAGGTGATCTTGTCATTGGGTGATGTGGTCCTTTCTCCATGTTCTGTAGGCTTTGCTAGGGATGGTGTGATCTTCTCATTGGCCGACGTAGTTTTTGCTCCATGTTCTGTAGGCCCTTCTGGGGATAGTGTGATCTTCTCATTGGCCAATGTAGTCTTTTCTCCATGTTCTGTAGGCTTTACTGGGGATGGTGTGGTGTTCTCATTGGCCGATGGGGTCATTTCTTCGTGTTCTGTAGGCTTTGCTGGAGATGGTATGGTCTTCTCATTGGCTGATGGTGTCCTTTCTCCATGTTCTGTAGGCTCTGCTGGGGATGGTGTGGTCTTCTCATTGGCTGTCCTTTCTCCATGTTCTGTAGACTCTGTTGGGGATGTTGTGGTGTTCTCATTGGCCAGTGGGGTCCTTTCTCCATTTTCTGTAGGCTCTGCTGAGGATGGTGTGGTGTCCTCATTGACTGTCGTTTCTCCATGTTCTGTAGGCTTTGCTGGGGATGGTGTGGCCTTCTCATTGGCTATCCTTTCTCCATGTTCTGTAGGCTCTGCTCGGGATGGTGTGGTGATCTCATTGGCCAGTGGGGTCCTTTCTCCATGTTCTGTAGGCTCTGCTGAGGATGGTGTGGTCTTCTCATTGGTAAATGGGGTCCTTTCTCCATTTTCTGTAGGCTCTGCTGGGGATAGTGTGGTCTTCTCATTGGCCAATGGGGTCATTTCTTCATGTTCTGTAGGCTCTGCTGGGGATAGTGTGGTGTTCTCATTGGCTGTCCATTCTCTATTTTCTGTAGGCTCTGCTGGGAATGGTGTGGTCTTCTCATTGGCTGTGCTTTCTCTATTTTCTGTAGGCTCTGCTGGGAATTGTGTGGTCTTCTCATTGGCTGTCCTTTCTCTATTTTCTGTAGGCTCTGCTGGGGATGATGTGGTGTTCTCATTGGCCAGTGGAGTCCTTTCTGCGTGTTCTGTAGGCTCTGCTGAGGATGATGTGGTCTTCTCATTGGCAAATGGGGTCCTTTTTCCATTTTCTGTAGGCTCTGCTAGAGATGGTGTGGTCTTCTCATTGGCCAATGGAGTCCTGTCTCCATTTTCTGTAGGCTGTGCTGGGGATGGTGTGGTGTTCTCATTGGCTGTCCTTTCTCTATTTTCTGTAGGCTCTGCTGGGAATGGTGTGGTCTTCTCATTGGCTGTCCTTTCTCTATTTTCTGTAGGCTCTGCTGGGGATAGTGTGGTGTTCTCATTGGCCAGTGGGGTCCTTTCTCCGTGTTCTGTAGGCTCTGCTGAGGATGATGTGGTTTTCTCATTGGCAAATGGGGTCCTTTGTCCATTTTCTGTAGGCTCTGCTGGGGATGATGTGGTCTTCTCATTGGCTGTCCTTTCTCTATTTTCTGTAGGCTCTGCTGGGAATAGTGTGGTCTTCTCGTTGGCTGTCATTTCTCTATTTTCTGTAGGCCCTGCTGGGGATGGTGTGGTGTTCTCATTGGCTGTCCTTTCTCTATTTTCTGTAGGCTCTGCCGGGGATGGTGTGGTGTTCTCATTGGCCAGTGGAGTCCTTTCTTCGTGTTCTGTAGGCTCTGCTGAGGATGATGTGGTCTTCTCATTGGCAAATGGGGTCCTTTGTCCATTTTCTGTAGGCTCTGCTAGAGATGGCGTGGTCTTCTCATTGGCCAAAGGAGTCCTGTCTCCATTTTCTGTAGGCTCTGCTGGGGATGGTGTGGTCTTCTCATTGGCTGTCCTTTCTCTATTTTCTGTAGGCTCTGCTGGGGATGGTGTGGTGTTCTCATTGGCCAGTGGGGTCCTTTCTCCGTGTTCTGTAGGCTCTGCTGAGGATGATGTGGTTTTCTCATTGGCAAATGGGGTCCTTTGTCCATTTTCTGTAGGCTCTGCTGGGGATGGTGTGGTCTTCTCATTGGCTGTTGTTTCTCTATTTTCTGTAGGCTCTACTGGGGATAGTGTGGTCTTCTCGTTGGCTGTCGTTTCTCTGTTTTCTGTAGGCCCTGCTGGGGATGGTGTGGTGTTCTCATTGGCTGTCCTTTCTCTATTTTCTGTAGGCTCTGCTGGGGATGGTGTGGTGTTCTCGTTGGCCAGTGGGGTCCTTTCTCCATGTTCTGTAGACTCTGCTGAGGATGATGTGGTTTTGTCATTGGCAAATGGGGTCCTTTCTCCATGTTCTGTAGGCTCTGCTGGGGATGGTGTAGTGTTCTCATTGGCTGTCCTTTCTCCATGTTCTGTAGGCTCTGCTGGGGATGGTGTGGTGTTCTCATTGGCTGTCCTTTCTCCATGTTCTGTAGGCTCTGCTGGGAATAGTGTGGTATTCTCATTGGCTGTCATTTCTCTATTTTCTGTAGGCCCTGCTGGGAATGGTGCGGTGTTCTCATTGGCTGTCCTTTCTCTATTTTCTGTAGGCTCTGCTGGGGATAGTGTGGTGTTCTCATTGGCTGTCCTTTCTCTATTTTCTGTAGGCTCTGCTGGGGATGGTGTGTTGTTCTCATTGGCTGTCCTTCCTCCATGTTCTGTAGGCTCTGCTAGAGATTGTGTGAGCTCATTGGCTGATATGGTCTCTTGTATGTTTTTTGTAGTTTTTGTCAGGAGCTTGTCTGAGGCAACTGTTGTTCTGGAATCTTCAGTTTTTTCTGACTCTTCTGGGGTTCCTGTGGTCTTGTATGTTGTTTTTGAGGCTGCTGTGATTTTTTCTGGAAAAGATGTGCTTTTTTGCTTGGTCTGTGAATTGCCTGAGTTGTGGAAGGAAGTTGTAGTCTTATGTGAGCTGGTACTTGTCTTATCCAAAGTACTCATGGACTTTTCCAAAGGTCTTCCAGTTTTATCTGATTTTCTTGTTACCGTTGATTTGCCTGTTGTGGACTTACGACAGTTTATTTTGCTCTTGGGTGCTGGCGTTATATGTTTTTTTCCAGCGGATTCTTTATGTGTGGTAGTGGAGTCAGCAGGATCAACAGAGCGCTGGTTCCGGATCATTGGGTCTTTCCCTTGGTTGCTGGAGTTTTCTTCAGAAGTGGGAGGAGCCTCATGATTATCTGTAGAGCTTTTGTGGTCTATAGTTTTGGAGTTGCCTGTAGGCTTGTCAGTTGGCTTAGAATGGCGTGTGGTGTTGCAGTGGCGTTTTTGCTCATGGATTTCTGTAGATTTAGGGAGCTCTGGAGGTCTTTGTCCTGAATGCAGAACAATGTGATCAAAAGGGATACTATAAACAAGGCCTGGAGTGAGGGGAAATATGTGATCGGATGTTGAGAGTTCCCCAGTTTTCTGATATTCTTGGAATGTAGTAGCACCTGTGGAGGGAGAGAGGCAAATAAGAAACTTCCCCCATGTTCTTCTCCAACTCCCCCTTCCCACTTCCTTCTCTAGGGGATCTCTTTGTTCCCCCTGATATGACTCCCCAGCCAGTCTCCTCTGAATACTATGATATCTATTCCCCATTCTCACCTCCAGCCCCTAGGCTCAGGCTGTGCCTTCAGCAAGCATGCCACCTCATCCCCTTCCACATCTCCTCAACTCTCCATCTCAAGGCCTTCTGGCTTTAAGGCATCTTTTCTGATCCGTCTAAGCAGATAAAATCCAGCTTCATTTCAGTGCTTGAAAAGGTCTTTATTCACCATTCTGTCCTGTTACCTTCAACTTCACGTTACAGTTGTTTGCGTGCCTGCCGACCTCCACTCCCTGCCATGCCTATCCAATGGTAAGGTTTTGAGGGCATGTATGGACTAGCATTTTACTGTGCAGGTGCCCCTTTAGGGTCTGTAACTTATGGAATGGAGTCTTCTTTCTATGGCATAGCTGAGAAGACCAGGAGTAAACGTTAGACTCTTCACCTTTCCATAACATTCTAACACCATCCCAAATGTAACAGTGTGAGAAATTGAGGTAAGACCTCTGGCAGAACTTCCCATAGGGATTAGCAGGTAGACACAAATTGTGAGTGAGAGATGTATAAGAAGAATGGAGGATGGGTAGAGTAAGGAGATGGGAAGCTTTCATTTCGGTGATAAAGTTGGATGAGGGGAATGGATGAGATGACCCAACCCTTATGGTCACCCCACTGGGTCCCCCTCTTCACACATTTAAAGCCAACTGGGGATAGATGAAAGGGGCCATCCTGAAAGGAAAAGATATCTGCTTGGGGGTCCTGACAGGAGTAAACGAGGCAACTAGATTGTGGTAGGGACTGACTATGTTTAAGGACAGGGTGTGAGAGAAAACACCCCTATCAGTGGACAGATACACGCCTTAATTCCATGGAAAAACAACCTGATGGAGACAGAGGAGATGTCTCTGATACCTAGCCAAAAGAGTGAAGGCCAAGAGATCACCAAAGAGTGAAAGAGATAGTGTCATTACATAACTGAGGTTTCTGGTCCCTGTTAGCTCAAGGCGGCAACCGGAACCTGGACCTATTCCCAATCACAAGAAACCACAGTCCACCTGCCTGCTGATGGGCAGAATCGGCCTGGGGAGCTTAGTCCTTGAAAGAAATATGGGCAGGACAAGAAGGGTGTGAGGGTAATAGAGAAGCCCAAGTCTCTGAAAGGAATTGAGAATGAGGGGAGAGAAGGGGGCTGAATGATCAGGCCTGCACTCCACTGTCCCAATCCCATTACCTGATCTCCTTGGCAGCAATACCAGTAATAGCTATTGTTTATTGGACACCTTCCCCGGCCCCAGGATGTGGCTGGTGGCCTCACAGACATTCTCTTTCTGGATTCTCTTCTATGGTGATTGATCTCCCAATGCTCCATAAGGCTCTTTAGAAGCGGTCAACTTCCCCTATTTTACATCTGAGAAATTTACATTTCACGGAGGAAAAGTGACCTGTACATAGTCCCACAACAATAGCAATGGGCAACATTTCTAGAGCTCTACAATGAGACAGGCAGGTTCTACAAGTGAGGGCATACATTAACTTATTTACTTTTCACAAGAACCTGTTGAGGTTGAGAACTATCCTATTCTCCAAACTTTATAGATGAAGAAACAAGGTTCTGAGTGGTTAAGTAATCTTCTCAAGGACACCCAGCAAGTAAGAGGTCGAGACAGAATCTGAACACACATCCTGGGGTCCCGGGCCCAGATCATTGCTGGTTAAGACCACAGTGCACAGCCAATAGGTCAGCCCAGTCTTTTAAAGAAGGAAAGACACTGACATGTGTGGACTCCCTGAAAGGTGCTGTTCATATATTTGTTTATTTAATCAAATAATTATGAACCTGTGAAGTGAGGAGTGTGATCTTACTGTTTTACAGGTGGGGAAAGGAGACGCAAAGAGGTTAAGTAATTGGCAAAATTAGACTTTTCACTGTGCCCCAGATGTTTTTAAACATGATAAGGGATGAATGACTATCTATTGAGTGAATAAAGGAGCTGGCAGCAATGCAAAGGGCATTTTCCACTGGCCTTAAAGAATCAGAGGACAGGTTTGACATCCAGGCTCGGTCCCTCAGCGGTTTTGCATTCTTGCTCAGGTCTCTTAAGTGCTCTGAAGCTCCATGTTCTCGACTGTAAATAACCATGATGCTGACTGCACCAGCTTAATGTGAGGATTAAAGGAAGTATGGACCATGGAAGACTCTGGAGCACAGAAGCTATTTAAATGTTTGTTGAATCCACATTGTAGTCTCTGAAATAATCTCGTGCTTTGCCCTGTCCTTCTCCTGGTAGTAAGGGGAGCCTGAGCAGTAGCCCTACCCCCCTGCCTGCTCCATCCACCTCTCACCTGCTGTGGCCACCTTCTTGAAAACAGCAGCCTCTGCATTCCTGGGCCACTTTCTCTGCTGTGTTTTAATAACACAGCACTCATCACTTTCTGATATGTGATAAATACAATTAAATTTCCACAATGGCAAGGCTTTTTTTGTTTGTTTGTTTTTTGAGATGGAGTCTCACTCTGTCGCCAAGGCTGGAGTGCAGTGGTGCGATCTGGGCTCACTGCAACCTCCACCTCCTGGGTTCAAGTGATTTTCCTGCTTCAGCCTCCTGAGTAGCTGGGACTACAGGCACATGCCACCACACCCAGCTAATTTTTTGTATTTTTAGTAGAGATGGGGTTTCACTGTGTTAGCCAGGATGGTCTCGATCTCCTGACCTCATGATCTGCCCACCTCAGCCTCCCAAAGTGCTGGGATTACAGGCATGAGCCATTGCATCCGGCCGGGGTTTTTGTTGTTGTTGTTGTTGTTTGAGATAGAGTCTTACTCTGCACCAGGCTGGAGTGCAGTGGCATGGTCACAGCTCACTGCAGTCCTGACCTCCTGGGCTCAAGCAGTACCCCCACCTCAGCCTCCCTGTCAGCTGGGACTACAAATGTGAGCCAGTATGCCCCCTCCTCACCTTTTTTTTTTTTTTTTTTTTAAGACGCAGGGTCTCACTATGTTGGCCAGGCTGGTCTCAAACTCTGGTCTTCAGTGATCCTCTCATCTCAGCCTCCTAAAATATTAGGATTATAGGCGTGAGCCACTGCACCTGGCCTGGCCTGGCCTGGCCTGGCAGGGATTTTTATTGTTTTGTTCATCGCTGTCTCCAGCCTAGAACAGTGTCTGATCCATAGGAGGCACTTTGTAAATATTTGTTGAATAATGAATGAAAGAATAAGACTGATGAAAACTCCTTAAAAGCCTTGCCAACAACATTTCATCATGCACGTTAAGTAAAAACCAAATGTATTTGTGACCTCCACAGGCTGGAAGACCAAGGGCGACTTCCGCTGTTCAGTAATTGAGCTCTGAGATTAAAAGACGTTGAAAGAAGGCCTCTGGCCCACCAATTCTGGGATACCAGTTGTCATTAAACCACAGGATCACAGTCCATAACTAGACTCAGATAACAAGATTTTAGAATTTTAGATCTGCATCAAACAGTTGTGGAACCATAGATTGTAAAAAGCTGAGGTAAAGCTCAAGGGATTCCTTGGTCCTGACACAGCCAAGAGGCAAATCAGTGTAAACCCCCAGGACAAGAGGAGCATCTCTGCCCCAGACGATCTACTTTGGTAGTGACTTATTTCCCTAGTAAGTTTTCACCAGGAGATATTCATTCCACGTACAACCATCATAGCCCGAAAAGAACTGTTTTGGTCACTGAAGAATAGGCAGGAGGTGCAGAGAGGAAAATCCAACTTTAGCACAAGACACTGTAGGTGGATGCTCAGCTGGGATAAAAGAATAAGAACAAATCCCACAACATCAAAATGATGCACAGTGCCAAAGGTCCCCGCCATCTGCTTTGTTCACTCATTTGAAAGAGAGGACATCGGCTGGGCACAGTGGCTTATACCTGCAATCCCAACACTTTGGGAGGCCATTGTGGGCCTGAGGTCAGGAGTTCGAGACCAGCCTGGCCAACATGGCGAAACCCCGTCTCTACTAAAAATATGAAAATTAGCCAGGCGTGTTGGCAGGACCCTGTAATCCCAGCTACTCAGGAGGCTGAGGCAGGAGAATCAGTTGAACCTGGGAGGCAGAGGCTGCAGTGAGCCAAGATCATGCCACTACACTCCAACCTGGGCCACAGAGTGAGACTCTGTCGAAAGAAGAAAGAAAGAGAGACAGAGAAAGAAAGAAAGAGAAAGGGAAAGAAAAGGAAGAAAAGAAAGAAAAGGAAGGAAGGAAGGGAAAGGAAAGGAAAGGGAAGGAAGGAAGGGAGAAAGAATATCTTGCTAAGCAACTCATGCCTTGGAGTCGCTGTCAGGGCACGCTGTCCCAAAAGAGCATCTCTAGTGTTTCCTGGTATCCTTACCCCCATAAATGGCATGCTCCATTTGCAATAATGTGGGTAAATGTTTGTTAAAATACCTATACAGTATGAGTTCAATAAGTGGCTTAAAATGCAGACATAGAAAAAGAAAAGCTGGTGGGCACAGTTGTTCACACCTATAATCCTAGCATTTAGGGAGTCTGAGGCAGGAGGATCACCAGTTTGAGACCAGTCTGGGCAACATAGCGAGACCTGTCTCTACAAAAAAAAAAAAGGAAAGCTAAAGGGAGATATAATCAAATGATTGCTTGGGGACTAGGGAGTATACAGAGATTTTATTTTTCTTTCTTATTTTTTCTATTTTCCATTTTCTACAATGAGCATACATTATTTGTGTTATAGAAATTAAATCAAATAACATTTGTTATAGGAAAATGTTCTTGTTAGATTCTTCCAAGGACCCCAGCCCCAATTCCCATCTCCTGCCTCACCTGTACTCTCTCAGATGGTTTCATCTAGACTGCACCTGTGCTCCCTCAGATGATTTCATCTGGGCTGCACCTGTGCTCCCTCAGATGATTTCATCTAGACTGCACTTGAGCCTCCCTCAGATGATTTAATCTAGACTGCGCTTGAGCCTCCCTGTGATGATTTAATCTGGACTGCACCTGTGCCTCCCTGTGATAATTTAATCTAGACTGCACCTGTGCTCCCTCAGATGATTTAATCTAGACTGCACCTGTGCTCCCTCAGATGCTTTAATCTAGACTGCACCTGTGCCTCCCTCTGGTGACTTAATCTGGACTGCACCTATGCCTCTCTGTGATGATTTAATCTGGACTGCACCTGTGCTGCCCTCGGATGATTTAATCTAGATTGTACCTGTGGTTCTGTGACTGCATGATGCAGACTCTGGGGTTCCAGGATCTAGTTATCTGTCTGGGTGTTGACTGGTCCTGTGGACAAACGTCAGGGTCTCCTCACCAGAATGGTAGACTAAAGGGCTTCATCCATCCCAGTTGTCCCTCTTCCCTTCCTGCCCTGGCCTCTCTCTCTGCTGGGCACAGCCATGCACCAGCTCTGATTCACACTCCAGTTCCACCCGACCTCATCACAACCCGAGCCCAGCCTCAAGCCCTCCCCACCTGTAACCCACTCACTCTTGTCTTCAAAATCTGCAGAATGGGAGCAGCCAGCTCCCCTTGTCCTCCCCACCCCTCCCTCCATGCCGCCCAGCCACGCCTATCTCCTCTCCGAGACCACGCCCACATGGCCCCATCGGAATCTCAGGAATTCAGATCTCCGCCCTGAAGCAAATCTCAGAGCGACTGTGTATGGAGTGGATTCCCTTCCGCCCCCTGCAGGTTCCTCTTCCTTAAGCTGCAAGATGGAAGGAGGAGAGAGCAGCCAGTGGACAATCCGCCTGAGAGGAAGGGGAAGGAAAGGCGGGAGAGATGGGGCCGGGAGGTGTTGGGCAGCTGTGGTACCTCTGTCTCCAGACCCTCAAGGTAGGGGAGACAGACATCAAGTCAGGGCACAGACAGGACGCACTGCTGAGACCTTTCAGAGGCAGCTCAAAGATTCCTCAGTCATCGCCATTCACCACCCACCTGCCCCTGCCTCCACCCCTGGCCTCAACCTGACTGTGCTCAGGGAAGGGGCACTGCCTCTAATATCACCCTGTGGATGGCTCTGTCCTTGGATGACTGTCCAGTGGGTAGATAGTGTCTCTGAATCTGCTGTTCTACATCTGCCTTGTGGAGACCCTCCTCCAAATTGCCCAGGCCCTCCACACCGCCCCTGTGTTCAGCATCTCTGCTCCCCGGGTTCAGTAGCAGTCCGTTTCTTGACTAAGTGAACTAATTTCATAATTTCATCTTATCTTTAGGGTATGTTTTGTTCGTCGAACTTGTCCATAGTCATTTTCCCATCAAAGTCCTGAGATGTTTCCCAACTGTAAGACAGGGACAGAGCCTTTGACGCACACTTTTCTGAGTCTCCATGTGGATTAAATGAGTAAATGTGGATGAAGTCCCTAGAGCAACACCTGGTGCAGTGTAAATGCTCTGTAGGCATCAAATACTGGTACGGCTGGGCAGCAGCATCCAGCCCATTTTACAGATGGTGTGGAAGGCCAGAGTAGGCAAATGGGTCAGAGTCAGGACTGGAAGCTAGGTCTGCACAAAACAGAGCTCTCAGGAGAGAAGCTCCACCTGTCCCCCCAGGGCTGGGGGCAGTGGAGCTGGAATCCCTGCTTACCTCCCTCTAGCTGTGAGATATGGGACATAATCATTGTGAATCCACTCTCCTCAACTATAAGATGGGATATTATTAGCCACCTCAGGGGATGCTGAGATGAAATGAGATGAGTCTCTGGGCACGGTGGCTCTCACTTGTAATACCAGCACTTTGGGAGGCCGAGGCAGGCGGATCACTTGAGGCCAGGCATTTGAGACCAGCCTGGCCAACATGGTGAAATCCTGTCTCTACTAAAAATACAAAAAAATGAGCCAGGCGTGGTGGCAGGTGCCTGTAATCCCAGTTACCCAGGAGACTGAGGCAGAAGAATCGCTTGAACCCGGGAGGCAGAGGCTGCAGTGAGCCAAGATTGTGCCACTGCACTCCAGCCTAGGCAACAGAGCAAGACTCCTTCTCAAAAAAAAAAAAAAAAGAAGAAGAAGAAGAAGAAGAAGAAGAAAGAAATCACCATGAGCAGCTGTGAATTCCGTGCACGGTGCTCAATGAATGTCAGGTGCCTACCCCCACCATCCAGGGCTGGCAGCCTCTACAGTGTCTTTATGCAAACTTGAAGAAACCCCCTCTGGATGGGTGCAGCCCTGTGAGCCATGTTTTAAAGAGCAGAGCACAGGCTGGATTTCATCTCCTACTACATGTCCCTTAGCCAGCAAACTTGAGCAGAGAACACTCTAGACAACTGTCTGTAGCAGCCCCGTGCCCGCCCCCTTCATTCATTTCTATTTGTTGTCCAACGCTATGAACACTAAGAAACAAGCTGTTTCTGTCTTCTGTATCCCCTGTGGGCATCTTACCTGCCCCCCAAGAAGCTAGAAGGAAGAGGAGGCAGCACTGGAGGCCAAAGGCGGAGCAGAGGCTGTGGACCGGCTGGGCCATGTCGGAGCTGGGTGGCTGCTTGGGGACCATGGGCTGCGGACCCCTCACCTTATATGGAGCCAATCTTGACGTCATGGGGGCTGGGGCTCCTCAGGACTAAGTCTTAAACAAATGGAGCCACCCCAACCCACAGGGGAGCCCTGATAAGAGGAGACCGCAGCTGCTGCGTCATGGAGCCAGGCACCTGGGTGCCTGCCGAGGGGTGGGATCTGGGGGCAGGGCAGAGGAACCAGAAAGGAGCAGGCACCTGAGCCAGCCCCAGTGGAGGGAAGTGAGGGTGGCGCCTCCAGGGCTCTGGGGAAGTGGGGAGCAGATGGCTCAGTTCTAGAAGGACTGAGCTCTGGCTGGGAGCAGGATGGGGTGGGGTTCACGTTCTGATCTGTGTCCAGCTTCACGCGCACCCTCCCACCTCTCCCGCATCAGCCCAGCTTCCACACCCCTTATTCACACATGGTCATTCTTGCCACCTTGGGCGGAGCTGTCCGCGAGGATCAGGTGAAAGAGCAAAGGTGAGAGAAAGCCCTCGAATGACCCTCGCTGCAGAGAAAGGTGCTTCATGATGTTCAGAGGTCATACAACAATATGTGGAGAGTGCAGAGGCAGTGACAGAGACAAGACACAGAACCACAGGGACATATGTCACACCCCTCACCAGGGACACAGACAGGTCAGGCCACCCAGAAGGACCGAGGCCAAGATCTTTGGCCAAGAGATGCTCGGTGTACAGGGGCTTCTGCTTTCACTCTACCTCTTCCCTCCCACCTCAGCTCAGCGGCTGTCTCTTTGTCTCGAAGTCCCCATTCACTCCTATACAGAAATGCAGACATCTCATTTTTAGGAGCACCCCAGAGCTCCCCCTTCCCTTCCTCACTTCCTGCCTAAAGCAAGCATTAGCTCAGAGACTCCCTTGTCTCCCCAGTGACAGTGCCTGGGGCTGGAGTAGGGGAGGACAGACTCCCTGGGTCTCTAGCACAGAGAAGTCACAACCCCTTTCTGCCCACTGTGGGTCTCCATGGAAAGTAAGCACCTTGGATCCCTGCTGTGTCATCAGAGCCTAGGACAGTGTCTGGCACACAGTAGGCAATCAATAAATGTTTCCACTCCGCCTGGATGGAGTGGAAGCCAGGGCCGGAGGATGCCTTTCTGAGGGAAGTGGGGGCAGGCAAAGGCCATAGAGAGGTCCAGGACCTGAGGGCAGGAGGCCAGGCCCTCAGGGCATTTGGGCTCATGAGAGGACTAGAGAACTGGACATGTGGGTTCCTCTCCTTACTTGGTGTGACTTGTCCCTAAGCCCTGGGCAGGGCTGGAATAGGTGGGAAGAGGAGAGGAGGCCAACTGCTTATTAATGTGATTAATGGGAGATTAATGAGGCTCCGTGGAGTCAGGCCAAAGACTGACTACTCAGAACTGGGCAGCCTGCCTCCCAGGCAATATATCCTGCAGGATGGAGAAACTAAGGCAGACACAGGCTGTCCTCTGCAACTCCATGTAGACTCGGGTGACTGACAGTCCCCCTTTTCACTGGTCCCCTTCCCCCCCCCCCCTTTCCCCAGGGACCCAAGCCTCTAGGACGGTGGTTCTGTACAGGGAGGAGTAATTTTGCCCACATCAGGGAACATTTGGAAATTTCTGGAGACATTTTTGTCACAATTTGGAGTGGGATGCTACTGGCATCTAGGGGGTAGAGGCCAGAGATGCTGTGGGACATCCTATAATGCCCAGAGCAGTCTCCACAGCAAAGAATTATCCAGCCCAGGACACCAATTGTGCTGAAGTGGAGGATCTCTGCTTTAGAATAAGCACTAACCAGTGTTTGTGAATGAACACCCCCTTCCCTTCTCTCTGAGCTACAACTCCACCCCAAGGACGCTGATGTCTGGGATGGAGAAACCTGGAGGTAGGTGGAGGCCCAAAACAGTCTCTTACAGTCAGTCTATGTTGCTTCATCTGAGCTGGAGGCTGAGAGGCCAGTCACGAAACAACTCTGCCAACTACCATTGTTTGGGCATTTCTATGTACTGAAGAATGTACTAAGCACCTCACCTATGAGTTATCACCTGTCACCCTCACTTTACAGATGAGGATAAATGAGCCTCGGATCAGGGAATGACTTGCCCTGGTAACTGGCAGAGACCAGACTTGGCCCTTCCGGGCCCACATGACACAAAAGCCCATGCACTTGGGCAAACCCACAGCATCTGGGAGACAAGTGGAGGAAGTGCCATTTTATTTAGCAATAACTTGTTCACCACCCTCCCATAGCAGACCGAGGGGGCACCACAGAGGAGGGTCCTGCACCTGCCCTGAGGGGAGAGAATCAGAGGGCCTTGGGGGCTCAAGAGCCAGCCTGAGGGGGCTCCCTGTGGAGGGAAGTGAGAAGGGAAGCCGTGAGCAGACTGTCCTCAGCTAAAGAGCTTCTCTGGTCGTCAGGGAGGAGGGTGGGACTAGGAAGAGAGGGTGAGGGGCAGGGGTTCCAGCTGTCCAGACCTGGGCTCCGTGAGGGCTGGAAGGTGCCTGCAGACCACTTAGCCCTGGTCCTTCCTTCTACAGATGAGAAAACTGCCCTCGGAGAAGCTGGGCACCTTCCCGCAGTCTGCATGGCTGGCGGCAGGACAGAGAGCAGAATCTTGTGACTGACAGTAGACTCCTCCTTACGCTGTGGGTGGAAGAGACCTGGGGGGGCCAGTGACCCCAGGAATCTACCTGCAGGAAATGGTCCCAGCTAAGGTGAATGGGATAGGGGAGTCTGGGAATGAGACTATCTGGGAGAGGAAGAAGGAAGGCCAAAGGGTAGGCGCTCAGCTGCCCCAGCCCCACCTTTCATTTGACAAGAGTAGCGCTGGCTGGCAGCCTCCCCCTCATGGTGGCTGCTGTAAGGGGTCACAGAGCCACAGCCACACCCCAGACTCATCTCCCTCCGGAACTGGCAGGCCTGTGAGATGAGGGGAGGGTACGATGGGTTAATCTAGGGACCCGGGAACCTGCTGCTCAGCCCAGCTCTTCCCATGAACTGCTGCTTCCTCTTGGCAACCCAGGCACTCAGCATTCCTCTTTGAGCAAAAACAGCAATAATAATGAATAAGGCTGTATATTGAGCACTTACTATAATACATGCCAAGCACCATTAGTGCTCTCTTTGCATAAGCTTATTTGATCCTCCCAACCACCCTTTGAGATGGATGCCATCATTCTCATTTCATCCAGGACTCAATTACCTCATCTGTAAAATGAGGAGTAATATTTCCTATATCACTGGCTTGCTGTGAACTAAAATATGTACAGCACCTAGCACACCTAGCACATAATCAGTGCGATGTAATATTATTATTATTTAAGTATTATTATTAATGAAGAATCCGGAGCACAGACAGATTAAGTAACTTGCACAAGGATTCAAGCCCAGGTGAATGTGGCTCCACAGAACTGGTCCTTCATTGCCTAGAGCTGAGTTGAGTGCTTCCACGTGCCAGTCAGCCTCCAGCACTCCCCCGCCTCTTTCAGTGGCCCCAACCCCCTATCCCTGCCAGACCGGTGTTTTTCTCGGCCACTGAGACAAGGGCTCTCTTTGCCCTCCCTGCAACAAGCCCTGCAAGCTGTCATTCCCCTCCCCAAAGCCCTGTTCTCCTCTGAATCCTGGGGCACCAGGTCCCAGCCCCACTGGCACAGGGATCCCACACATTGGACCATGGCATTGCTCACCTTCTTGATACCGTACATTAGGCTGACAATTGCTGCCACCAAAGTGAGAGTGATCAACACAATGGCCCAGTCTGAGACAGAGTCCTTCTGGGGCTTCGGACCTGGGGCACAAAGACAGGGCCAGTGACTGAGGTAAGTGGTGCCTCCAGCCCCCCAGACCCCCACTGCCCTCTGACTTTCCATCTTTCTTTCTGTGACTGATGTCTCTGACTCTGAGACCTCATCTCTCTGGTGTTTTCTCCTATCACCTTGGGAGCAGAATCTCAGCAGGGGTGGGGGTGGGGGTTTAAAGGGCTTCAATCCAAGTCTCAATTGCCTCTTCCCTGTGGACACGTCTGTCAGTCCCAGACTCATCACTGAGGTCTGCACCTCACTGTCTTTCTCGGGCCCTATTTTCTGCATCCCTGGGTCTGTGATGCTTCTGCACTGGGAGGGTCCTCAGTAGGCACTCTCCTTCCTCCAAGCCCCAGTTCTCCCCACCACTCCACCCTGATTCTTGTCCTTAAGGGGAACCAGAGCCTGATCTCCTGTCTTCCTTCCATTCGTTTCCTGCCGTCAGACTTCCCGCGTGGTATTCCCTATGCTCCCCTTCTAGGAATGAAAGGGAGGGGAGGAGGATGATGGAAGAAGGAGGGGTGATCTCTGGAAGGAATGCCTCTCGCCCTGAACAGAGAGATTAGATCATGAGGAAGAAAGATGAAAACCTTTCGAGAAAGCAGCCAGGTAACAGGCATCTGGCAGTTGGTCTGACCAGAGGCCACCAAAACCCCTTTGAGCTACAGACACATCCTCAGACAGGTTTAAAACACAGTTGAAAGCAGGAGCTAATGACTCTCCCTGAACTCCTCCCAAGGAGCCAGGGGTGGCTGCAGGGAAATGAGAGAGAATAGGCCCACCAACATTTTACTGTAAGTGACCCAGTGCCTAGAAGAGTGACTTAACTGGCCAGGATGCTGAGCCCAGAGGACGTGGTGGCCACCCAGCCATGGTGGCAGTGGAACTCCTAAGACAGCAACACTCAGTGCTAAAGTCCCAGGCACAGTTGGAGCTGTTCCGGGAGCACTGGATGAGGCAGGTCCTAAGAGGGCAGAGGGAAAAAACAGAAGAGATTCAAGCAAGAGCAAAGCAGAAGTCACATCAAATGCACCCACAGGCAAGACTCCAGCAAGTTTTTGGAATAAACTGATGAAATAATGTTATGAAAATCAAGACTGAGAATAACCAAGACACTCTCTTAAAAAAAAAAAGGGAGAACTTACACTATGAGATCTCAAGACTTGCTACAAATCTGTAGTCCTTAAGCACTGTGGCCCTGGAGTAAGAACTGACTGATAGGCCGGGTGCAGTGGCTCACACCTGTAATCCCAGCACTTTGGGAGGCTGAGACAGGCAGATCACCTGACGTCAGGAGTTCGACACCAGCCTGGCCAACATGGTAAAATCCCGTCTCTACTAAAAATACAAAAAAATTAGCTGGGTGTGGTGGCAGGCGCCTGTAATCCCAGCTACTCCGGAGGCTGAGGCAGGAGAATTGCTTGAACCCGGGAGGCGGAGGTTGCAGTGAGCCGAGATCGCGCCATTGCACTCCAGCCTAGGCAACAAGAGTGAAACTCCACCTCAAAAAAAAAAAAAACTTACCGAAAAACCCACACAAATAGTCACTTGACTTTCAGGATAGGTGCTCACCGTTCAATGGCAGGGACAGGGGAGGGTCCTTGGAAATAATGGTTCTGGATATTCATAAGAAGAAAAAATGAATCTTGACTTCCACCTCGCTCCATACACAGAAATTAACTTGAGATGGATAATAGACTTAAATTTGAAAGCTAAAATAATAACGTTTCTGGAAGAATGCAGAGGAGAATATTTTCATGACCTTGAAGTAGCCAAAAAAGTCTTAGGATACAACAGGAACTAATCATGACAGAAAAAGGTGATGAATTGGAAAACAGAAAGAGAGGCCCTTGTATAGCCACAAAGGCAAGGGAGCTGCTTCCACTGAGGTTCTGGAAAACTGCCAGGCTTGCAGGAAGCCCCACCCCAGAGCTACAGACCGAGCTGAAGGGTTCTCCCGAGATGGGTTGAGCAACAGAAATATCACCTGATGATGTGGAGACTGTTCCTGAAGTGCTCCCAGAAACGGCTGGAGCTAAAGACTGAGGACTGCTGGGAAAACTCCCAGAGTTTGAAGAAACTGTTGAGACACTCCCAGAGGCAGTAGGGAGACTTCTAGAGATAGTGGGGACAGTTGCAGAGATAGTGGGGAGACCTCCAGAGACAGAGGGAAGATTTCAGAGACAGTAGGGAAACTTTTGGAAATAGTGGGGACAGTTGCAGAAACAGTGGGGAAACCTCCAGAGATAGTGGGAAGACTTCCAGAAACAGTGGGAGACTTCCAGAAACCGGGGAGAGCTCCAGAGACAGAGGAGAGACTTCCAGAGACAGTGGGGAGACTTCCAGAGACAGGGGAGACCTGGGGATACTGTGTCAGAAGTCCCCAGTAGGGTCAGCTGAACTGTTGAAAAAAGAAGATAAACCATAGAACGGGGTTAGAAGAGTTGGCCATCCCACTGGGTCCCAAATTCATGTCCTTCCTCAAGACCCCCTGTCTGGGCCCAAGTGCTCACTGGGTCCGGCCAAGGCCTGCAGGCCCAGGAGCAGCACCAGCACAGTGTCCATGGCACCAGTTGAAGTGTGTTGGCCAGGCCCATCTCCCAGGCTCTTTAAAGGCTCTGGGGCCTATTATGAGTCCCGGGAGAGCCAGTTGTGCCGGGGCCTCCACCAACACCAGAATCTCCATCCCCAGAGAGAGGTCGCCAAGTTGTCCCAGGGGATTAACCTGTCCCAGCCTGATCCCAGGAAGCACAGGGTGAGGGGGAGAGTGAGTAAGAGCCTGCAGGCTCCCCCACCTGGCCCTTGGGCTCTTCCTGGACTAGGGACCTGTCCCCCAGGTCTGAGTCAATTCACAGCCCAGACCCTCCTTTAAAAGGGGAGACCCAAATGACCTATCCCAAGGTCATCCTCTTGTTCCTAGAAGTACAACCGTTGGAAGTCAGGACGTATGAGTCCATCAGGGAAGCAGGATTTGGAAGCTGGGGTTGTAGGGGAACCATGAGGGTCTAGGACTGCATCTGACCTTCTGGAAACCTAAGGGTGGGCTGGGAAGGTCAATACCTGAGCCGTCTCTCACCTAGATGGCTGCAGCTGACAGAGCTTTCCATTCCTTTGACAGGGAAGGGGAAAGGGGAGATAAGGGGCACCAAGGAAGACACGTGTCATGTTTGGGGACAGTGTGATATGGAAGGTCAGACCCCAGCTCTGGAGCCAGACAGCCCTGAATCCTCAGAAGCTCAGTACCAGGGCTGAGTCCACTGCACTGGAATCCACCACTGCTGAGCTGTGCATTCTCTGGCAAGTCACAAGGCCTAAGTCTTAATTTCACCTCTAAAATCGGGGTAATCTAGTACCTACTTCACAGGCGCTTATGCGCTATAAAGGAATACTTAGTGATGAGCCTAGCACATGGCTGTAGAAAGTGTGGGGGAGGCCAGGTGCGGTGGCTCACGCCTGTGATTCCATCACTCAGGGAGGCCGAGGGGGTGGATCACCTGAGGTGAGGAGTTGGAGACCAGCCTGGCCAACATGGTGAAACCTTGTCTCTACTAAAAATACAAAAATTAGCCTGCTGTGGTGGCGGGTGCCTGTAATCCCAGCTACTCGGGAGGCTGAGCCAGGAGAAGATTGCACCACTGCACCCCAGCCTGGGCGACAGGGATGAGACGCTGTCAAAAAAAAAAAAAAAAAAAAAGGAAGGAAAGGAGGGAGGGAGGGAGGAAGGGAGGGAGGAAGGGAGGGAGGGAGGGAGGGAGGGAGGGAGGGCCCTTACTCTTCTCCGAGGAAGATCTCTCTGTGTTCCCAATTCTACCTCCTGCTCGTCCCTCCTGTGCCTGCTGCTCTTCTCCTCCATGCTTTCTTCCCACTGTGGTCTTCCTGTTGTCCTGTGCAAGTCTGGGAGTCATTGGTTGCCTCACTTTACACTTACAGTGCAGACCAGGCCTCTATCTCTGTTTCCCCATCTTGCTTTTGCTCTCCCCACCTCTGCCCAGTGCTCTCTCTGCCTCTGTCTCTCTGTGCTCAGTCCCGCTGGCTTTGGGGAAGGTGGAGAGGCTGCATAGGGAAGTGGCAGATAGGAAGATGCTGGCCTGTGCCCTTGTGTGTTCAAGCAAGTTTCCATGGCTGGTGTGTCTCTTTGTCTGGCTAGAGGGATGGGTTCTAATCTCTCTGCTACTTGTTGGCTGGGTGACCTTAGCAGGTCACTTACCCTCTCTGTGCCTTACTTTCCTAGTTTCTAAAGAGGGTCAGTAACTCCCTCTGCACATCTGTCCTGTGCTTGCCTGTCCCAGCGCTTGCCTGTAGGCGTCTCGGCCGGGAGTAGGTGGGTGTCCCCTTTTCATGGGTGCACAAGGCAGGAGTGAGAGGATGTCTGAGGAAACTCGTGTCTCCCCCTGACAATCCAGGATGCGTTAGAGCAAGTAAAACAGAATGTTCAGCAATGGAAGTTCCCATGACCAGATTTCTCATCTAGAAAGCCACCAAGGCTGGGGAAGCAGTGTTCACAGTCCATTATAGACCCAACTCCTTGTTCTACTCCTTCTCCTCTTTTCACTACTGCACTTGACTAGTCTTTAAAAAAAAAAAAACCTGAGGGAGCAGGACACCTGGGTTCTGGAAGAAACTTGGCTTAATCCACCCCTCCCTTTTGGGCCCACATTCCTGAGCCCTTCGGTGTCAAGAATGATGAAAATTAGCTGCAGTTAATAATTAATCTCTAAAGATCCTTGGGAGGCCCGGGCATGGGTGGGGGCCCAGACACCTGCAGGAGGGACGCCTCCCTGGTCCCCGCTTCCCTCTCCATTTCCCTGTCTGTAGGACCCGCACTCACTCCCTCAAACCTGGAGACACAAGGGAGGGGTGGGACACAGAGTGGAAGAGAGGGGACTTCCTTCTATTTTCCCCAAAAGCACAGTGAATGGTCCTCTCCTGGGTCCTCTCTTACTGGGAGAACTGGAAAATCCAGTTGACCAGATTCCTCCTCCCATTTCCCCTCAAACACTTATGCTAAGGCTTGAGTGGGGTGTAGAAACAGGCCTGTTAAGGAGAGGCCACCGGGACTTCAGTGTCTCCTCCATCCCAGGAGCGCAGTGGCCACTATGGGGTCTGGGCTGCCCCTTGTCCTCCTCTTGACCCTCCTTGGCAGCTCACATGGAACAGGTGAGGGCTAGAGGGCAGGACTCCTGGGTCCCTGTGGCAAGAAGAGGCCAGAGAAAAGGGGTGGGATTTCATGGTCCCTGAGAGTGACAGAGACACCCCAGTCCTGAGCTTCCAAGAGGCTCTGGAGGGGCATTGCTGGGGAAGAGGAACTGTGCCGGGGAGCGTGAGCAGGAAGGTTCTGTGTCTCCGGAGGAATCAGCCCTGACTGCTGGGTCCTAAGCTGTACTTCTGGATCCGCAGGACCGGGTATGACTTTGCAACTGAAGCTGAAGGAGTCTTTTCTGACAAATTCCTCCTATGAGTCCAGCTTCCTGGAATTGCTTGAAAAGGTAGTTCTTTGGAAGGGGAAAGATGGGGCTGTGTGTTTGTGAGTCAGTTTGGGCCTCTGCTGGGGTCTGGATGTCTCCGTGGTGGGAATGGAGAGCTCTCTTACATCGCGCCCTTTAACCCTTTGTTCCCAGCTCTGCCTCCTCCTCCATCTCCCTTCAGGGACCAGCGTCACCCTCCACCATGCAAGATCTCAACACCATGTTGTCTGCAACACATGACAGCCATTGAAGCCTGTGTCCTTCTTGGCCCAGGCTTTTGGGCCGGGGATGCAGGAGGCAGGCCCCGACCCTGTCTTTCAGCAGGCCCCCACCCTCCTGAGTGGCAATAAATAAAATTCGGTATGCTGAATTCAATAACTTGCTTGACTCTGTGGGTCCCTGAGCACAGAGCTGGCAGGAAGTGGGGATTGGATGCTCAAGTCTCTGACTGTCCCCCTGTTGAGCAGAGGGTTCCAGGGATGGACAATGTCTCCCTCAACACCAGTGTCACAGGCCTACAAGGCATCTGGGGAGTTGTTTGGGGACACACACACCACACACATATACGCATGCATAGGAACACACACCAAATTGAGATCTTTGGAACACCTGGGAATAAAGAGAAGCAACATTTATTGAAGTCCTGCTTTTCTCCTGCATCCCTATTTCGATGCTTGCAGCAGTCTTGAATGTGGCATACTAGGTATCATTATCCTATTTTACAGATAAGGAAATTGAAGCTCAGAGAGGGCAAGTCACTCACCTGAGATCTAATAGCAGTGGAGAAGTCAGGCACTAGACAGAGGTCTTGGTTTAAGCAAGATTTTTATTTCATTTCCCTTTGCTTAAGCATTGGGGCCAGGGGCTCAAAAACCAAAGAAAGAGACATAGGCAGAACACCCCCAGGACATGGTTCCCCTGGCCCATGGATCCACACAGGTAATTGGGGTGGGAGGTGGGTGGGCACTCAGGTGAGAGATGACGGGTTCAGCTTGTGAGAGGATGCCCAGCCAGGCGCAAGTGCTGGGGAGGAGAGGCCAGGTGCAAGCTGAGCCTGTCCTGGTTAACCATGTGAGTATGAGGTGACACCAGCCCACATGTGAATTCCTGGGCATGTTTCTTATCCTCTTGGAGCCTCCATTTCTTCACTCGCAAAATGGGAACAATGATGGTACCTGCTGTAGTGTGACAGGTCCCCTACCAGGTTACTTAACGGTGTATGCCACTGCCTGAATCCTGAAGGCCAGGTGGCGAGCCAAGGTCACGGTGCCTGGCCGAGGAGCAGGTGTCCCTGAGAACCCAAACATCCCGGAGAGTATCTGGGAACCCACCAAGGAAAACAGTCCATTCGCACACACACAGTCGGCAGAGTCAGAAAATTAGCTTGAAAGCAGCTTTAGCATGGGAGGCAGCACGGATCTCTAAAGCTGTCCTGCTGCCATCCAGGAGTGCCTTGTATGTAAGTCCTAAAAAACTCATCTACTCACCAAGCTGGACTTGTCTGAGTCACTTTTTGGCCTCTCAGCTCCCTCCCAGTTTGGGGGAAGGTTTTTGTTGTTGTTGTTTTGTTTTGTTTTTACACAATTCTGAGTTTTTCTCATTATTCCTGCACCATCAGGTTGTTGTGAGGATCACACAGGGAAGCTACTTAGGGACATATCACAGCCTGTCTTATAGGTCGTCGGCAGGATGGTAGGGATTGCTGTTAGGATGGAAACCTGGTCCCAACATATAACTCCTAGTCCCCTGGGGTTCAGGGTCCTCCTTATGCTGATTTCTGAGGCAGGCACTCCTGACCACCTTCTCAAGATTATCTTGGCCAGGCGCAGTGGCTCACTCACGCCTGTAATCCCAGCACTTTGGGAGGCCAAGTCAGGTGGATCACCTGAGGTCAGGAGTTCAAGACCAGCCTGGCCAACATGGTGAAACGCCATCTCTACTAAAAACACAAAAATTAGCTGGACATGGTGGCATGTGCCTGTAGTCCCAGCTACTTCGGGGAGCTGAGGCAGAATTGCTTGAACCTGGGAAGCAGAGGCTGTAGTGAGCCAAGACCATGCACTCCAGCCTGGACTACAGAGCAAGACTCTGTCTCAAAAAAAAAAAAAAAAAAAAAATTGACTTCTCACCAGCTCTCAAAACACAAACTTGCAGCTCAGACTTGAGCAGTGGGGGGTACTGATAGGATTGCTCTCTGTCCTCTGTGGTACCCACTCTGCCCCCCACACCTACACAACCCTCCATTATCTCCATATGAAATTGGAGACTGACTCCTTTGGAGACAGAAGACAACAAGAGTTCAGTATGGAGCATCACTGAAGATGAGGGGAGCATAGAAAATGGCAGGGTGGAAAAAAAACACTTAAAAAATTGGTCTACCTTCCTTCACAACTGTCCTGGGACAATTAGCCCCCAAGGAGAGGTAGCAGGGGGCTCCAAAGGAGACTAGTATTTTATGACTTGCCCCTAGCCTGCAGTAGTGGGCAGGTGACGCCCATGGGGCAGCTGTGAGGATCCCCAAACAAGTTGGGGGACTGGATATCTGAATGTCCAAGAGGTTGGTAGAGCAGACAGCTAAATGCACCTCAACCTGGTTCCTAGACTTCAGGGCCTGAGATCACCAGGATGTGATTTCCAGATTATTTTTCTCAAAGAATTGTCTCCCAAGGCTCAAAACAGAGCAGTGCAGTGAAGAGTGCTTTGGGGTTCACCAGACCTGGGGGTGGCAGAGACTGCTAACTGGCCCCCCTAACAGCCATCCTCCTCCTTTTGGATAGTCATGTAGATTTCAACTCAGCATGTGGATCATTACATTTCCCAGCCTCCCTTGCAGCTAGCTGTGGCCATGTGATCACGTTCTGTCCAATAGGATGCAAGTAGAAAGGAGGTGGGCAACTTTCTGGTAGTATCCTTGAAAAGAAAGGAGCTTCCATTTCAGAGGAGGAAAAGCAAAGTTCTTGAAACAGCCTATAAGGTCTTAGATCAGTGCTTTCCAATAGAACTTTCTGTGATGATGGAAATGTTTTATAACCGTGCTGACGAACATAGTAGCCACTGGCCACATGCAACTACCAAAACACTTGAAATATGGCAAGTACGACTAAGAAACTGAACGTTTTTATTTTATTTAATGCTTTAGGTAGCCAACTGGCTACCATTTTGGACACAAGCCCCAGATTGTCCGCCTTGAGTCTTCCCTACCCCCCACCAATTCCCCACCCTCACCTCTGTTTCTCCACCTCCCACCATCCTCCCCTTCTCACTCTGCCCCACCACACTGGTCTCCAGGCTACTCCTCGAGCTGTCTGACCATGCCTCTATCTGTTTTCCTCTGGCCCTTCCCTTTGTCTGGAATGCTCTTCCTATACCTCCTACAAGCCTTTGCTTAAACCTCACCTTTACAGTGAGTTCTGCCCTGACCCACTATTTAAAAGTACAACCTGCCCCCCACCACACAAACACATTAGAGTCCCCTTACCTTGTTCTATCCTTTTTCCCTCCCCTGCATTCACGACATTCAAACATAGTATATCGTTCACTCATTTGTATGTTATTTCTGACTGTCCTGCTAGAAGGAAAGTACTACAAGGGCACAGAATTTTGTTTCACTCACTGATGAATCTAAGTGTCCAGAATAAGGCCCAGCCCATCCATAGCAGGTGCTCAAAAAAAAAAAAAAAAACACCTTGCTGAAACAGAGTAAAAAGAAAAAGAAAACTGCCCATCCCCTTCTTTCCCTCCTCCCTCTGGGTGGAAATGCAGACACGGTGATGGGAGCTGGTGCAGACCTTGGACATGAAGTTTGACAATACATCAGAATGGCAGGAAAATAAGATTGAAGGAGGTGTGGGCTCCCATTATTGCAGATCTCTGCACTACTTATGCCCAGCAGAAGAAACATCCACCTCATCTAAGCCACCATTATATTTGAAGTTTAGTTACAGCAGCCAGAAAGAGCCTGCACCTAATTTATTGGGTTAGGTCCCAGTGGAGACTTTTCTCTGAGCACACGTCTTCATCTCCAAAATGGGGGCTGGGCGCAGTGGCTTATGCTTGTAATCCCAACACCTTGGGAGGCCAAGGCAGGTGGATTATTTGAGCCCAGAAGTTCAAGACCACCCTGGCCAACATGGCAAAACCCTATCTCTACAGAACAATTTTAAAAATTAGCAGGGCAGGGCTGGGCATGGTGGCTCATGCCTGTAATCCAAGCATTTTGGGAGGCCGAGGCAGGCAGATCACTTGAGGTCAGGAGTTCAAAACCAGCCTGGCCAACATGGTGAAACCTTGTCTCTACTAAAAATACAAAAAAAATTTAGCTGGGCGTGGTGACAGACAACTGTAATCCCAGCTACTCAAGAGGCTAAGGCAGGAGAATCACTTGTACCAGAGAGGTAGAGGTTGCAGTGAGCCAAGATCTCACCAGTGCACTCCAGCCTAGGTGACAAAGCAAGACTCCGTTTCCAAAAAAAAAAAAAAAAAAAAAGTAGCAGGGCACAGTGGTGCACACCTGTGGTCCCAGCTACTCAGAAGTCTGAGGCAGGAGGATCACTAGAGCCCTGGAGGTTGAGGCTACAGTGAGCCATGATTATGCCACTGCACTCCAGCCTGAGCAACAGAGCGAGACCCTGTCCCAAAAATAAAGTAAAAATAAAAATCTCCAAAATGGAGCTAACACCCGCCTCATGAGGTTTTCAGTAGGATTAAATGGCATTGTACATCTAGCACCATAGAGGACCCAGCCCAGGACAGGCTACTCAGAGCTGCTGGACAGAATGTACTCTGGGCGTGGAAGGGCCAGGCCCTTGAATTCCATGGAGATGAGATGGTGTTTGGCGTGGGTAAGGTGGCTGGCTGTGCTGTGAATGTGTAACTCAGAGGCTGGGCACTCAGGTGTCAGAGCACAGAAGGTGGGGGCACACCATCTGCAGCACAGCCTGCAGCCCATCAGGTCTGGAGGAAGTCCTACTTCTCTCAGCACCTCTAGGGATACAGCCAAGGAGCGGGGAAGCTTCCATTTAGTGAGAAGTGGAGGAGAAAGAGCCTGCAAAAGCCAGGGCACTGTCAGTTAGTCCAGAAAGTAGGTAGAACCGGAACCACTGTGCCCATACCCTACCCATGACTAGAAAGTTCCTCTTCCTCCAGCGAGGACCCCTCCTCCTCTTTTCCCAGACCAAGCTCTCAGGGGACAACTCAGAAGCACAAAAGTCACCACTGGGAGCAAAGGGGACCAAAGAGCCATAAACAGACATGTTTGGGATTTCAAAAGTTTATCTCAATCTCCTCATTCCCAGACTTCCAGGTGGGAGGCAGGCCGGGCAGTAATGTGAGCATCTCAAGGACACCACAGTCACTGCGACCAAGCCAGTCTGTGTCCTCATTTACACAATGAAGGCGATGGACCACATAGTCTCTGACGTCCCACTGCACCCTGACAGCTGACAAATCTGTTTGTCCTCAAAGACAGGTCTGAGAGGGAGGAAAACTGATGGGGATGATGAGTTAGAGCTCCGGGCTCCCTGGGGCTGGAGGCTCATCCATCAGCTGCCGGAGGTGAGAGGCTGCCTTGTCCAGTTTTGACAATTCCAGCTGGAGGGAAGAAAGCTGGACGAGGAGAAAAGGAGGTGAGGATCCAGGAATGAGGCCCCTCCTGGCCCACATTCCCTCAGGGGTGGAGCCTTCTGGGGGCCTCCCTCAGCCTTACCTTTTGTTGCCTCTGAGTCCCTGCCTCCCCTTCTGATGGGGTCCTGGCTGTGAGGCTATCAAGCTGCTTCTGCAACTTGTACCTTCGGGCGGCTAACAGAGGTAGCTGGATCTGCGGGTCCACCAGGCCCTGGGGAAGAACAGGGAGAAAAGGCTCAGACATCCGCCTGCTGCCAGGCCTCCATCCTCCATTAGAAGGTCCCTTCCCCTACTTTATAGAGCCAGCCCCTCCCTTCCTCCCAGCATGCTTCCCAAGCCTGCCCTAACCCTCCCCATCCCCTCTGGTCACCTGCAGCTCCATGTAGACTTGAGCCGTGTCACTGAGTGGAGCCTGGGCCCAGCCGGAGGGAGCTGCTGCGCCTGGGGGTAACAGGCCCACAGCCCCACAGTAGCCCAGGGTGCCCAGGGGCTCCAAGAAGGCCTCGAAGAGGCCCTGGTCCCCAGGCTCTGAGCTCTGCAGCAGCACTGGAAAGAAAGAAACTGTCAGGGGCAAGGCCTCAGCTCCTGCCTCCCTTCCTACCCTGCACCTCCTAACGGGGGGGTTGGCCCTTCAGGCTCTGCTCTTTTCCCCACCAGCCCCCTTTTCCTGCAGGGATCCGAGCCCAGGACCCGCCTTGCCTCACCTCGGGGCCGGGCTTTGGTGAGCTGGTACGTGGCTTGGAGAGCCCTTAGCACCTGCACGACCTCTTGGACCCGGGAGAAGCGCCGCTCCAGCTCTGGCTGGCGCCAGTGCTCCTGGCAATGGGGGGGACCCAGAATTGGCAAAGGGGCTCCTGGGAGACTCATACCAACCCTGCTGGCTCTCTTCTCGACCCATCCACCCCATCTCCTTAGGGCAATGAGATCTGTCCTCAGCACCACAGAAAATCCACTATCTCAAGGAACATGACAAAAAGTGAGGCGTCATTTAAGAGGTTTTAGATGATCAGTGTTTGATGCCTGTTTAGTTGCTGTGATTGAAATGGCCAACCAAAAATAAATTAGAATTTAAAATGAATTAGTCAAAACTCAAAACCAAATAAGTATAAATTTAAATAGTTAAATTTTAAAATAATTTTTGGGTGAGTTCATAGCATTTATCCTTCTGAAGTTATTAAAGCTGCACTGAGATTTTGGGGACACCCTATTACTAACTTATCCAACCCTCATCACAACCATAACATATACTATTACTGTTCCTAGTTTAAACATGCGGGAAACTGAGGCTCGATCACACAGCTCAAAAATAGCAGTCTAGCAACAGAGTCCTGCTCTTGAGCACTATGCTAATACTGTCCCTCAAGACCCTAGGGTCATCGCAGCAACCCTGCAGGAACAATCCATCTTCCCCAGGGCTCCACAGTAAAGTACGAACCATTCCTGCAGATGAGCCCCCTGCAGCAAACCCCTTCAGAAGGTGCTCCCCCCCATTCACCCACAGACCCACTCCAAGGTGCTTGGGACTCACCAAGCTGCAGGCGCTGGGGTAGGGGGCAACCGAGATGCTGGGGGCAGGGGGGCAACCAGGCCTGGGGGGCAGCCTCTGCCAGAGCTCTTCAGCCAGGAAGGGCATCAGTGGGGCCAGGAGGCGGAGGCCGAGGTCAGCGCAGGAGAACAGGACCTGAGGGGGCCCCAGGGGGCGGGGCGAGTGCCACAGCACGGGCTTCACAGCCTCCTGGAGAGGAAGCCAATGGTCAGAGGACAGGTCCAGGGCCACAGCCCTCCTCCCTACAGCCACTGCTACCCGCCAGCGGGGCAGGCCATGGGTCCTGGGAGAGAGGGACAGGCAGAAGCACTTAGCACTTCTGATATGATCCACAGTCCCAGGACACACTCAGCACAAAGAAGGGGACTCCAGGACAGCAATTCTCTGCAGTACACAGGGACAGGATTTCCAGGGAAACATGTAGTTTAGGGAAAAAAATCATTGAGTTTTTTGCTTATCAACAGGGGACAGAGGTTTTTAAAAGGCTGAGCTAGGGCAGTGGTCCACAGCCAGCAGCAGCAGCACCACTTGGGACAAGAAATGAATATTCATTACACCACCCACCCCCACCCCAACCTGCTAAAGGAGCCACTCTGGGGTGGCAGTGGAGCGGGGGGGATCCACGGTCAACAAGCCCTCCAGGTGCTTTGGACGTAGGACAGCGTGAGAACCCCTGGTCTAAAGACCGCTGCTAGTCCCTCCCAGGCCTCTCTCAGCACGCAGCCTGCCCATGGGCCAAACTCAGCAACTACAGGGACTGAAAAAATTCCCCTCTGCCTTCTGACACCGACTTGTCAGACATTTCTAGAAGTCTCCCTCCTCCTCCTCTCCCCAGGTGACAGGCAGGCAACAGTGCCTGGGCTGCACTGCCAAAACCAGTCCCAGGAAGAGGGGAACTGAGACTCCCTCGTCTCCTCTCCTCTCCTAACTGAGGGGACAATTGGGAACTTATTAACTCCAGAGCTCTCTGCCTTGGAAATTTCCAGAGGAATTAGAAGCAGGCATGGGAATACCAAGCCTCCCCCAGCCTCACTCACCAGGTAGACGTCACAGAGGTTGTGAAGCCAGAAGTGGTGCAGGGCATGAGTGACGAGCGAGAGCTCTCGGGTGAGGAAGCCCCGCTCACACTCCTGGGCAGCCAGGGCAAGGCGGCTCAGGATCCAGGCATCCATCGGGGAGGAGGGAGACAGCTGCAGGCAGAGGGGGCAGGATGGCCTGACTCCCCCTCCCCTGCCTCCTTTCCTTCCAGATGCCACCTTGGCCCTCTGACACCTGACTACCCTACTCCCAAGCACCTCTGTTTTCTCTTACCTCCTCAGCAGGCTGTGGCACAAATTTCTCCCCTAAAGCATTGAGGATAAAGCGAAGAGCATTCCAGATCTTGTTGCAGAAATGTCGGCAGCTCTGGACCTCAGAGACTGACAGGTGCAAGTCGCCCGCTGGAAGGGGAGAATCGAGGTAGTCTGCATGTAGGTGGCAGCAGCACCAGAAGTCCTGCCCCTGCCCTGCCCCTGCACAGGTGCCCGCTGCCCTCTGCTCACCCCGACACCCCTCGCCCAGGCTTACCCTGAACTCCATGGGAGCAGAGTGTGAATCTCAGGGCATCTGTCCCACACTCAGGGATCCCGTGAGGAAAGTCCTTTTTCTGCAACCAGAGGAAGAAGAAGGGTGGCAGATGCCTTTGTGGCTGCAGGGCCAGGACCTGGGTTGCAGAGGAAGCCAGAGGTGGTGAGCTAGAGCTGGTGGGGGGCAGGCAGCGATGACTCACCTGTGCTGCAGCCACAATGGCCAGCTCTGCAGGGTCCAAATTTCCGCTTCTCAGCTTTTCCTGCAGCACCTGGGGATGGAAGGGGGCAATTCACGACCCAGGTCGAAGGCCCTGCCTCTACAAGGGTCACACCTGCTGGCCTCACTCCTCCCTCAGCCTGCCTTCCTCTCTCCTGCAAACCCTGCAAACCTTGTCCCTCTAGTGGGTGCTTCGTCCTCACCTGCATCTCCACCCCACTGATGATGTCTCTTGGGTCCAGCACATTCCCCAGGGACTTGCTCATCTTCCGGCCCTGCCTGTCCCGAACCATGGGATGAAGAAGCACCTGGGGGCAGGGAGGGGTCAACAGAGGGGGGTTTCCTTGGAGGTGCCTTGGGATCTCTGGCCTCCATACTTTTGGGGGTAGGGTAGGAAGTGAATTAGGAAAAAGGAATCAGCAACGTGGAAAGGACCACATTAGGGGTTAGAAGGGAGGACAAGGTTTGGGGAACACTGGAGTCACAGAAAGCGGCAGGGCACTGAAGGGCTCTTACCTTGCTGAAGGGCAGCTGCCCTGTGAGCTGGGTCCCCAACATGACCATGCGGCCCACCCAGAACAGCAGAAGGTCGCTGCCCGTTTCCAAAAGTGACAGGGGGTAGAAACGAGCAAGGTCTGGGGTCTAGGGGGAAGAGGAGCAGTAAGAGGCCCAGGCCCCAGGCCCCCCTCAAGCCTCTGTGGGGGCCCAGCCATCCCTTCCTTATCGTTTCCCCTTCACTTTCGCCCTCTCAACCCACCTCACCTCTTGGGGCCAGCCCAGGGCAGAAAAGGGGAACAGGGCAGAAGAAAACCATGTGTCTAGGACATCAGGATCTGGGAAACAGAAAAAGAATGGGGACAGTTGGAACCTTGGCTTCTAGGACCTCAGACCACTGCTGCCACCATTCTAGGCCAACCCCCACCCCCAGAGACCAGGGCTGTCCCCTTTGGCTCCATTCCCAACTTTCCTGACCCTACCTTCTGTATCTTGGGATCTGTTCCCCTCAAAGGCCCAGATGCCCAGGCCCCCGCTCCCCTGTACATCCCTCCCCAGCTCAGGCACTCACCCCTCTCCAGGGTCAGCTCTGCCCCTGGCCTCCCTGTCAGTTCCGCTGCTACCTCTCTGGCCTCAGCCTCTGACCGCCCGACCACCCAACAGTCCTCTTCTCCCTGCAAAAGTAGGAAGGGGTTGGGGAGAGTGAGGAAGAACAGCTGACAGGTGTAAATGTCACTTGGTTTTCACGTCCTCATGTGGTCTTAGAGTGGCCAGGTTCCTCCAGGGGTGAGATAAAGAAATGCCACTTCAGGGAGCCTTGATCGCGCAGAAGGTTACATGACTATGAGCATGAAGCACATGACCAGGCAGGAGCGGGACTTGGCCCTGCGGAGCTCTGACTCCTGGGCTAGGTGCTCTGTGCCACACTCGGCCCTCCGGGTGCTTCTTCCTACCCACCTGCGCATGGTCCTCTACAACCAGGTAGGCTGGAATCTGATGGCCCCACCACAGCTGCCGGGAGACACACCAGTCCCTGCCGGGAGGACATTCGTGAAGTCTTAGAATAACCAGTCAGTCCCCCCTCCCCATCTCCACAAGAGCTCCCCTTACCCTACCCTTACCCAATATGGGAAAACCAGTGCTGCCAGTTCTTCTGGTGGAAGGAGGGACTGAGCTCCAGGGCCCCCGACTCCACAGCCTGGAGAGAAAGGGGACTTTAGACAATGTTGCCCTTCCTGCACGGCCGCACCTCCACAGATAGGACGAGTGGCCTCTGAGGTCATTTTAAAACTCAGAAAGGACCTCCCAAGCCTCTTGCCAAGATTCTGGGCTTGAGTAAGGATATGAGCCAGCCCTTGCTGGGCCGCCCAGCCTCCATCCCACACATCCTCTCAGTTACCACAGCTGGAGAGGTCTTCAGGGCAGGAGGTCTCCTGCTTCCCATTTCTTCATTCCAATTCTCAGGGAGCTCCCCCAACCCCTGGCCCCAGTCCTTCCTACACTGCAGCCTCACCTTGGCAGCTCGGGCCCCCATTTCCTGGCAGCGGACAAACCACTGGTTCTTCAGCAGGTATTCTATCACATCCCCAGAACGGCTGAAAGAGAGACAGGGTGAGTCCACTGCTCTTCCGGCCCTGTGACTTCTCCCAGGGGCACAAGACCCCATGCCATGCCAGGCCCTTGGTACTGAGGATACAATAGCGAATAAAACCGACACGGAGCTCGTATTCTAACGGAGGGGTGCAGAGCCCATCCTATTGTCACCCTTAAGCTCCATACATTCCCTTTTGGGGTAGCCCTTAGTAAAGGAGTTAAAATGAGGTTACCTGCAGATGGGCAGTACCATGGGGTGGTTCTGGAGGCCCCGGAACAGGCCCCGTTCACTCAGCACAGACATTATCTTTTCCCGGGCCACAAACCGGTGAAGACCCTGGAGAAAAAGCGGCAAGAGTAAAGACTGAAGGCCTCTAGAGAAATAAGAAACTAGGAGGAGGATTAGGGGGACAGAGAGCCCCCAAAGGATGGGGTAACATAGGGTGGTACCACCTGCAGCCAGTCCCCGCAGAGAGAGGTCATGGTCCCATCCTCCGCAATGACATTCAAGGGGCTCAAGCCATGTCGGGCCCCCATCTCAGCATCGGCAGGACTGTGAGCTGGAGTCACCTTCACTGCCCCTTGGGGAGCACAGCCATGGTGAGTACTGAACCTGACCTTGGCTTTTGCTTTTCCAGATGTATCATCATCACCTGCACCGCCCCATCACCTGCACCGCCCCAGCCCCTGCGACTTTCTCTGTCTGTGCCTCCCTCCCATTCCCCACTCAGACCACCCTATATGAGGATCTCCCACTCCCACCTTCCTCTTCCTCCTGGTTCCCTCCCCTCTCCTCCAGGACCCCCAACTTTCTCTCCCTCCCCTGACTTCCACTCACCCGTGCCCACATGTGGCTGAACAGCATAGTCTGTGATGAGGGGAAGAGGCTGCCCCATCAAGGGGTGACGAAGCTGTCGCCCGTGTAGATGCTGAAGGGAAGGGAGAGGGATCAAGGACAGGCACCTGTGAGGGTTGGAAGGGTCTGGGCTGGGGCGTGAGAACCCCAGGAATAAGAAGGTAGAAAGTGGAAGGTAGCAAGCTAGAGCAAGGTCAGCAAACTCTTAAGGGGCCAGAATGTAGATATTTTAGGCTTTTGGGCCTAGAGACAAATTCATTCTCAGCACAATTACTCTATTATGCCACTGCAGCAGAGCTGGAGAGGGTATATAATAGCAGCCATAGATAATATAAAGGCTGCAAGCAGCCAGGCGCGGCGGCTCACGCCTGTAATCCCAGCACTTTGGGAGGCCGAGGTGGGCAGATCACGAGGTCAGGAGATCGAGACTATCCTGGCTAACACAGTGACACTCCGTCTCTACTAAATAACATTACTTAAAAATTACATTACTTAAAAAAAATTAATTACTAATTTTTGTAAAAATACAAAAAATTAGCTGGGTGTGGTGGCACGTGCCGGGCATGGTGCCACGCTCCCAGCTACTCAGGAGGCTGAGGCAGGAGAATTGCTTGAACCCAGGAGGTGGAGGTTGCAGTGAGCCAAGATCACACCACTGCCCTCCAGCCTTGGTGACAGAGCGAGACTCTGTCTCAAAAAAAAAGGCCGCAAGCTGGATTAGGACCATGGGCCAGTTTGTCAACCCCTGAGCTACAGAAAAACTATAAGAGGAGGAGGGAGTCCAATCAGAACCACTGAGAGAAGTCTCAGGAAAAGGAAGTAGAAGCAAGAGAGAAAGAGCCACCATTTAAAACCCAAGAGAAGAGAAGGCCATTGGCGGGGCGGGCCAGAGTGCAGGAGCGCACTGGGTATTACTGTGTATCGCGAGTCGTCTGGATGAACGGCCACAGCCACATCTCCAGGCAGCGTCTCTGGCCTTGTGGTTCCTACCACAACCTCTGCATCTGAAGATAAACATTTAAACACTTACAGCTGGTCATCATCCTCACCTCTCACTGCCAACATAGCTAAAGGCAGTAGAACTGGAAAGGGGAAGGGGCAGGGAGTAGTCAAGGTGGAAGAGGCCCCCAGGAGTGACTAGAAAAAAGTAGGAGCAGTGTTTATAGGAACCCAGGGTTTCCCATAAGCTGATGACCAGAGGTCTGAGAGGGTCTCTGGTGCTAAAGAATTCCCTGATAATTTGCATGGAAGAAATGGGGGCAGCATTAATTAAAGCAACTATAATAGAATTCTTGCTGGGTGCCCAGAGGACACTGGGGATTCTCAGTGTCCTAATCACAAATGCTGTACATTCCTCAGGGGGAGCACCAGCTCCTACAAGAAGCTTCCACTGACAATTCCAGCTCATCTGTCTTCCCTTTCTCTGAGCTCTTCAGAACATTTACCGTAAAAACCACACCTTAGAGGCCAGGTGCAGTGGCTCACGCCCATAATCCCAGCACTTTGGGAGGCCAAGGCGGGCAGATCACGAGGTCAGGAGTTCGAGACCAACCTGACCAACATGGTGAAACCCCGTCTCTACTAAAAATACAAAAATTAGCCAGGCCTGGTGGCACGCGCCTGTAATCCCAGCTACTCAGGAGGCTGAGACAGGAGAATCGCTTGAACCTGGGAAGCAGAGGTTGCAGGAGCCGAGATCGTGCCATTGCACTGCAGCCTGGGTGACAGAGTGAGACTCTGTCTCAAAACAAACAAACAAACAAACAAAACAAAACATACCTTAGAACTGATCTCTTTCCTGGGTAGCGCACTCCTGAAGAATCACACCACACTCTCAAAGGGCAGTGACCACATGCACTTTTTGTACATCCCCCAGAAGACCCTGGGTAAGTGCCCACGCTGAGGTGAACACTACCAAGGTACATGTGAGAGATGGACTGATGGGTTCCTAGCAGCCCAACATGGGCTTCAGAAAACAGGAAAAATGGAGGTAAACGGGTGACCCTGCAGAGTACTATGCTCACCAGGCTCTCCATCCACGGGGAAGGCAACAGAAAATAGGAGGCCAAAAGACACGGGGGTGGGGCAGCCAGGCAGTCGAAGCTGTGTGTGGCCAGGCAGGGGCCGGTTCTCCACCTGGAGGCACCGAGAAAGCTGGGTCAGAGGGCAGCCTTTCTGCAAGGCTCATGCCCAGGCTTCACTCTGCCACTCATCCATCTGCCCAGCCTCCCTGCAATCCATCTAAAAGCCATTTGGAGGATTCGGGAGCTACCTCCCTCTGCCCTCACCCAATGCTCGTGCAGTCACACTTCTAATAAATATTCACTGAGCACTTAAGCCATGGCCAGGTATCTTGCCAAGCACCTATGTGAATTCTCATTTAATTTTTACAACACCCCCACGATGCAAGCATTCCATCATCTCTAATTTACAGACTGAGGAAGCTGAGGCTTAAAGAGACTAAACGGCCTGCCAAAAGCCACACAGCTGTAACAGGCAGGCATCAGATTTGAATCCAGGCACCCTGGCTCCAGAGTCTGAGCTCTTAATCATTGACCACTCTGCCTCAGAGCTCTCACAAACCTGCTTCCCTCTCTCCGCCTCACCTCAATGTCCGAGATGGCTGATCTTAAAGCACATGACCAGTTGACAAGCTGATGGTTCCGGTACAGCAACCCCGCCTTGTAGAGCCGCACAAAAGCTTCAGTCACAGCCACTGAGGAGCCCTGGAATGACCTGAGTGTCCACCTCTAAGAGCCACTTCTCAGCCCATCACCCTGCTCAGGGACCCAGGCATTGCTTCCTCCCTGCCCCACACAGATCCCTAAACATCGCCCATCACTCACAGGGACCAAGGCACAGAACACTCACAACATCCATGGTAAAACACTCTCGATCCCAGTCCAGGGAGGCACCCAGAGCTCGCAGCTGCTCACAGATCTCTCCACCTTTCCTGTGCCCAGAGAGATCCTTGTCAGCAAACACTTCCCAAGCACTTCCTATGTACCAGGCCCAGCGATGCCCCCAGCAATGCCAGGTGTTGGAGGAAAATCAAGTGAGGATGGCATTGATCTAGCCTCTAGAGGCTAATAGAAATGGACTTACAAACCCAGTATGGGGTTTTCTAAGATATTAAAAGAGGCAAAAGATTCTATAGGAAGAGAGGAGGGATAGCCATATTGTGGGAAATCCAAGGATGCTTCACAGAGATGGCATGAGATAACAGACCCAGAAGAATGAGGGTAATTCCATGGGAATTGAAAGGTGGGAATGGGCGAGTGGAAGAAGGTGAGATTTAGACAAGAGAAATTGGGGTAAGTAAAGAGAAAGAAAATATATATATATATATATATAAATACACACACACACACACACACACACACGAATATTCTAATGCATATATAATATCCACACACATAAGGCTTAGAAACTCCACCAAATGTTAACAGGCTCCAGAGCTTCCATCTCTGAGGAAGTCAGAGCTGTGTCGGGAAGAGCCAAGGATTACAAGTCAGGAGTGATAGTGGTGGGAGGCAAGAAACCAAATCTGCCATCTGGGCCCCCCGAGTCCTGCCCATCATACTCACGCCTCCTTCCACTGCCACACCTCCCTAAGGAAGGCCTCCCGGCTCAGCTCATGTCTCCTCACTCCCCGTTCCTTCCACAGTTGTTTCTCCACCACAGCCTGCAGTTGGATTCAGGGCAAATGAACAGAGTCAGGTTGCTTTGGGGGAAGAAATTGCTTTTGCCCAAGAAAAGGAACAGGTAACAAAAGACATACTTGTGTAGCAATTCCTGCATGATCTGAACCAGGGACCCACAGCACTTGATCCCCACGCATCCGGTGCCTGCAACAAAAATGCCCTCCTGTGAGCCCCTGAGCTTAAATGTTTATCCTCACTCATTCCTGCCCTTCCTATTTCCCTTCCAAGAACTCAAGCAGCCCCCACTCCCCTCTCACCAGCGCACGAGGGCATCCTGTATGGCCACCGTGAGTGCGTGGCCAATGTGCAGGGAGCCAGTGACATTGGGAGGTGGGATACACATGGAAAAGGTCTCCCCTGTAGCTTGGGGCAGCCGGGCCTAGAGGAAGAAAAAAAGTCAAAGGGGCAAGAGAGAATTGGATTGGGGAAAGAGCACCCTCTACTGTCTCCAGAACAGAAAGAACTTCAAGGAAGAACTGTCCTGCAAATAAGAGGAGAGTGGAGAGGAGGGAATTGGCCAGGGGGAACCTGCCAAGAGAAATCTTTGGAGACACCAGAGCCAGAAAGAAGACAAGGTCTACAATGTGAGCTCAACTCTGAGGTCCAGTTGTATTCAAGGGCCACTCTGTCCTGGAGACAATTTAGGACCCCTCCCTGCCAGATACTAACCTGATATTCTGGTTTGAAGAAGCCCTCTCGTACCCACCACGGGTACCAGGCAGCCTCAACATATCGGGGGCTGTATGCAGGAGGCAGGGGCCCAGAGACATCTGTGAAGGCAGAGGAGAGCTCCACTAACCACTGAACTTGTTCCCAGGCTGCATTTCGGCAGGCCAAATGGGCAACACATATGTGAAAGAAAAGGCCTTCTTACTTATTCTACTTACCTTTCTTTTCACCGGGTTTCGTAGGGATTTCATACAATACTAACTCCTTAGGCCTCCAGGCCTTAATGGATTCTGCAGGTGACTGAGAAGAGAAAGCAGAAGAGGCTGGGATCCAGTATACCCCAGACTGCATTTCAGCCGGTCTCCTCCAGCCCCTCTCAAGTCTCAGAAACCCAAGGACAAGCTGTCTGACCCCTAACCTTGCTCTCCCCTGCTATCTCAGCCTCCAGAGTCGCCTGCTTCTCTCGCAGGCGCTTCTGTTTGGCTTCACGGTTCCTCCGGGAGATGGGAGATCCATGGGGCTCCGACTGTGTAGAAACGGAGTGAAACCTGGGGAGGCCCCGTGAGTGCCTCAGCCCCCAAAATGGTGGTCGAAAAGAGGCGAGAGGCAAATGAGGCATCAGGAGTGTTTGGAAAGGGGCCGAGATCTGTTCTGGATAGAGAGAGAGCACATTAGGATATGGGGGTGGAGAAGGGTCACTCCCCTTGTTCCATCTTTCCTGTCTCTAATTAGCACAGGTCTGTTATTCCAAGTCTCTATTCCCTTCCACAAAACCTTTCCTCCTTGAGAGCTAGAGTGCATGGTATCGACAGACAGCGCCATGGAGCCACGGATATCAGGGCTCTTCCGGAACAGGGCCGGAGTGTCTGGATTCGGCGGTGACCACTGACACATGAGAGATAGGGCTCAGAAACTCAGGGAGATGATGGGCATCAGCGCGCCCAAGAGCCAGCAAGGAGTCCCGCCAGGGCCGCGGCGATCTCCACCTGCACAGGGGCCTCCTGCAGTGCCCACAGCCCGGCGCGGCCAGGCCTTCCCGCCCATCCCAAGGCCTGGGCCCAGGACCCGCAGCGTCTCCCACTTCCCGGAGGCCGCCCCGGCGCGCGCTCACCAGGAGGCCCCGCCGCTATCCCAGGGCGCCCCGCGGCGGCAGGGACTGAGGAATCCACCAAACCCGACCCTGGAACGTGGCCCTGGAGCCGCGCGGCGCATGGGGGCGGGGCCCCGGCCGGCGCATGCGCAGCAGCTGGCTTTGGCCCCACCCTCTCCCTACCGGTCCAAAGGCTGTAGACCAGAGGAGCGAGTCCGCCGCGAAGGCAAACCCCACGGGGAGGCGCCCGGGACCGCACTGCTAGCTATCATAACTTTATTAAACAAGAAAAGCCCTGACGCGTAAATAAAAAACACCTGAGTTCTGATGCCCCGCCCCGCCCAGTCCCGCCCGCCGAGGTCCGTGTCCAAGTCCCGCGCTCTCAGGAGCTATGTTTCTGCCGCTTCCAAAAGCGCTTGACGTCGCTGTGCCCGGCCGGGGTCACCACCATGAGCCGCTTGGCCGAGTTCTCGAACACGAGCACGCCCAGCTCCCGCGCGTGGGCCAGCAGCAGCTCAAAGTCCACTTGCGACAGGAACTGGTTATACAGGACACCTGGGGTCGGCAGGACGGGAGGGGCGCGGGGAGAAGACGAGAAAGTGAAGCTCGGAGCTCCTATTGGGAATCCCCCCAGCTCCTTGGTGGCAGCCCTGGACGCGGTCTGGGCTTGCCCCCACCGCAATTTTACAAACTAATTCTCTATGCTTGTCTGCTCAGGGGTTCATCTTAACACCAGTGTGATCCAGCCATATTCAGAAAGGCCTAATACAAATTACTGTGAATTATTCCCTCACCTAGCCAAATCCAAAGTGCATTGATTTGGGACGATTTGTTTACTACCGACTCACCCCAAAACAACAAAAAACTGTCTTGCCAGCTTTTCTCTCCTAGTCCATGAAGTAAAAAATAAAATGCAGACTGAACTGTCTGCCCTTTCTCTGGCCAATGACCAAGACTTGGCCACCAGAAGCTACTCACCCTCAGTGAACCGGAGTCTGTCCCTTTCCAGCTCCCAGAGCCGGATCTGGTCGGTGATGGTGGGGGGCAGCACAGGTGTCTGCAAGGAGCAAGGGTTGACTGTAGGGACTCAGAATACTGCCCCAGACAACCCGGCCCTCTGTTTCTTCCCCAGATTTGGATGCCCCTTTTTCTTTTCCATCATGTCATCACCAGCTGCCAGCCTCTGACATCTTGGAGCCTGTCTATACCTGTTTGAGCATCACTGGGTGGGCTCTTGTCCTTAGGAAATGGATTATCTAGGAAAACAGACAAGAATGGCATGAGGGCTCCAGCAAGAAGGCAGGAAAGCCATCTGAGCTGTCACCTAATGTCACTGGAACATCAGCTTATTCTAAAAACTCATAACTCCTGTCATCAACTCCACCCATCCCAGTTCAGCTGTTATCCCACGTTGCTGCTCCCAGCAACGTGGGATATTCCTTTTCTGGCACATTCGCCCTTTCCAGTAATGTTTTGTTTTTCTTTCTTTAAAATAGCAGCAGCTACTATTTTCTTTTTTTAGCATTTATTGCATGACAGGTGCTGAGCTCAATGCTTTGCCCCTATTCTTCCAATGAATTATCCCGGCAACCCTGAGGTAAGAACTGTCATTTACTAGATGAGGAAACTGAGGCTCACAGAGGCAAAACAACTATGTCTAGTTTACGCAGTTAGGATGTGGCAGTGCCGAGGCACAAATCCAGATCTATACCTCCTCCCTCCATGTTTTTTTCCCCTCAAGGGTCTACCTATTCTCACACCCAAAGCCTTCATTTCTCTTCAAACACAGACAACTCACCACCACCTATTATAACAGACTCAGAGCTAGCCTTCCATAATGTGACCCCTGTCCCCCGCAGCCCAAGTGCAGCCTGTCTTCCTGCTCCACCTCTCCCAAGTGGGAATACCTGCTGGGCTGTGATGCCACTGGCGATTGCCTGCTGCACACTCTCCCGGGTCACCTGCGCCACCACCATGTTGGGGAACCGATAGAGCATCTCAGAGAAGAGGGCAATGAGGGCAATCTGCAGCTCCGACTCTGAGCCAGGGATAGAAAGAGGATGAGGAGGCCACCCCCACACCCAGACTCCCTCAAGCCCTTCTTTCAAGTGTCATGAGAAATGTCAGAGAGCTCTGTAGACTGCCAGGTAAACACGAACATAAACTGGCATTCCCTCACCCCCAACCTCCTCTTCCAGGGGCCCTCTGTCCCGCCTCACCCGTGTAGGCATACAGTCGGTAATTGGTTTCCACGACAATGAAACCTGGCTGATGCACAGTGCCCCCAGCTCCAGAGACACCTGATGAGAGATTGATGGCCAGGCGTGTGGGGTAGTAACGCCGAGATTTCCTCTGAAAAGAATAGAAAGGCAGATGCCTTGTCTCAGAAGTCACTGCCTTACATCTTCCTGCCTGAAATATCAGATCCCTCCCAAGATGCAGAACCTCAACCCCCAACTTCTCTCCCCCGAGAGACCCAAGTATTCAGTTCTGGCAACTGCTTCCTGCTACTGCCCCAAGACCCCACTCCTTTTTAAAGGCAAAGGCAACACACCACCCTGTTTCTTCCCTGGAAGCCACTTATCTAGGCGCTCATACCTTCCTCTGGAAAACAAGCCCAAACTCACGCAGATGTTGCAGGAAGTTCAACAGAGAATCACTCATACCTTCCACAGAGTAATCCTGAGGAACAGAGGTTTCCAGCTGGGGTCCAAAACACAACCCACCCACCCCCAACCCCATACATTCATTCTTTCTTTCTCCATCTCTGTTCGTTCTGTTTTCATTCTTATCTTCTCAGTCTACTCTACTGCCCCACAACTTGCTTTCCCCTTCCCATCTCTATACCTTTCAGCCCCCTGCTTACCTTGCCCAGAGTAGAGAAGCTGAGCTGGAAGAGGAAGGAGAGAATCTCTACCAGGTCCATGCCCCGGCTCTAGGGAGAAAGAGGCAGAGACAAAGGAGGAGGGATGGGAGGGAGACAATGGGAAGAAAGGGACAGAGAAGAGAAAATCAGGGAACAGTCTGTAGGCAGGAGTCTCTCAGTGAGACCTGAGAGGAGCAGAGCATGCTGGTTAAGTGGCCCTGCCTCCTCACCTGGGCTGTCTGCAAATACTGCAACATAAAGTACCAGAGCTGAGCCGGGGTGTCCAGCAACAGGAACTGGAAGCCAGCGGAAGTAATGCAGGGCGGCTCTCCAGGTTCAGTACTAGAGACAAAGACCGGGACAATGATGGTGATATGCAGAGAAAGACTACTATCCCCACTTGTCCACTCACGTTTTTTCTTGGTATCTCTGGCTATATTCTACTCAGCTTGCCTTTTCCAGCTAATGTCCTCTGATCTTGACTAGCCCCAGATACCATTTCTTAGGAACCCAAGGAGATGGCACAGCAGAGAGCTGCTGTACCTCCGGCTTCCTCACCTCTTCATGAGCCCAGCCTGGCTGAGGAGCTGAGCCAAGTCCTGGCTGACAGCTGCACTGGGGGAGCCCACCATGAAGTGCAAGACCACCTGAAGAACAGAAGAGAACAGGGAGACCATGCCCCAAGGGCCATGGGAAGAAGAAGCACAAGCAGAGACACACACACTCCCAAGTGCTTACCTCCCATCGCTCCTCGGCGTACTTGTCAAGGGAGGGAACGTCCCGGGCATGCTTGTCTGGTCCCAGCTGACTTGTGTCATCAGACCAGGCCTTCCCCCTACGGCCAGGATGGGCCAAGAGTAAGGAACCCTGGCCAGGCGCAGTGGCTCACACCTGTAATCCCTGTACTTTGGGAGGCCGAGATGGGCGGATCACTTGAGGTCAGGAGTTCAAGACCAGCCTGGCCAACATGGCGAAACCCCATCTCTACTAAAAATACAAAAAATTAGCCTGGCGTCGTGGTGGGTGCCTGTAATCCCAGCTACTCAGGAGGCTGAGGCAGGAGAATCACTTGAACCCAGGAGGTAGAGGCTGCCGTGAGTCAAGATTACACCACTGCACTCTGGCCTTGGTGACAGAGTGAGACTCTGTCTCAAAAACAAACAAAACAGAACAACAAAAAAAGAGTAAGGAACCCTGTCTGTGTTCCTTGCTGCCCTCTGCCATCTTTCCACCCTTATCCTCAGGGGCCATGAGTGGGGGACATTTCCTACACCACACACTACATCTGGTCCAACTTACTCCTAAAGGAGTTCCCAACGTGGAGACCACAAGGTTCTGGGGAGGCCCCCAGGAGCTCCCCCTCCCAAAGTTTAATTAGTGGTTTAATAAGCAGCAGTTCCCCTGCCCTAGCTTAGGAAGAGAGAGAAGTGACATACCCACCCAGAAGGGCAATGCGGAGGTTCTGGCGGAAAATGGGGTTGAGGATGAGGCCCTGGAGCCCGCCTGGGAGCAGCTGGGTGTGCCAGATCCGGAGGCCGCTCAGCAGCCCTGTACTTTCCTCCTGAGCCCTGGAACAGAAGCAGAGAGGTGAGTAGGGTATTTGGAAAACAAAAAGGAGGCCCATAAAAGCCACCATCTCTGCCTGTTCTGAACTTGCTGACCCTTGGAACACTGTTCCACAGAGTGAAATTAGTATCTTCCTAAGACAAATTCTTTACTGCATTACTTATCAGAGCCTCATTACAGATATCACACATAACTCTTTAAGAGGGAAGATACATTTGAAAGCAAGATCTCAGCTGGGAAATAAATAAAAGGGAAAAGGCAATATGCAGAGTTTCCCAAATGTATTTATTTTTAAGTTTTGTGATATATCTATTAACACTTCCTGGAAGTGCTCCAAGGAACAGCAGTTTGGGAAATGTAGCTGTTGAGAAATTTGTATCTGGCTGAGACTTACTTGCTGAATTCCTTCTTTACCCACAGAGCTACAGCAGCCTGTGGCAAAGGCTGCTCCAGAAAGAGCATCCGCATCACCCAGTTCTTAGCCAAGGATGGGAGCTCCCTGTACAGGGACAGAGGTCAAAGGTTAGTATCAGAAGCTGCATTGTATCTGCATCTCTGCCCTCAATTACCTCTCAAACATCTCATCTCACTCCAGCACAACTTTACCAGTCCTGCTGTTTTGGCCTCCACACTTTAGAGCAATTTCCAACCCTTGCTCCCAGTCCCCACCCCGACTCCAGGCTGCTACACTTTTACCTATGATATTTTATTCCAGTCCGCAGACCCCATTACATTTCCCTGCCATGAAGGGGCTTCTCACCTGAAGACAGCCAGACATGTGGCAGGGTGCCCATACAATCGGTCCAATACCCCAGGGCTCAGGCCCCCTAAGAATTCCTGCAGATTCCTGCATTGTAGGTGTACTCGGTTCAGTCCCCTTGAAGGGGTGCTCTCCATCACCTGAGGAATGCAAACGTCAGAAGTGCAACCTCACCATCCATGCCAGTGTCACCCCTGACCTTTCTAACTGATTCCAGATCCATCAGTCCCCACAATAACCCCACCTTTTCTGTGGTCTCCTTTCCCATGTCACTCATCTCCTCTGGTTTCTCCCAAACCTGACCAATCTCCCTCCCTTTCTTGCCTCCTCACCCTATTTCTGCCCTTCAACTCCAGTCTTCCCTCAATTACCAAGTGACAGAATTGTTAACTGTCCAGTGTTTGCAAGATCATTTTGTATTTCAATGACTTGTCTCATCTTTGGCTAAACAGGGACAAAGAAAATTGAGCCCACACCTCTCTCTTCCATCCCATCCTGGTCAGACCAGTCTATAAGCTCCAAATCTGCCCGTCCTTCCTATCTTCTATCTCTTAGCCCACTTCTGCTAAGTACGGCGGTAACCTCTCCCCTCCATGCTTCCCAAATCTAAAGCCACCTCTTTTCCCTTCCCAAGTCTACTTCACGTCATTCACCCTGACCCACGCCTTCCGATCTCCTAGCTTCTCCCTGCCTTCCTCTCACTCTTCGCCTCTCACTCACCTCTCTCTCTCTCATACCTCTGCCACTCCCGCCCTCCTAGGTCCCCTCACCACTCTGTCGATCCTCCTCGCGCACCCCAAGTCTCGGGCCGTCGCTTAATCGGAGCCAAAGTCTCGCATTGGCTCCTGGAGATTGAGGGAAAGATGGTGAAAAAATGCGAGGAAAAGATGGGGAAAGCAAAGAAAGATTTCACAGGAAAGAGCCCAGAATGGAGAATTCAGAAGAGAAGGGAGGTAAGGGGAGGAGTGGAAAAGTGAAGAGGATGAGAATAGACGCTGCACTCTCCGGGCGCGGGGGATGCTGGGAATTGGAGTCTTGCCTTTGCTCTCCTTAGAGCCGGCTGAAGCGCGTCTGACTACAAATCCCGAAAGGCACCGTGGGGAAGCCGAAAGGAGAGGAGCTGGCTTTTAATTGAGCGAGGGGAGACACCAGAAGCTGGACCAGTTGGTTCCGCGAAGGCAGAACCAACTCCGCCCACGCTGCTAACGGCGCGTGTAACCGGCTGGAGCGGGAGGCGGGTCCGGGAAAGTAGAAGTGCCTGGAGGGCTTCCTTGCGGAGGCGCGCTATGGCGACTTGGTGGTGAGCCGAGTGAGCACAATTACTCCCCGTAAAATTGGGATAATACACACTCCAGGCCGGGCGCGGTGACTCACGCCTGTAATCCTAGCACTTTGGGAGGCCGAGGCGGCGAATCACCCGAGGTCAGGAGTTCGAGACCATCCTGGCCAACATGGTGAAACCCCCGTCTTTACTAAAAATACAAAAATTAGCCGGGCGTGGTGGTGGGCACCTGTAATCCCAGCTACTCTGGAGGCTGAGGCAGGTGAATCGCTTGAACCCTGGAGGCGGAGTTGCAGTGAGCCAGGACCATGCCATTACACGCCAGCCTGGGCGACAAGAGTGAAACTCCGTCTCAAAAAAAAAAAAAAAGGAAAGAAAAGAAAGAAAGCATACACACTCCGGGCGGTTTCCACGAGTTAACGATTAACACGATCCAGTGCACCTTACTTGACCCTAAGTACTCAGTAAATCTTAATTTCTGCCTCCACCACTCCTCAAACCGTTTACTTAGAAGACCCAGATAAGTACAGTTTTTAAGACACCAACTATTTGCTCTGATTTGATTTATGAACCCTACAAAAGTGGAGGTCTTCACCCAAACCCAGAACTACACGTTTCCCCAAATTCCTATATGCAAATTTTGTTATTCCCACCTTATAGACTGGAAGACTGGAGCCCGGCAAGATTAAGAAATTTGCCTGCAGCCTGGCGAGGTGGCTCAGAGCTGTGACCCCCAGCTACTTGGGAGGCTGAGGCAGGAGGATCGCTTGAGACTAGGAGTTTGAGGCTACAGTGAGCTATGATCGCACCAGCCTGGGTGACAGAGGGAGACCCCCATTTCTCTCTCTCTCTCTTTTTTTTTTTTTTTTTGAAACAGAGTCTCTCACTCTGTCACCCAGGCTGGAGTGCAGTTGCATGATCTCAGCTCACGGCAACCTCAGCCTCCCGGGTTCAAGCGATTCTCTTACCTCAGCCTCCCAAGTAGCTGGGACTACAGGTGTGTGCCACCACGCCCGGCTAATTCTGGTATTTTTAGTAGAGATAGGGTTTCAACATGTTGGCCAGGCTAGTCTCAAACTCCTGACCTCAGGTGACCCACCTGCCTCAGCTTCCCAAAGTGTTGGGATTACAGGCATGAGCCACTGAGCCCAACCTGAGACGCCCATCTCTAAAAAAAAAAAATTAAAAAAAAAATCCCTACAATCAGACAGGAAGTGCCCAAGCTGGGATTTGAAGCACATTTGCAAGCAACCAGGGATCAAAATGGTAATGACTATGCAAGACTTTGTTATACTTTGTAGCCCACCCATGTTTTCTGTTGTCCCTGTCTTTTTAGCAATTAATGTTTTAAAATCTTCAAAGAACAGCTAAAAATTGACAGAGCTTCTTTATGGCAAACTTTAGGTAAGGTTGAAAGACAATTTACAATCTAGGAAGAAATGGTTGATGAAATAAACAAAATACAAAAAGCTGTTACAAAGCAATAAGAAAAAGAAACATAATAGAAGGATTGGGACAGACCACTGCTTACTAGTTAGCCCTGCTCAGCAAGGAGCAGCTTAAAAAAAAAAAAAAAGAAGAAGAAAAGAAAAAGAAAAGAAAGAGGCCTGGCGGGGTGGCTCAGGCCTGTAATCCCAACACTTTGGGAGGCCAAAGAAGGTGGATCATTTTAGCTCAGGAGTTCCAGACCAGCCTGGGCATTATACAGAAACTCTATCGCTACAAAAACAAAACAAAACAAAAATTAGCTAGGTGTAGTGGTGTGCTCTCCTGCGGTCCCAGCTGCTCGAGAGGCTGAGGTAGAAGGATCACTTGGGCCCAGGAGATTGAGGCTGCAGTGAGCAATGATAGCACCACTGCACTCCAGCCTGAGCAACAGTGTGAGACCCTGTCCCAAAAGGAGAGGGGAAGAGAGGAGAGGACAGGGGAGAACTGGAGAGGGGAGAATTGGGGAGGGGAGAGGAAGGGAGGGTTAGGGAGGGGGAAAGAAGGAAAGAGAAAGAAAGATTGGCCAAAGCAAAAAGAAAGTTAAACAGAATATCAGAAATGTTTCAAAAATCAAAAAATTGGCTGGGCACGGTGGCTCACGCCTGTAATCCCGACACTTTGGGAGGCCAAGGTGGGTGGATCACCCGAGATCAGGAGTTCGAGACCAGCCTGGCCAACATGGTGAAACCCGTCTCTCCTAAAAATACAAAAATTAGCCGGGCGTGGTGGCAGGCGCCTATAAGCCCAGCTACTCGGGAGGCTGAGGCAGGAGAATCGCTTGAACCCGGGAGGTGGAGTTTGTAGTGAGCTGAGATCGTACCATTGCACTCCAGCCTGGGGGACAAGAGCGAGACTTTGTCTCAAAAAAAAAAAAAAAAAAATTCAAAAAATTAGCCAGGCCTGGTTCTGTGGTCCCAGCTACTCAGGAGGCTGAGGCAGGAGGATTGTTTGGACCCAGGAGGTCAAGGCTACACTGAGCTGTGATCATGCCACTGCACTCCAGCCTGAGCTATACAGTGAGACCCTGTCTCAAAAAAAAAAAAAAAAAAAAGAAAAGAAAAGAAAAGAGAAAAAGAAATTAGCTCGGTATGCACACACCTGAAGTCCTAGCTACTCAGGAGGCTGAGGTAGGAAGATCGGTTGAGTCCAGCAGTTCAAGGCTGTAGTGAGCTACAGTTACACCACTGCACTCCAGCCTGGCCGCAGAATTAGACTGTCTCTTAAAAATAAATATATAGGCCAGGCGCCATGGCTCACACCTGTAATGCCAGCACTTTGGGAGGTCAAGGTGGGTGGATCACCTGAGGTCAGGAGTTCCAGACTAGCCTGGTCAACATTTTAGTAGAAACCTTGTCTCTACTAAAAACACAAAAATTAGCTGGCATGGTGACGGGCGCCTGTAATCCCAGCTACTTGGGAGGCTGAGGCAGGAGAATCACTTGAACCTGGGAGGCAGAGGTTGCAGTGAGCTGAGACCACGCCATTGCACTCCAGCCTGGGCAAGAGTGAAACTCCATCTCAAAATAAATAAATAAATAAAAATAAAAATAAATAAATCGGCCGGAGGCAGTGGCTCACACCTATAATCTCAACACTTTGGGAGGCTGAGGCGGGTGGATCACTTGAGGTCAGAAGTTCGAGACTAGCCTGAGCGGGTGAAACCCCGTCTCTACTGAAAATACAAAAATTAGCCAGACATGGTGGCGGGCGCCTGTAATCCCAGCTACTTGGGAGGCTGAGGCAGGAGAATCACTTGAACCCAGTAGGCTGAGGTTGCAGTAAGCCGAGATCACACCACTGCACTCCAGCCTGGGCAACAGAGCAAGACTCTATCTCAAAATAAATACATAAATAAAATTAAAATATAAAAGTTCAGCAAAAAAGAAATTAAGGATTGACAACCTCAATGTTGACCAGGGTATAGGAGCATACTCATACACTTTTGCTGAAAATTGAGGCCGGGTCCAGTAGCTCACGCCTGTAATCTCAGCACTTTGAAGGGAGGCCAAGCCAGGCAGATCACTTGAGCCCCGAAGTTTGAGACCAGCCTGGGCAACATGGTGAAACCCTGTCTCTACAAAAAATAAAAAAATTAGCTGGGCATGAGGGTGCATGCCTGTAGGCCCAGCTACTTGAGAGGCTGAGGCAGGAGGGTTGTTTGAGCCCTGGAGGTGGAGGTTGCAGTGAGCTGAGATCACACCATTGCACTCCAGACTGGGCAACAAAATGAGAGTCTGTCTCAAATTTAAAAAAAAAAAAAAAAAAAAAAAAAAAAAAAAATTGAAATAGGCACACCTCTTTTGGAGAGGGTGAGGGGACAGAGTCTTACAGTGTCACCCAGGTCAAATGCAGTGGCACAATCTTGGCTCACTGCAATCTCTGTCTCCCAGATTCAAGCGATTCTTGTGCCTCAGCCTTCCGAGTAGTTGGGATTACAGGCGTGAACCACCATGCCTGGCTAATTTTTTTTTGTATTTTTAGTACAGACAGGGTTTCACCGTGTTGGCCAGCATGTTAGTGGGCATGGTAGTTCAAAAAAGAAAATTCCTGTGATAGGTAGCTCATGACCTCCTCCTCTCAGGCAGCATCCTGGAGAGAAAGAACAGAGAGCCAGGGCCAGGCGTGGTGGCTCACACCTGTAATCCCAGCACTTTGGGAGACCGAGGAAGGTGGATCAAGACATCAGGAGTTCAAGACCAGCCTGGCCAACATGGTGAAACCCAGTCTGTACTAAAAATACAAAAATTAGCCGGGCATGGTGGCAGGTGCCTGTAATCCCAGCTACTCAGGAGGCTGAGGCAGGAGAATCGCTTCAACCCAGAAGGCGGAGGTTGCAGTGAGCGGAGATAGTGCCACTGAACTCCAGCCTGGGTGACAGAGCAAGACTTTGTCTCAAAAAAAAAAAAAAAAAAAAAAAAGGAACAGAGAGCCAGGAGCCCACAGACCCACTTCCCACAGGCTTTACTGTTGACTGACTGCTACTTTGGGCAAGTTGCTTAACCTAACAGAATTTTCTTCTCTGTGCAAAGTAATTTTAACTACTTCATATATTGTTGTATTAAGTAAGATATAATATGTCGTAATTTCAATACCTGGTATATAGTGGGTGCTCAGTAATATATTATCATCATTATTGTAACTTTCACTTATTAATCCTAGTTCTAGTTCTGTAACTACGTAGAATCTATGTTAGTCTATCAGATATTTGCTACAATTCTTTCTTTCAACCAATATTGAGCCCTGTGTTCCAAGATTTTGCCCTTGTGCAACTTATAGTTTGGTGGGAGGGGCAGGTATAAAAAGATATGTAAAATTACACACGTAGTAAGTGCCACAAAGAAGAGATTCATGTCCTCTGAGATTATCAGTAGGGAATTTGACCTGGTTGGGGAAGTCAGGAAAGACTGCTGAAGGGCAAGCAGGAGTTAATAAGGCACAGACTGCAGGGAACATTGTTCCAGGTGAGGGAACAGCATGCCACGAAGGCCACGTGGCAGGAAGTACTGTGGCCCATTGGGTGAATCTGAAAGAAGGCCAGTGGCCCACAGAGGAAAGCAAGCGGGTGGGGGAGGACGCTGGAGAGGTATGTGGGGGCCAACCTTGGCCAGAAGGATTTTGTTCTTCATTTTAAGATTAATGAAAAGTCACTGCTGGATTTGAAATGAAGGATTAGGGTCAGATTTGTGTGTTTTAAAGATAACTGTGGTTGCAGGGCGGAAAACAACCCAGAGAGGAGCAGAGGCAGATCTGGGTGACAGCTGGGAGACCACTGCAGGAGTCCAGGCAAGATGGAGGCAGCATGTGCCAGGAGGGCGATGGAGACAGAGATGACAAGTTCCAGGGAGATTTGGGAGGCAAAATCAACAGCGTTTTGTGCTGGACTGGACTTGAGAGGTGGAAGGTAAGGGAGAAGGAGCTCGGGGATGCCACCTTGTGCGGCTTGTGCAGCTAAGTGGATGATGCTGCCATTCACTGAGTCAGTAGACTGTGGAGGAGAAGCAGGTTTGGAAAAGCAGGGCCTGACTTTTAAATTAACTGCAGGTGGGGCTGGGCACGGTGGCTCATGCCTGTAATCCCAGCACCTTGGGAGGCCAAGGTGGGCGGATCACGAGGTCAGGAGTTTGAGACCAGCCTGGCCAATATGGTGAGACCCCGTCTCTACTAAAAATACAAAAAAATTAGCTGGGCATGGTGGTGCACACCTGTAATCCCAGCTATGTGGGAGGCTGAGGCAGAAGAATCGCTTGAACCCAGGAGGCGGAGGTTGCAGTGAGCTGAGATTGCGCCACGGCACTCCAGCCTGGGTGACAGAGCGAGACCAGGTCTCAAAAAAAAAAAAAAAAAATTAACTCCAGGTGTTTCTGCTTGAAAGACAGCTCAGAGATTTGGGTTATCAGGCTCACTGCCGTGGCTTCCATCGCTCATTATTCTGGGATCTGGCCTCTAAACTCTAACCTATCAGTACACAACTTAAATCATAGTGCACAGTGGTTTGACCTGTGTAAGTTTTAGCAGGACTATTAGATTCGGGACCTAGGCCCCAAGGGCCTATTAATTCAACTTCACATTGATTTATCTTTATTGTGATCCTCATTATCCAATTGGCTCATTTTGTGAATATCATCAACCAAAACCCCAGGGTTTTTATTTCACATGAATGGCCATCAAGATGGGTCTGCCTTGTCCCATCCCTGCAACTGACTTTTAATTTTCTTTTTGAGACAGGGTCTTGCTCTGTCACCCAGGCTGGAGTGAAGTGATGCAATCATGGCTCGCTGCAGCCTCAACCTCCTGGGCTCAAGTTATCCTCCCACCTTGGCCTCCTGAGTTGCTGGTGCACACCACTAAGCCCAGCTAGTTTTATATATATATGTATAAATGGGGGCCAGAGTGTGCTATGTTGCCTAGGCTGGTTCCAAACTCCTAGGCTCAAGAAATCCTCCTACCTCAGCTTTCCATAGTGTTGAGATTACAGGGCATGAGCCACCCCACTGGCCGATTTTTTCTTTCCAACCAAATTTGAACCCTTTAATTGTTCTCTTGGTGGTTGCAGCTCATCCTTCCAAGCCTCTGAGATAACTGAGGCTCTTGATTCTGGTTTCTGGTTCTGGTTTCCATTCCAACAACCTATCCCCTACCCCCAGTGGGGCATTTGCACACTTGATCAGCATAACCCAGGGATTCTCCCCTGGGATTTCCAGACCCTGGGGAGCCAGATGGGTTCTAGAATTTGGGCAAGAAAAAGAAATTACACCTTTTACTAACCTCTAATAGAAGTTTAGCATTTCCTCCAATTATGAATATGGGTAAAACCACCAGTAGTATTAGCAGTACCTGTGACTTGTCACTAATTGACACCACAGCTACTTTTATGTCTCACTGTGACTGTTGTAGAAATCTCAAATATGGCTTATGCTCATTAGTATTTGGAAAATGTCAGTTTATTACACCTGTTTTTAGATCTTGTTATTAAATACATGAAAAAGAAGCACATTAGTTTCATAATTTTTTAGCATTTTGGTAAACTGTTTCCATTGGTTTCCCTTGTAATCCTATACATTTTATGGGTTTTGTTGTTGTTGTTGTTCTGTTTTTGAGACAGTCTCACTCTGTTGCCCAGGCTGGAGCACAGTTGTGTGATCTCAGCTCACTGCAACCCCCACCTCCCGGGTTCTAAGCAATTCTCCTGCCTCAGCCTCCTGAATAGCTGAGATTACAGGCGCATGCCACCACACCCTGCTAATTTTTGTATCTTTAGTAGAGATGGGGTTTTGCTATGTTGGCCAGGTTGGTCTCGAACTCCTGGCCTCAAGTGATCTACCCACCTCAGCCTCCCAAAGTGCTGGGATTACAGGGGTGAGCCACTATGCCTGGTCCATTTTATAGGTTTTAAAACCTAATTCTGAGGAGGACTCAGTAGACCTCTACAGACTGCCAAAGGGGTTTATGGCACAAAAAAGGTTCAGCACCCCTGGCCTGACTGCATTCCTTCCAGGCCTCCACCAGAGCACCCCTCTGAGTTGAGAAGGTTCATGCACTCAGACATTCATGCATCTCCTGAGGTCCCACAGGCAAAGGCCTGGATTATCCAGAAACAGAACACAATGCTGGGCAAAACAGGTGATGGGAAATGGAATGAGGAGGCAGGAAAAAAGGAAGATGGGAAGTGGGTTGGGAAGTGGGTTCAGAGGGAGGTGCAGGAGGCAGAGTTACCAAGTTCCCAAGGAACCCACTCACACAGTTGTGGAAAACTCAACCTTTATTATTACCTGCCTAGTGCAGGGGATTAAAATTGCCTCAAGCTAGGTCCATATATTAGTGTAAAAATCTGTGTCTCTCCCCCCAAAAATGTACAAACCCCAAGTGATTATAGAAAAATCAATGTGGCAGCTACACTAGAGATGTCCAACCCCAAGGCTATGGGCCGTTGCTCCCTCTTTCCCCCCAATCCCAATATTTACTCCACAGAAACGTATAGGCTTAGAGAAGTTCTAGCTACAAGACTGCAGGTGGGAAGTGGGGGTGACTGAGGGCTGGGGCGGGGCTACCCCCAGGTCCAGTGTTTCAGGTGATGGAGGAGGAAGAAGCCCAAGCTGAGGACAAGTACAGGAGCAGGCACAAGGAAACATTTTCCTCTCCTTCTTGTCCTCCTCACCCCCAGATTCTCAGCCAGTGGGGTCCAGTGTGTGACAGGGAGAGAGAAGCTGGGGGCGCAGCCACCTCTCCAGGAATCAGTGTTGTCCAGTGGGGCCCAGGTGCTCCAATGGGCCATGTCCAGTGTCTATCCTATATTTCTCCCCACCCTTCCCCAAGGGATGGCTAGAGGAGGGTGGAGAGGATCCCATCCACAGGACCAGCTGGGTGGGCGACAGGGGCTTCTAGGAAGGAAGAACAGGAAGGGGACATGAGAGTGTGTCCAGGAAGGGGAGAAGGGGCATCAGCTCCCTGGGTGGGCCCAGCCCACCTGCAGTCTCACTGCCTCTATTAGAGGTGATGGGCTGTCGGGAGGGGAAGGGCAGAGGTGCCATTGTGTCCTCTTGTTTTAGTGTCACTGGCTTCCCCTGGATCACTCCCTGAGGGAGGGGCAGCTGGATGTGTGATTCACACCGTGTTGAGTGCATCCTCTGCCAGGAACCGATGCAGCTGGGAAAAGGGTGGTCGCTGCTCAGACTCCCGGCTCCAGCACCGAAGCATCAGCTCATATAGGCCCTGCGGGCAGGCAGGCGGCCGGGACAGGTACACCTGCATTGTGGCAGTGTGGATGAGAGTCAGGGAACAAATATTCTTTAGTCTCCAAGATGACAACTCTGCCCCTTCTGTCCCCCGCCTCGGACCCATCTTCCCTCTCCTCCACTCTGACCTGCCGGCCCTGGTCCCGGAAGAACTCCCCCGCGTTCTCGATGACCTGCTCGTCGGTGAGCTGCCCAAAGGGCTGGGCCCTACAGAGCATCAGCACCTCCCACAGGGTCACACCAAAGGCCCACACGTCACTCGCAGTCGTGAACTTCCCCTGGGATGCAGAGAAGGCAGCAAAAACAGACAGGGACATCAGGCAACGTAGACCCTCCTCCCTTCCTATTGGAAGCCCCAGATCCACTCTGGGCTCCACTCAGGCCTGATCCCTCCTGACGCCAGGCTCTCCACTCTCCTCCGCTGGCCACCTTTTCCAACTCCTCTCCCTTGGGCTCTGCCTTTCCTCTCCATGCTCTGGTCCTCTCTCCAGGGCCCTGGCCCACCTCTTCCTTCTGCTCCTCCTTCCTCTCCATCCACCCCCACTTTCTGGTCCTGACCTTCGGTCTCCCTACCCAACCCCTTCTATCTCCAGCTTCCTCCCCCAACCTCATCTCTTGAGCTCTCTGCCACCCTGTCTCCATCCCCAGTACCCACTCTTGGCTCCTGGATTCTTGCCCATCACACTGCAGCTCCTGCTTTCCCCAGTCCCTTGGGCTAGGAGAACCTCATATTATAGATGAGATTCTGTAAAATGCAACCCAGAGAAAGTGTGTGACTGATGGAGACCAGGGCTGTGAGTGGCGGCCAGTGTTCTCCCACCTGCCCTGCTCCAACCTGGCTGTCCTCGGGCTGCTCACCATGAGGATGCACTCCCAGGCCATCCAGCGGATGGGCAGCACTGCCCGGCCCTGCACACGGTAATAGTCCCCAGCATAGAGGTTCCGGCTCATGCCAAAGTCTGCGATTTTGATGGTGAAATTTTCCCCAACTAGGCAGTTCCGCGTGGCCAGGTCCCGATGTACAAAGTTGAGTGTGGCCAGATAGCGCATGCCGGAGGCGATCTGGGCTGCCACATGCAGCAGCATTGGGTAGCTGAGAAGGGAACCGACAGAAGGTCACTGGGGGCAGCTTCGCAGATTCCCATCCAGGAGAGGAGAGAGAGCCCACTCCCCGGGCCCGGTCACTCTGGCTCCCCATGTGGAGGTGGAATGCCCACATGAGGCCAAGGGTCACTTCCCTCTCAATCTCCCAGGCCTGGCCAACACTAGGGGGCTCTTCTTTTATTGTGCTCCCCAATCTGGACTCAGAGGGGAGTGAGGGTGAGAGAAAGCAGAAGGGACGTCATGGCAGGGCCCAAGTCCCTTCACCACTCTTGCATAGTCACCTCCAGCCTTTCTGTCCATGTTCCTGGGTTAACTTGTCACACATTCCTTATCCCAGGCCCTCCTGGAACCTCTCTCCCTTCCCACCCCCACGCTCCCCTCTTTTCCTCCAGGCTGAAGCGAGGGGAGAGGAGGAGATCCCCTGGGGGAATTCTGAGCAAGGCCCAGCCTGGGTAAGCAGGTACCTGATGGTGGGCCCCTGCGCAGCCTGCCCGTCCCCAGGGGCCCCCTCGGCTGCCTTGTCCTCCAGCTGGTGGGCACTGAGGAACTGGTTGAGGTCGCCGTTCTCCATGTAGTCAGTAATCATGCAGAGGGGGTCGTCCTGCACACACACGCCCAGCAGCCGAATGATGTTGGGGTCCTTGAGCCTCGACATGATCTTCACCTCTTTCAGGAAATCATTCCTGGAGAACAAGGAGAAGCTGAAGAGGAATGCCGAGTGGGTGGCCTGCACCTTCCCCCGCGCCCCCACCCCCCTGCCCCACCTCAGGCAGACCAGGCGTCCCCACCCCCAGCGTACATGTAAATCCCCTCCCAGAGATGCCACCCCTCTGTTGGGCTCTGCCATTGTTCTCTCTAGATGGCTCCCCACTCTTCACGGCCTCCCCTCCCTTCTTCCAGATGCCATCCCTAGTCCTCACCTGGCATTCTTGGTGGCATCTGGCCGTAAGATCTTGACAGCTACCAGCAAAGGGTGTCCCTTACGCACATTAAGGGGGAAATCAAGACTGACCAGATCTTGAGGGCTGTCGACCTCACACAGGTGCACCTGGAGAAAGAAGTTCGTTTGCTAGGCGGTCACAGGGTCAAACGGATTAACACGGTTACAAATGACTAAGGTTCCTGGCTAGGGGGATGCGCAGGCATGGCATCAGAGCACACAATAGGGCCAGACACTGGGTAGGCACCCTCCTTACCTCCCCAAACTGGCCCTCGCCAAGCTTCTCCTTGAAGCGGAGTCGAGATCGAGGGAAATCCACTCTGGGGGGCCCATCCCCGACTGCCCCTGGGGGCAGTGCAGGCACAGCATAGGTGTTGCCCCCGGTGACGCCCTGCAGGGTAACAATGTCAGCCTCGGCATAATGGGGGACGCTGTTCTGGGGAGGTGGGGGCAGAAGCGGGGCGCCTGGCTTCTCAGGCTCCATATAGTCCCCACTGTAGGCTGCAGGGGTGAGGGGAAAGAAGACAGGACGAGGCATCAGGAACAGCCCAAGAGCTATAGTTCCCCACACCTCAGCCTCCCGGAGGGCCCTGTGTCTCCCGGTTGAGTGAGAGACTGGGTCTATGCTGTATCTTCCCAGTATTCCATGCGCCAACCTCAAACCAGGAAGACACTGGCATGGGACGAGAGTTAGCTATTCCAGAGCTTTTCAAGGCAATGAATATGGTTGAGCAAAACTGTCATAAAGTCTTACTCTTTTAGGGCCTCCCTAGGGTCTCTCAAGAGACTGTGAGATAAATCTTGGCTGGAAGAAGAATTCCTCCCCAGGAATTCTCCCGCCTCAGGATGGTCCCAGCATCCAGGCACCCTCCACCTTCCAAACCCTTGTCCCGTTCACCACAGCTCCCTCCCCTTCACTTAGCTGCTCTCCCGTGGCTTTCAGCCTGGCTCCCCCTGGGGCCAAGCCCTCCCAACCCTTTCAACCCAACACACCAAGCTCAACAACAAGCAGAGACAGAGGCACACAGAGAGGAGGGAGGGTAACAGCTGCTCACAGCCCCAACACAAGTTGTCTACAGACAGGAGAGGAAGCAGAGCTGTCCCCTCTTAGCCCTGGGGAAGGGGCCACAATGAGAAGGCAACACTGAGGAGAAGAGGGGCAGATGGAAAGGGTTGGGGCATGAGCCTTCACCTCTGGGACTGCAGAGAGAGGACACATGTGAGGGAAAGGGCAAGCGCCCGGGGTGAGAGCCCTCCTCCTCGCAGCTCTAGAGAGAGTGGAGAATAAAGGAGGAGTTACTATAGTCTGGGGCCACCACAGCAACCTCCTGTCTAGCTCTGGAGAGCTGAAGAGATGGCGTGGAAGAGGAGGAGGGAGAAGAGCTGGGGACCAGTAAGCTTTCTACTCCTCAGCTCAAGGGGGGGACCTTAAAAAAGAGCAAGCAGCAGCAGAGATGAGCTAAGGGCACAAGAGCTTCCTCCTTGGGAGCTCAGGAGAGCAGAATAGGCCACAGTGGGGAGAGGAGGAAGTGCAAGGTGTGAGGGCTTTTCCCTGCCCCAGTAGAGGTATGGGGAGCCTGGCGGAGCCCAGGGGCAGAGGGGCTTACCCTGGGTGTTGGTGGGTTTGGCCCAGGCGGGTGTGGGGGGGCCCGGGCCTCGAGGGGGACGGGCGTAAGTGGCCAGAAGGAGGCGGTAGGCTGGATTGGAGAGCAGCAACGCTGTCGGGAGAAGGAGGAGGGGAAACACGGGGAAGGGATGAGACTCAAGGCTAGACAGACAGGGAGACCTTGAATAGGGCAAGACCAGGGCTGATGGGATGATTGCATTAAGAGACAGACAGGATAAAACAAGGATCTGCAGAGTGACGGACGGCTGGCTGGATAATGAATGCATGGACAGATGGGACGTATGAATAGATGGATGGATGGTAAACAGATGTTTTGTTGGATGGATGGATAACAGATGGAAAGATGGATGTGTGAATATAGATGGATAGATGGATGATGGATATGGGTGGGTGGATGGATGGATGAATAGATTTATGAATATAGATAGAAAGACAGATGATGGAAGATTGATGGATGGATGCAAGGATGTATGACTATGGATGGAAGGATGGGTGATGGAGGATAGATGAAGGAACAAACATGGTGAGTCTAATACAAAGCAAAGGGGCCAGGGAGACACAATGAGAGGGTACAACAAAGATAGAGAGATGTCTGTGGGACACAGACAAGATAGCACCACGGGGGACTATGGGTAATACATGGGGAACTCTTGAGAGAGACTACATGGTAGGGACAAAGAGTGATATAGACAGTAACCAGGGGCACAGAAAGAAGAAAACAAGTGGAAACTGGGGAAGACAGGAAAAAAAGAGAATGGGAAAGGGATACAATAAGAAAACAGCAGAGAGGACAGAGGTGCGACTGGAACAAGGCAGGTCTTACCAGAGCCATTGGGGACACAGGGAGCGGAGTGGGGCGGATTCCCACGAGGCCGGGGCTCCTGGTACGGGGGTGGCTCTCTAGGACCTGGGCGGTTGTTGATGAGGATAGTGTCCCCAGGGACAGAGAGGTGAACCGTCAGCTCCTCTTCCAACACCCTCCGTTCAGCCTTGTCATAGGGATGGGAGGCATCACCCGTGTTGCTCAGCACACACGGCCTGGCCCTCTGCTGTGTCCATCCCTGCGTTCCCTCCCTCAGCCCTCACAAGAGCCCTACAGCTGTGGATACTATCAGCACCATCTTACAGGCAGAGAAAGTGAAGCTCAAGAGCATGGAGGTAACTTCCCTGTCCCACAATGAGATTCTAACCCTCATCTGCCCAGTCCATAACTATCAACCGTTTTTTTTTTGTTTGTTTGTTTTTTTGAGATGGAATTTTGCTCTTGTCGCCCAGGCTGAAGTGAAATGGCATGATCTCAGCTCACTGCAACCTTCGCCTCCCAGGTTCAAGAGATTCATGCCTCAGCCTCCTGAGTAGCTGGGATTACAGGCATCAGCCACCATGCCTGGCTAATTTTGTATTCTTAGTAGAGATGGGATTTCACCATGTTGGTCAGGCTGGTCTCGAACTCTTGACCTCAGGTGATCCTCCCGCCTCGGCCTCCCAAAGTGCTAGGATTACAGGCATGAGCCACCGTGTCCAGTCATCAACCTTAATGTATATTACTGCCACTGGACTCCAGCCGGAAGACGTGGCTTGGGGTGTGCCAGACGTCTTCCCTTTGCCCCTCCAACCCCACTCTCTGCCTGTCTCTACCCTGCTTCTGCCCCAAGGCTGACTAGTGTACACTGCACCAACAGGCCTGGTTTGGGTTAGCCAGAGAGGAGCCCAGCAGGAGTTTGGGGCAGAAAGTGAGGTCAGGGCATCTATTCTCCCAGGCCCTCCCTGAGGGGTAGATACGGGCCAGCTGCATCCCAGGACCAAAGTCTACTGCCCCTGTCAAGGTGCCCTCTCCACAGGCTCTCTCCTCTGGGTCGTGGTATTTGCTCCTCTCCGCTGAGCAGACCCAGAGCTGGGGAGCAGCCCTCCCTGTGAGCCCCATACCCTCTTTGACATGGTGTAAGTGGTCTCTTTACTAAGCCCTCCTCTTGGGATGCTAGTGGGCTGTGCCCTGCAGGTCCCACTGGACGCTGGCTCGTGCTGGGGCCTGGCCTCCCCCCGCCATTCCACATGCCACGGCTGTGCCCACCTTGCTGAGGAGCCTGCGCCAGTGCAGCCGCCAGAGCATGAGGGCAATGATGAGCAGCAGGAGCAGGATGATGGCCACCAGGCAGCCGATGAGGATGGCGGTCGGGCTCCCCTCGGCCTTGGCCACGGGCTGCTGGCCTCTGGGCTCCAGCTCTGGTGGAGGCAGCAGGGTCAGCACCACAGGAGGGTCCCACCCTAGCCGAGGGGGAGGCCCAGGGAGAAGGGTGCAGAGGGTCCACACGCCCACCCAAGATTGCTCACCCAAGCTGCTGAAGTTGGTGGGAGGTGGGCCAGGCGGCCACCAGGGGGCTGGCGGGAAGGTGCCTCCCAGTGCCGGAGAGGAATTGTTCACCACATCTGGGGAGAAGGAACAAAAAGAAAGGAGGGAGGTAAATGAGGAGGAGACCCAAGGGAGGCAGAGGCAGTGGACTGTTGTGCAAAGGAGCAGAAGCATGGGTGATTCTCAATAGGCAACCACTGACCAGTGGGGGCTGGGGGAGCAGGGTCCTGGAACACCCAGCTGTGGTGGGTGTTAACCCTATAGTTGCTGGATTGTGGGGAGGTGGAGGACAGGTATCTGGAGGCTTAGAGAAGAGGCTATTTCTCAACTAATACAGAAGTATTTCAATATTTTAACAACCAGTACTGTCATACTGGCTCAATAATAGTCACGGGCAAGGGGCTTACAAAGGAAAGATGGATACGCAGAGAACAAGAGGCAGAAAGGGGCTCAAGTTATTTGGGGCACCCCTAATTGAGAAGTTTCGGTGGGTGATGGGTAGATATAATGCAAGGAATGAGTATTTTAGGGACACTGCAGGGTTAGGAATGAAATCAGTTGTCAATTTCAGGGACTGGAGACTGGGCTACTCCAGGGCTTACCAGAGATGAAGGAGATTTCGCTGAAGAGTAACCAGGGCCCCGCAAAGAGGAAGCGGCACTGCAGAAAGCGAGCCACACGGCCGCCAAGGGGCACTGAGACAGCCCGGGCTCTGGGGTCCCCCAGGTTGCCCCCTAGGTTGTGGCGCATGGGCTCCCCCTCCCAGGCCATGGCAGGGCCACGCCGGAAGCGACATTCCACCCCGCCAGGCAGACGGGCTCCCAGCGTGTGCATGTTGTTACAGTGGACCTGGGGGGAAGGGAAGAGGGCACAGGGTCAAGGCTAGGAGTGGTGGGGGCACCCCAACGGCACCCTGCATGGCTTCAGAGCCCTCCTCGAGAGCCGGACTCACTCACCTGCATAGCCTGGAAGGCCCTCAGCCGGTCAAACTCAAACTCCATCTCCACATAGCCACTGGAGAAGCTGTGGTTGCTCCATCCCACATAGTCATAGCCTGGCCAGACCCGCAGCTCCTGACTCTTCCTAAAGTCATCCAGCCCCACCACACCATCTGCCAGCTGGCCCAGACCCCCATACTGCAGTCTGGAGAAGAGGGGACCAAGGAAGAGGAGGTTGGAAGGGAAGAGGGTCTTGACATCCAGGCATTCTGCTCCGCCACCCTCCGGCACAGTGGCATGGCCAGCCTGGCTCCCATCCACTAGTCCCATTCCCATCCCACCTCACACTCATGCAGCTGGCCCTTCTCCTCTCTCCACCCCACCCCAGCACTACAGGTACCTTGCAGGTCACATCCAGCACAAAGGCACCACCTCTAAGGGGCACCATTTCAATCTATGATGTATATATTTATTGCAGCAATTTCCAACAATGTGTGTTAGCAAAGGGGTGCCTTTTTCATACAGTGTCATACGGGCTAGTGGTCACCCTAGTGCTACCCTTTGAGGCCCCACCTAACCCATCCCTCTTCTCAGCTCTTCCATCTCACTCCCCACCCTACTTACCAGCTCCCCTACACACACACACTCACACACACACAAACACACACACACACACACACACACACACACACAGAGTCCTCCCTCCCACCCCAAACTCCATATCCTGCAGGGGCCTTTCTTACCCGCCCACGGTATGTCCGTCATAGGTGGAGTCGTTGAGGTACACGGCCTCAGATAAATACATTGTCTGCCCCACAGGGGCGGTGTAAGACAGGAGTCCATCTGGGGCAGGGTGAGAGGATGGGGGTCAGAGGCACTAAGGCTCCATCCCCCATCCCTGCATCAGGCCTGGGCAGGTTTCAGGTCCCTTCTTGTATCTCTCCACTGGCTCATTGGCATGGAGGAGACAATGCTGGCTAGCCCCCTCCTCAGAGTGACAGCTTCCCAGCAGGAGAAGGGATCCTGGATGCCCATTCTCCACACTCCCCACCCTCCAGTCCCCTGCTCAGGAAACAGATTCCCAGGAAGCTGAGCCACTCACCCCTCCAGAGGCAGCCATAGAGCTCTACCCGCAGACAGACACTCATGACCCGGTCAGCCCGGGGGTAGAAGCGAACCAGTCGGGCAACCATGGGGGGCCCAAGGTCCTTCAGCACCACTCCCTCAGGGTCCTCATTGCCTGAGATCACCTGTGGGCCAGGAAACAGGGGGTGGGTGGGATGGAGTCCAGGTCAGATCTTACTTCCCACCCACCAGCTGCTCCCTGGCCCAGCCCACAGTGGCCACTTAGAGACCCATGAGGGGTGGCACCGAGCACACAGCACTGTGGGGCGCAGCCAGGCATGGGTGAAATGAAGATCTGCAGCTGAGACCTCTGGCTCTGTCGCAGCTCTGATGTTCCATCCTCAGACTTCAGGCTCAGCTGCCCTCTTCTCCTTGCCTGGCTCCATCCATTTGTCTCCAAGCCTATCATCCCATTGTGCCCAGATTCTCCCCAATCCTCACAGCCCTGCACCCCTGCCTCAGCTTCCCCTTCATTTCAGCCCATTCCCTCTGTTCATTCAGCAGAAGTTGGCTGAGTGCCCGCTCTGTGCCAGGCGCGTTCTCAGTGGTGAACGTCACTCCCCACCCTTGTAGGACTGAGATCCCAGCAGGGAAAACAGCTGCGAAGAACAAGAGGCAGGGAGTATGCACAGAGCAGTGAGGTGGGTGGCCAGAAAAGGCTCTCTAAGGAGGTGACACCTGGCAGAGAACTGAATGGAGTGAGGGAGAGCCTGTGGTTATTTAGGGGAGGAGCTTTGCAGGCACAGAGAAAATGTCCAGAAGCTGTGGGAACGAGCCCTGGCTTGTTCCAGCAACAAGAAGAAAGGCAGCGTGGCCAAGGAGGCGCCAAGAAACAAGTGATGCAGGCAGGAGCCAGGTCAGGCTGAGCATCCTGCACCAGCTAGGGGCTCAGCTTTTGTTCTGGCAGAGTGGAAAGCCAGCATGGGGGTGTCAGCTAGGTGTGACGTATCTGATTTACATGCTCTAAGGTCCACTGGATGCCGCCCCCCCAGGTGGAGATTTGACTCCAGGCAGAAAAGGGCAGAAGCAGGGAGACGCGTTTGGCATCTACTGCACTCATCTAAGCTGGAGATGGCGGGCAGGTGGCCTAGGGCAGTAGAGGTGGAGTGGTGAGGAGTGACTGGACTCAGGAACACTATGGAGGTAGAACAGACGGGGCTGCTGATGCTTTGGAAGGAGGTGAGAGAAAAAAAGGAATCAAGGATATCATCTTAACTTATAGCCTAGGCAACCAGGCAATGGTGATACCACTTCCTGAGCTGGAGAATGCCAGGGGAGGAGCAGGTTTAGGCTGGGAATGGGAATCAAATTCAGCTTGGGAAGTTAAACGTATGTTTGAGATGCCTATTAGACATCTAGGTGGCTGGCTACAGTGCTTGTAATCCCAGCACTTTGGGAGGCTAAGGTGGGAGGATCACTGAGCCCAGGAGTTCAAGACCAGCCTGGGCAACACAGCAAGACCCCATCTATTAGAAAAAAAAAAAAAGACATCTAAGTGGAGAAATCCAAAAGGTGGCCAGGTTTACAATATTGTTTGGAGCTCAGCTGAGAGGCTTAGTCTGGAGATGATATAAACTGGAGAGTCGTCAGCGTATAGGTGGTGTTTAAAGTACAGCTGGAAGTGAGGAGAGCCAACCTCCTCTGGGTGCTGCCCCTGCCAGTCTCACCTCCTGACCCCAGCGGTCCTTCCAGCCCATCCAGCGGCGACCATCCCGGGAGTAACGCAGCCGGTAGCTCCGGGAGAACTCCTTGCCCAGGCCCCCGGCATGCCGTCCCTGGGTGCCCACCAGAGCCACCAGGTGGAGTCGTTGTAGATCCACCTGCAAGTACTCCTCCTCCTTGGGAAACACCGACCCTGCGGGGCACCAGGCCCCATCCCCGTCACTGCTCTCCAACCTGAGGGTGAAGAGGGGCACAGAGAACATCTGGCCCCAGGTCTGCCTCCATCTCCAGTATTTAAACCCCACTTCATTTGCCCCCTCAGCCTGCAGGGGTTTCACTGGCATGGGCAGAGGGGTTGGAGGGGAAGTAGAGGTCCCAGGAGCTCCTCTCGGGGCAGCTACAAGTGTGCCAGGTGTGCCAAGTACCTGCTGTGGCGGGCGGCAGTGGAATCTGACCAGGAGCTGGAAGCAGAGATGTCACTGTCTGGGATGGTCCGGTCCTGCATGCCCAGGGCATAGCGGCACTTGGCTGAGTAAAAAGCAGGCATGTAACAGGTCAAGGCCCCCAACTCTCTACCTCCCAAGCCCTGGCCCTCAGGGACCCATGATTCAGTCTCCTCACCAGGATCAAAATGTCCCTTCATGTCAGCATCTCCACTTGCCACCAAGAGCAGCAGCAGTAAAGATGACAGGGCCTCTGGTCCCATAGCTCCTGATCCCTCGGGCCTAAGGGGGTGGGGGCAGCATCTCTGCAGGGGATAAAATGGGTGGTGCGTAAGTTAATCAGGGGACTGAGTCATAGCTGACAGCAACAGACAGAATGGGCCGCTTTGGGGATAATAACAGTAAAACAACAACAACAGTCATTGTTTAACAGCATCAGCTATATTTTTAGAATGCTTCCCCTGTGCCAGACACTGGCCTAAACCCTTAAACAGAATCCATAATTTTATCTTCACAGTCACTTCATAAGGTAGATACTATTACTATCCATATTTAACACATGAAGAAACTAGGGCAGAGATCAGTTAAATAACTTCCTAAAGCCCCATTTCTCCAATCAGGAATGGGCAAAATATCCCCATAAACAACGGCTTAGAACAAACAACAAGTGTGCAAAAAATGTTTATAACACATACAACAGGAAAAGGTTTAATAACTACAATAAACTAAGGCCCCTTAGGAACTGACAAGAAAAAATATATAAGTAACCCAATAAAGAAACAGCCAAAGAATGTGAATAGTCATTTCACAGAAAAGCAAAGCCAAATTGCCAACAAACATTTTTTTTAATGGTCAAATTCACTAGCCTCAGGGAAATACCAAGCAGACTGACAAGATATTTTTTTAAGGCTGTAACATATAAAAGTGGTAGAAAGTGATGAAAAGGGAGGCACCATGCTCAATGGCAGAAATGAGTGTTATCTTCTATTTGGAAAGCAATCTAGCAATGTCTATTATAATTAAAAATGCACATCCTCTTCGACCCAGCATTCCCTCGAGAGAGAAGCACCAGGAAGTAAGAACATATGTGCAGGTCTGGGTCTGGTGGCTCATGCCTGTAACCCCAGCACTTTGGGAGGCCGAGATGGGAGGATCACTTGAGGCCAGGAGTTAGAGACCAGCCTGGTGAACATAGTGAGACCCCATCTCTTTAAAAAAAGTGAAAAATAAAAATAAAAAAGAAGATTTCAAAGATGTTTATTATGGTACCTTTTGTAAGACATAAATCTGTAAGATATGTGAATGCCCACAGGGGACAGGCTGGAATTAAAAAAAATAAGGTTTATTGACTACTATGCAGCTATGAAAAGTAACAAAGAGGCAATATATTCCTAACTTTGTGTGATTTCCATGTATATCTGTTGAATATGAAAAGCAAGCAACAGAAGTATAAAAAATATCCCACCTTTTGAAAATAGAATAAACAAGCACCCATGTTTGTATATATACCTGTGTGTATGTCTAGAAGGAGAGAATATATAATAGAATATAACAATAGAATACAATATAACAAGAGTTAACATGAACGGGGCAAAAGAAAAGCAAATTTAAAAAGACAGGTTGATTGTACTATTTTTCTAAATCTTGTAACATAAATGCATTTATGTAAAATCATAAGATATGTAAAAGAATATGAAAATCATTTTGACTTTTAAAAAATAAATATGTCCCAGGAAAGGTTGGGCAATTCCTTGTTGAGGATATGATAGAATTAAACATCAGATAAGCCTGGACCAGCTCACCCTGCTGCCCTCCCACATAGGAGTCCAGAATTCTAAGAGAAGGGCAGAGGGGACCCCAGCACCTTCTAGTCTTACTGTCCCCTATAGCCCTCTAGGCCCAGGGTGGTCCCTGGACCATCAGCAATACCTGGAAGCATGGAAGAAATCAGAATCTCAGGCTCACCCTTGACCTGCTCAATCAAAATCTGCCTTTTAACACAATTCCCAGGTGACCTGTGCCCATTAAAGTTTGAAAATCCCTACTCTGTTCCTCAGGCCCAGGAAGCTTACCCCACATAAAACTATTCTAAATGGCATCTCCTTACAAACCCAAGTAACTACTCTCCCCTCCCCTGCTGCAGGAAAAGCTATCCTAACCTGTACTGGTCTCAGAGCCCTGTACTGAAGTCTCCAGGCCCTGGAGTCCTGAGGGACTCGACTGCCACCTCTTATCAGGTTCAGGGCATCTTGGGCCCAGTTATCCCTGCTCTGCCTTCCTGAGACCCAGACATCCAGTCCCCCCAGTTCCCACTTCCAGAAGGTGGCTGCCTCTGAGGGACTGAGGAAAGGCTGAGTTGCCTTGGAGACGAGGGCGGGTCTAAAGACAAGGAAGGCAGGTCACCCCAGGAGGTAGGAGGAGTGGGGGATACTCCCCCATCCCTTTGTCCTCCTCCAGCTGCTCCCACAATGCACTAGGGCAGGAATGTAAGAGGCAGCTGAGACCCCAGAGCTCTGAAGCAGCAGCTGAGGGGGACGACTGAGTTGTGGGGGGCACTCAGAGGCTAGAACCAGAAGGCATCACGCCTGGTCCCTTAGGGTCCAGCGCCGGGGAGCAGGCTGCCAGAGTCCCAGGAGACTGGCTTGGAATTCCTGGGTGCCGCTCTCCAACCCCACCTCTATCGGGAACAGCGGGGCTCTTGTTCCCCTAAGTAACCTTCATGCCTATCCCAGATGAGTCATCAGAGCCACACAGAGCCGAGAGGAGCCCGGGGCAGAGATACAAAGGCAGGCAGAGGATACGAGGCAGGCGGAGACAGAGCGAGAGCCACAATGCAAGAGGTAAATAGAGCAGGCTCAGAAACACGGGGCACAGAGCCAAGCAGAGGAACACGGAGAAGCACAGAGACGTCTGGGCTGTCTGTTCTCCAACACCCCCAGTCACCTCATCTCTCTCCACTGGGTCTTCAGTCCATAGTCAGAGACCCAGAGGGCAAGAGAGGACAAGCCCAGAAGACCTTCCCCAATCCCACCCCCTTCCACTCCATTACAACCAAAGACAAACCAGGGGCCAGGCCACCCTGCCTCAAGCCCTTCACGCTCCTCTCCCAACCCCCAAGTCCCACTCAGACAACACCCACACAGCTCTGTACACACACACACGGTGAAACACACAAACTTACTGAACTGGCTGTAAACAGCGAGGCTAAATGTGGCATGCACACACCCACCTCTCAGTGTCCCTGACAACCCTCACAGAGTTTCTGAGACAGAGCAAACACAGAAGCTCATGCATACATCAACCCGTCCACACCTTGGCATTCCTTCAAGTCCAACCCCATCGCTCAGTGAATAGCCACCTTCAGACACCTGTGAACATGAAATGACAGACACCACATGCTCCTGTGACCAAAAGACAGCATGAGACACACACACCCGGGCCCTTGGGCACAGGATCCCCAGAGAACTGGGGCCCAGCCTCTAACACACATGGGTGACCAAGCCAGAGGGACGTCGAGGGGGCAGGGAACAGGTGGGCGCTGGGTGGGAAGAGTGGCAATAAGGACAACAGCCTTTCCCTGCCTTTCCACTCACTCCCCTTTCACCTGTCTCCACCACACCACTCAGTCCTGGACACACCTACAGGCCCTCAGCAACAGCCAGCGAGCTTGGGCGCCTGCCTCTGGCTGCTGGAAGCGCTGGGAAGAAATGTTCAGCCAAGAGCCAGGCATGGGGGGGTGGGACCCTGAAGCTGGCGCTCACCGGCAGTGACATTCTCTCATGCCAGAGCTAATTGACCATCCAGCCGGGAAGAGTGGTGTCACTGGTGGGTTAGAGTGGCAGTCCCTCTTTTTGCTGGACTGTGACCAGACTGACCAACTGGGTGTTGGCTGAGCGGAGGCTTAGCAGTTAGATGCCCGCAGGGACTGGCCAGGTGGAGGGCAGGCGATAGATGAGCTGACTCAGTGGGGCTGCACAGGAGCACCTCCTCCCGGGGCTCAGTTCCTCCGCACTGAGTGAGAGAGGACTTGCCTCAAGGCTGGAGGCTCAAAACTCTTTCTGGGAGGTCACGGGCTTCACCTCCACCCAGTCCCCGCCCCCGGTTTTCAGACGGTATGCCAGAGCATCGGGGAGGCGGGCAGGGAGGCTTAGAAGAGCTGGACGACCAAGCATGGCTCGGGACGTCCTGCCTCCCCCGCCCCTCGCCCTGCAGGCGCCGCCGCGCGCCCCCACCCCAAGAGCCCCAGGCCTCCGCCCGCGGGTTCCGCCGCCGCTCTCCCTACCTCTCATCGCTCTTCCCGGCAGACCCAGGCGTCCGACCCGGGAGCGGGGCCTCTTCGGCGGCGGGGCGAGGGGCGGGGGAGGCGGAGGGAGCCAGGAGCCGGGAGCCGGGAGCGGGAGGCGCCGGCGGGGCTCGGGTGTCGGGAGGCGGCTCCCGAGAGCAGCTGTCGGGGGCCTGTTCCGGGGAGAGGAGCCAGGGCTGGGGCGGCTCGGGCCCAGGCGCCGCCTCCCCCTCGCCTCGGCTCCCTCCCTTCCTCCTCCCGCTCCTCGCTCCCCTCCCTCCCCTCGGCCTTCTCGCCGCGCGTTCGGGCTCGCAGCCCTCCCTTCCCCCTCCCGGACCCAGTAGTCCCAGTGGCTCCCACGCCCGGCGCCGAGCTCCAGGCCCCGCGCCCGCCACGCCCACCCCGCGCGCTAGCGCCCGGCCCGGCCTCCCCCAGGTAACCCGCCCGCCAAGCCCGCCTGGGCGCTCCCAGGCCGCCCAGCCGCCCGCGCCGCTGCCTCCGGCCGGCTCCGCGCCCAGCCCCCTCCACCCACTCGCAGCCCACCCCCGCTTCCCCAAACGAGAACCTCCAAAGCTGGCGCCCCAGGGGGCTGGCTGCAGTCCCGCTCAGGGCCCACGAGGGGAAGACGCCCCTCCTACTTCTGGGATCGGTTCCTGGTGGGAGAGGCAAAGGGGAGCAGCCCCAGGGCACAGAGGAAGAAGCAGGTTCCCACAGGCTCGGCCCAGCCCAGCTGCGGGAGTTAGCCCAGAGAAGGGAGCAGAGCTCAGGTCTCAGGGCTCACCTGTCCAGCCAGGCCCCAGACTGCTCTTCTCCCTCCACCAACCTTTGCTCCTCTCTCGCAGCCTGTGCGCTCCCGCCCCTACGACCCAACCTGGAAGGCCCCAGACCCTGAAGGCGGGCCCACTCTCTTCTCCTTCTCCTCTCAGTTCCTCTCTCTGAAGGGCGTTCTAAGGGACCCGGGGGTCCAGACGCCCAGGCCCTGATTCCCCTGGGCTCCCAACGGAGTGGAGTGGGAGGGGGACTCAGGAGTCCTCAGGGCAAGCCTCCCTCAGGCCCAGCCAGCTCTGGCCGTAGTGGGCCAGAGGGTCTGATCACTGGCCAGAAGAGGCCAAAAATGAGGCCAGGACAAAGTTGAGTGGTCGGGAGGAGGAAGAAGAGGAGCAGGAGAAGGATGGAGGCACAGTGAAAATCACACACAGTCAAAAGGAAGGGGACCAAGAGACCCAGGGAAGATGAAACAGTGAGACTGAGTAGGCAAAGCAACTGAGAGAGCTACTGGGCAGAGGATGGAGCCGGACAGAACAGCTTGTGGTGGGAGGTGCTTTTTCCCCACTCAGCACTACCTCAGCCCCTCACCTCTCTCCACACCCCCACACCTGCTCACCACCTAGACAATGTCACGGTCACAGGAAGTTCTCGCTCCACTGCACATCTCCGCCCCAGGAACCTCACAGTAGATAAAAACATACCCTGCTTGCAGTCCCAGACAACAATCCCAAGAAAGAAACACGAAGTCCCAACCAGACAAGTACACAAAAGCACTACCAGGAAGAAGCTGGCCCTTGGGAAAGGCCGAGGCACACATGGGCACTAGTTCAGAAGCCCAAGGACGTTCCAACGGCTGAGGGACCTGCTAACAGACAGCCCCAGGGTCACTCGAAGAGCAGCTTCTTCCCGCCTTCCTGTCCCACCAAGCCCCCAGGGATTCATTCCCCCAGAACACCTACCCCTCCAGAGACAGCAGCTGGGGAATCTAGGCCCAGGAGACGCTGGACTGGGGGTGGGGCCAGCCTGGGGGTGGGGCCAAGGCTTCCCAAGTCACCTCACCTGGCAGCCCACAGCCCCTCCTTCCAGGAGCTGTGCTCTGGGAAAGCCCCAACAGGCCTGCCAGGCAAGCTACAGCCCGTCATACCCTGGTGGGACATTCCACACCCCAGGCCCACGCTGACCCCAGCTAAGTGGCATGGCAGTGCCAGACAGAGGGGTCCACTGGGGAGAGCAGAAGGAGCTAGAGAGTCCTGAAACCTTTGTCCCCTCTTCTCACTGCCTCAGGAGAAATTCCTAGTGGTGATGCCCACCTCGCCCCAGCTCCAGGCTGGAGGAGTGGGAGGGATGCAAGGCTGGGGCCCAGTGGAGTCAAGTGACAACGGAAAGGGAGCTGGAGCCAGCTGGAATGCGGGACTCGGAGCCGAGATTCCCAGGGGCCTGAGAGGGAAATCCCAGCCATCCTGGGGCCCAGAGAGCAGCACCAAAGACCAAGAGGGCCTGATTACCCATCCGTGGTCCCCAGAGCCCGTTCCACATCTCCTGCATCACTCCGAACCCCAGAGGCCCCCTGTGTCCCCGAGAACCCCCAAATGACCCTCTACCATCCCCTCCCATCCTGGGCTTCCCTCCCCTTCAAGCCAGTGGCAGCCTGCTGCCCAGGAAGGAGAGGATGGGAAACAGCTGAAAAAATGTGAGGAGAGGCACGTAGGAGAGGGGAGAAGGCAGCTTCAGGCCTGCAGACCACCTGGCCACAGGAGGGAAGCCCAGCACGACCAGCGAGCGAGAGGACGGACCAGATGGGCCCCCACACATACACTAGCTGCAGTCCCCTTCCGGGAGCTGCAGCTGCCTCTGGAGGAGCAGGCTGGGTCAGCAGCTGGGGAGAGTAAGAAGCGATGGGTGGGGGGCAGGGTGAAGGAGTGTACAAGGCTTTGGGTGTGAGTCAGACCTGATGCCACTGAATAAACTGGAAACTGAGGCCAGGGAGCGAAGGAGGAGATTGAGATGACGTAGCTCTGGGAGAGAGATGAAACAGCTCAGCTGTGGTTGGGGAAGAAAAGGGCAAGGGACCAGAAGAGGGAGAGGAGGCTGATGGTCAGATGGGGACAATGGTGAGAGAATTCCCAGAGAGACGGAGATGGACTGAGGTCAAGGCCAAGGAGACAGGTCTGAGAGAGGAAAAGGAGGATGAAGACAGGGCACACACAGCAAAAGGTGGGAAGCCCCAGGGGCTCAGAGGAGGAGACTGAAGTTTGGGAAGAAAAGGGCTGAACTGGATGAAGGAACTGAAGTGGACTCGGGAAGGAAACAGTGTTGGAAACAAACTCCTAAGAGAGGAAGGCAGGGAACTGAGGAGGCTTGAGAGCTGGGCAGACAGATCAAGGGGACAAGAAGCAAGGACAAGGGAAGAAGGGGCTGGAGTGAAACAGAGAGTGGAGGGAAAGAGGAGGGAGACTGGGGCGCAGAGTGTGAAGCTAAGGGACACGGGGAGATGAGAAGTATAAAAGGCTGAGAAAGGAAGAGGCACCTGCGGGACAGATGGGGACATGAGGACCAAAGAGAGAATCTAACCTGTTTCTGGACAACGGTCCCCCATTGGGGACACCCTAGTCCCTCAGCCCATTCACCACACCATGGCACCCAACTCTATTCCCTCTCTTTCCCCTCCTCCCTGCCAGGCTCTGGGCCGCTCCCCTCCTCCCAACACACCTCCAGCCTCCAGCCGGGGACCGCCTGGTCCCTGCCCACAAGGGGAGGGCCCAGCTCCAGTGCCCACTCCTGCCCTCCCAGTTCATCTCTGGCTTCCCCCCTCTCACCTCCAGCTCAGGATTCTCTTAGGTCCCAGTCACCCCAGTCTCAGGCCTTTGGGGTCGGGTCTGGGGCTGCCAACGCTGCCTGGCTTTGTCCGAGCGTCCGGGGCCCCGGGCCCAGGAGGAGCAGCTGCCCGGGCCAGCTGCGGCTGGCTTCAATGTGACCATGGCAACCAAGTCCCGCTCCCCTCACCGAGCCTCTAGGCCCCCGCAGAGAGGGACTGAGCAGCCTGGCTGTGGAGAAAGGGAGGGGAGGCTGAGAACTGTGAAACAGAACCAAAGGGAGACCCCAGACAAAGAAACCCCAGACAAAAGGAGATGAAGGGAGGCAGAGGAAACAGAAAGCGGCATTGGGGGTGGTGGCCGGGAGCTCAGGCCCTCCAGAGGGGGAGAATCTAGGAGAGGCGGAGAAAGAGGCAGAAGCAGGGGCTGATTTGCAGGGGAGAAGAGAGATTAGAATTGACTGGCAGAGGTCCTTTAGAGACTCCTTCTGGGCCCCTGAGAATTCACTTCCTTCTCCCAGGATTTTGCACCCTGGAGAGAACCAGAATCCCAGTTTCTTAGTTGGCTGTCTCAAAAATATTATATATGGCGAGAGCTTCCCTCCAATTACACCAATGGCCATAGGAAATATCTGAAAACAAAAGGTGCTCTCGGTTTTCACAAACAACCCCAATTTCAAAGCCTAAACCATCACCTCTTAAATACCAATGGCAATGGTGCCAGTTGCGGTGGCTCATGCCTATAATCCCAGCACTTTGGGAGGCCAAGGAGGGCTGATCGCTTGAGCCCAGAAGTTCGAGACCAGCTTGGGCAACATGGCACAACCCCATCTCTACAAAAAATACCAAAATTAGCTGGATGTGGTGATGCGCACCAGGAGGCTGGGTGGGAGGATCACCTGAGCCCAGGAGGTCAAGGCTGCAGTGTGCCATGATTGCACCACTGCACTCCAGCCTGGGCAACAGAGCAAGACCCTGCCTAAAAAAAAAAAAAAAAAGGGCATTGTCAGACAATGTTCAGACAATCCTTGGTTTGGAAACTATGATCCCAAAGCCAAAGGTGATGAATTAGGCTTGGAGGGACTGGAGGAGGGAAGAGGAGTAATGAGGCCGCCTCTCACAGCATGCAAGAGGAAGCAGAGTATCAAATGGGAGGGGAGAAAGCAGGGCTCTGCGTCTGAGAGGGAGAGTTAAGGTTCCGACTCAACATCTGGCTTCTCTTGGCTGAGTCTACATCAGTAAGAGGGAGATAATGGTCACTGGCCCAGAGTCTGTTTAGAAGATAATGAGATAGCATCTGTAAGGTACAGGCCCACTGATAAAAGCAACCATCCAAACTCCACTAAACATGATCTCTCTCTGTGGACTTCTCATGTGTCACTTGGGATCTCTGAGTGCCACCTCCCAAGTCATTCCACAACAGTTGTTATTAAGAGTTTGCTTTGAGAGGCCGAGGTGGGTGGATCACCTGAGGTCAGGAGTTTGAGATCAGCCTAGCCAACATGGTGAAACCCCATCTCTACTAAAAATAGAAAAAAATTAGCTGGGTGTGGTGGTGCGCGTCTGTAACCCCAGCTACTTGGGAGGCTGAAGCAGGAGAATTGTTTGCACCTGAGAGGTGGAGGTTGCAGTGAGCCAAGATCACACCACTGCACTCCAGCCTGGGTGACAGAGGGAGACTCTGTCTCAAAAAATAATAATAATAAAATAAGAGTTTGCATAGGGCACCAGGTGCAGTGGCTCATGCCTATCATCCCAGCACTTTGGGAGGCCCGAGTCAGGCAGATCACCTGAAGTCAGGAGTTCGAGACCAGCCCGACCAACGTGGTGAAACCCTGTCTCTACTAAAAATGCAAAAAAATCAGCCAGGCATGGTGGCGGTTACCTGTAATCCCAGCTACTTGGGAGGCTGAGGCAGGAGAATCGCTTGAACCCGAGAGGTGGAGGTTGCAGTGAGCTGAGAATGCGCCATTGCACTCCAGCCTGGGAGACAAGAGTGAAAGTCCCTCTCAAAATAAATAAATAAATAAATAAATAAATAAATAAATAAATAAAAATAAAAGAGTTTGCATAGGGCAGGGCTCTGACAGCGAGAGCTATGAAAGATGCATTCAGTAATGGAACCCACTCCCCACCTTCCAGGCCTTTACAATCTAGAGAGTGTTAGGCGTATATATGTAGTCACAGAAGACAGAACACCGTGCTACAGGCAGAGCTGGAAAGGGTCATGGGAACCCAGGGAAGGAGGAGGCCAGGTCCTCCTGAGTGGGACAGGAGACAAGACTCAGGAAGACCTCAGGGAGGAGCTGGAGCTTGAACTGGGCCTTAAGTCATGCTAAGATTTGCAGAGATGAGGCAAGGCCATTCCTGGCCAGAGAAGCGGAGGAGCCAAGGCAGGGAGGCGTGAATATGGCTATGTCCAAATGCAGCCTCACCTGGAAGAAGGGTCCATCCCATGAGTGAAACCAGAAAGGCAGATTTGGAACCTATCATTGAGTAGTTTGGCTTATTCTGAAGGTGAGGAGAAAGAACCTTGGGGTTTTGAGCTGGGAAATGACATGTTTAGATTTGTGTTCTTTTAAAAGTGGTTTTTGGCAGCAGCATGTGGGATGCAGAGTTCAGAGTAATGGCTGAGGGGAGGGAGGAGTTAATCCCACTTTATCCTGTGTACGTCCCATGGTGCTCCCCCTAAGCCTCCAGCCAGGACAGCAGTGCACATCCTAGGTGTTTTACTAGCATTTTCAACCATCCTGTGTTTGCCTCCTCAGGGCCCTCTGACATGAGTGGGGCAGGGCTCTCATAAAAAGAAAACCTTGTAATCCCACCTACCCAGAAGCTGAGGCAGGAGGATGGCTTGAGCCCCAGAGTTCGAGGTAACAGTAACTATGATCACACCACTACACTCCAGCCTGGGTGACGGAGCAAGACTCTATCGCCAAAAAAAGAGTGAGAAAAAAGAAAACTAGGCCCAGAGGGGCTGCGATTTACCTTAAATTGCAATAGCAATTTAATTGCCACTTAATGGCAAGTGGCTGCTTCCTACCCAGAACTTCCCCTGGATTCCTCCATCTCAGTCTTCCAAAATGGAAAGGGGGATGTAGAATGGCTCCCTGGGCCTCCAGACTGGACCGACCCTGGACCGACCGCTAAGCCTGGTGAGTCCTGCCTCTGCGGAAGCCCGGCCTTGATAAACTTATCGGAGTATTCTTTAGGCCTTATGGTCCGGACAGTGAACAGGAAGGCCACTTGGGGGCGCTTGCTGCACAGGTGACCAACTCCAATTACTGGAAAATGGAAGGAAAGTGAAAGCGGCCAGGAAAGAGATTCAGGCTTGGGCAGGGAATGGCAGGAAGCACCCCAAAGCAGCAGACCCAAGAGAGAGGTCAGAAAGGCTGACTGGAAGCCCAGGGCAGCTGCGGGGCTATTTAGGGTACAATGACCTAATTTGCACATATAGGAGATGTTGTCATTTATAGGCAGAATGTTAGAATCTTCACTTTCTCTTTTCTATTGTCCTTTGCTAAAAAGCCTGTGGAATTCTCAGCAGCGTCTTAGGATCCCTGAGCCTTGCTGTGAGCCAGGCTCTGCTCTCAGCGCTTTCCAGAGCCATCTCATTTGGCCCACACAGCAGTTCTGTGATGTGGCATTTTGAAACATGCCCACTTAGGGTAGAAACTGAGAGTTAGAAAAGTTGCTCTCCATCCCCATCCCCCATACACACACAGTAAATGGCAGATCTGGAATTCAGATCTCAGTTGTTTGTTTATTTGTTTTATAGAGACAAGCTCTCTGTCACCCAGGCTGGAGTGCAGGGGTACAATTATAACTCAATGCAACCTCTCAAGCCATCCTCCCACCTCAGCCTCCCAAATAGCTGGGGCTCAGGCACCATCATGTCCTGTTATTTTTTATTTTTATTTTTTTGAGACAGAGTCTCGCCCTGTTGCCCAGGCTGGAGTGCAATGGCACGCTCTCGGCTCACTGCAACCTCTGCCTCCCGGGTTCAAACGATTCTCCTGCCTCAGCCTTGAGAGTAGCTGGGATTATACGTGCCCGCCACCACACCCAGCTAATTTTTGTATTTTTAGTAGAGACAGGATTTCACCATGTTGGCCAGGCTGATCTTGAACTCCTGACCTCGTGATCCGCCCGCCTCCGCCTCCCAAAGTGCTGGGATTACAGGCATGAGCCACCACGCCCAGCCATTTTTTGTTTGTATGTAGAGATTGGTAGAGATAGGGTCTCACCATGTTACGTAGGCTAGTCTCAAACTCCTGGCCTCAAGCGATCCTTCTGCCACAGCCTCCCAGTGTAATGAGATTACAGGCGTGTGCCACAATGCTTGGCCCAAATCTGAGTCTTTTTGATTACAGAGCCAAAGCTAGGCTGGAGGATCTCAGCCACCATTCTTTTTCCAACTCTAGAGGTCTATAATACATTCTTATCCTTTCTCTCTAGTCCTTGAACATCTTGGAACATTGTCATTAACTCCTCTAACTTCTTTTATCTCCCAAGAACACTGGTGGCCCAAATTATTCTTGTGTACAAAAAATGTACAGAGATCCAAAAATGGTAAATGCTTACCTCAAGGTCACCCTGGAAGTCAAGGTCAGTGCTAGGATAGTGTTCTCAAACTGAGGTCTCTGGACTCCTGAGGACTCGTGAATACCTGTGAAAACTATTAAGTTCCATGTCTAACTTTCCTTAGTAGCATTTGAAAAGTGTTATAAGCATGTTTTGGGTCATTTGTAACTGATCCTGGCCCTGCTTGTGAGTACCTGCATTTGCATTTACCTATTTATAGCTTTAATTGTCTTGGTCGCATTTGTACCAAGTGAAGGCCAGGAGACAAGTTCTAACAAAGATTTCTTAGTAATTTGAACAGACATGAGAAGGGGAAGAATTGAGTCATCGCCAGGCACACAGTGGAATATTGTGCCAAGTGCGGAAGAACCTTCATCAGGCAGTACATGGTCTGTTGCCAGCAGCAACTTCATTTCAGAAAAACACTATTTATTACATTAATGTTAAACTTGTCTTTATACTTTTGTTTGTACCTATGGCTACTTTGCTTTGGTTTTATAACTGCTTAACTACTGAAGCATAAGGAATTCATAGTTAGTTGTGTTTCCACACATTTAAATTATAAAAATAATTTAAGTCCATGAAAATTGTTTTCCTTCCAAAAAGGTCCATCCATACATTACTCAAGTTCTTGCTCTCACAGTAGGTATAAACTAAACCTGGGCCATCAAGAGTCTCCAAGGAAAACTTGCAATGATGGAGTCCCTGTTAAAGGTCAAAAATCTCCCCGACCCTCAAGATCCAGTGCAAGTGAAGCAGCCAGTTGTCTGGGGTAAATACCCGGGGTTTGCCATCCCATGCCAGGAAAATGTAGGACACGGACACACGCGAGGAGTCGCGAGGAGTTTAAGAGGGAAGGTTTAATAGGCAAAAGAAAGAGAAAGGAAAACAGCTCTCTCTCTAGTGAGAGAGGGGACTTCCGAGAGAAAAGGGGCAGCTGGAGGCAGATGAGCCGAATTTATAGTCCAGCTTGAGGAGGCGGCGTCTGATTTACTTAGGACTCACAGATTGGTTTGATCAGGTGTTTGTTTACATAGCTGGGAAGGCTGGCCGCCCCACCCTAAGCTTATTATGCAAATGAACTCTCTCGGAGGGTGCCATTTTGTCGGCTCCTTACTGCACCTGTGGCTGACAGAGAAGGGATGATGGGGCCGCCATTTTGAACATGATTGGCACAACTGCCGTCATCTATGTCTGCAGCCCGATTTTACAGGCTGCTCTTTGTTAGAAGGAAAAATGATTTGGGCCTGCTTTCCATTAAAAGAGAAACCTTACCAAGAACTTCGGTAACCTCACTGTCTACCTAAGTAATTTCTTCTTAACTCCTGTGTCACAAGGAAGTTAGAACCTGGGGTTTCTGGGCTACTAAGAGAGGAAGATGTGAAGGACTGATTCACAAAGTGAAGAAGTCAGAGGGCAGTCACCTGGGGAAAACTCCAAGGACAGTTTACAGGATAGAATCAAGAATTGGCCAGGTGAGGCCAGGCGCCCTGGCTCACACCTGTAATCCCAGCACTCTGGGAGGGCGAGGTGGGCGGATCACGAGGTCAGGAGATCGAGACCATCCTGGCTAACACGGTGAAACCTCGTCTCTACTAAAAATACAAAAAAACGAGCCGGGCGTGGTGGCGGGCCCCTGTAGTCCCAGCTACTCAGGAGGCTGAAGCGGCAGGATGGCGTGAACCGGGGAGGCGGAGCTTGCAGTGAGCCAAGACCGCACCACTGCACTCCAGCCTGGGCGACAGAGCAAGACTCCATCTCAAAAAAAAAAAAAAAAGGCCAGGTGAGGTGGCGCACGGCTGTAATCCTGTTACAGGAAAGGGGTCTCAATCCAGACCCCAAGAGAGGGTTGTTGGATTTCGCACAAGAAAGAATTCTGGGTGAGTCCTCAGTGCAAAGTAAAAGCAAGTTTATTAAGAAAGTAAAGGATTACAAGAACGGCTGCTCCATGGAGCAGCCCTGAGGGCGGCTGGTTGCCCGTTTTTGTGGTTATTTCTTGATGATATGCTAAACAAGGGCTGGATTATTCATGCCTCCCCTTTTTATTTTTTATTTTATTTATTTATTTATTTTTGAGATGGAGTTTCACTCTTGCTGCCCAGGCTGGAGTGCAGTGGTGAGATCTCAGCTTACTGCCACCTCCACCTCCCAGGTTCAAGTGATTCTTCTGCCTCAGCCCCCTGAGTAGCTGGAATTACAGGCGTGCACCACCAGGCCTGGCTAATTTTTGTATTTTTTTTTAGTAGAGACAAGGTTTCACCATGTTGGCCAGGCTGGTCTCGAACTCCTGGCCTCAAGTGATTTGCCTACCTCGGCCTCCCAAAGTGCTGGGATTACAGACGTGAGCCAGGGCACCCAGCCCCCCTTTTTAGACCATATAGGGTAACTTGCTGACATTGCCATGGCATTTGTAAACTGTCATGGCGCTGGTGGGAGTGTAGCAGTGAGGATGACCAGAGGTCACTCTCATCGCCATTTTGGTTTTGGTGGGTTTTGGCTGGCTCCTTTATTGAAAACTGCTTTATCAGCAATGTCTTTATGACCTATATTTTGTGCTGGCCTGCTGTCTCATCCTGTGACTTAGAATACCTTAACCATGTGGGAATGCAGCCCAGTAGGTTTCAGCCTTATTTTACCCAGCTCTTATTTAAGATGGGATTGCTGTGGTTCACACGCCTCTGACAATCCTAGCATTTTGGGAGGCCAAGGTAGGCAAATCACTTGAGGCCAGGAGTTTGAGAACAGCCTGAGCAACATGGTGAAGCCCCGTCTCTGCAAAAAAATACGAAAATTAGCCAGGTGTAGTGGTGCACATCTGTGATCGCAGCTACTCAGGCATCTGAGGTGAGAGGATCATTTGAGCCTGAGAGATGGAGGTTGCAGTGAGCCATACCACTGTACTCCAGGCTGGACCACAGAGTGAGACTGTGTCTCAAAAATGAGTAAATAAATACAGAAATAAATAAATAAGAAAAGGAAAGGTAAGTAGTTAAATGTCCATTAATAGGTATGAATAGCCACAAAAATTACTGTTTTATTTTAGGTTTCTCCAAAAGCACATCCTGGGACAAGTACTTGGATATAAGTAGTTTATTTAGGAGGGGCACTGAGTGAAGGGCTGGGAAGAGTGAGACAGGGAAGGGAGAAGAGCCAATAAAGCGTGTGTTAATGAGCAGATTACTTACTGTTGGGAGAAGTGGAACTTAAAACTGTTGGGACTGTAAGTGTCCAATGGGTTCTTCTTGCCTGCTGCCCAGATAGAGCCAATTTATAAAGGCAGGGGAATTGCAGTAGAGAAAGAGTTTTTCACATGTAGAGCTGGCGAAGGAGAAGACTGGAGTCTTATTATGCTCAAATCAGCCTCTTAGAAAAAATTCTGAGACTAGGGTTTTCCAAGGATAGTTTGGGGGAAGAAGGGGAGTAGCTAGGCAATGGGTGCTTGCTGCTGATTGGTTGCAATCATAGGGGTGTGGGAAATGGTCCTCATACATGCTGAGTCACTTCTGGGTGGGGCCACAGGAGCAGTTGGAGGATCCAGTTGGAGCCATAAGTCGTCAGACATAGAAAAAAATCTGAAAAGATATCTCAAAAGCCCAGACATTTATTCACACTAACGGTGAAAAGCATACCCCACAGTGTCAGTGGAGGTAACATGGGGTCCTGGATTTCCTCTTCACCCTCAGTGGTAGTGAGGTGTTCCTCTCACTCCTTCTGAGTAGAGGAAGCCAAGAGGAAAGCTGGAACTTGTACCATCATCCAGTGGTGATAAAGCCTCTGTCCCTCCACCTTACCCCCAGGTTATCAGTGGCAACCACATGGCTAGTGGTACCCCTCCCGCTCCTAGCCAGAATGATATCAGCAGAGGCCTAGAGAGTAGCCCAAAAACTCATCTGCACCCAGCAGGACTGAGGTTTCCTACCCCCACCAATGGAAGCCAAGTGAGGAACCTAAGCCTTCACCTCTCACTCAGCAGGAACCAGACAACACCCCCTAACACACACACACACACACACACACACACACACACACACACACCCTTCTGTTAGTGTGGTATCAAGGAGGCTTGATAAAATAGAAGATTTAAATAGGATCCAGAGGCTGGGTGCAATGGCTCACACCTGTAGTCCCAACACTCTAGGAGGCCAAGTTGGGTGGATCACTTGGGCTCAAGAGTTTGAGAACAGCCTGGACAACATGGTAAAACCCTGTCTCTACAAAAAATACAAAAATTAACCAGGTGTGGTGGCACATGCCTGTAGTCCCAGCCACTTGGGGGGCTGAGGCGGAAGGATCACCTGAGCTAGGAGGCAGAGATTTCAGTGAGCCAAGATTGCACTACTACACTCCTCCAGACTGGGTGACAGAGTGATACCTTGTCTCAAAATAAATTAATAAATAGGATCCAGAGTCTCATAACATAATATCCAAATGTCCAGGATGCAATTGAAAATCACTTGCCATACCAAGAACCAGGAAAATCTCAACCAGAATAAGAAAAGACAACAGATGTCAATATCACGATAACACAGATGTTGCAATTATCTGACAAGGAAGCAGCCGTCATAAAAAATGTTTCAACAAGTCATTGTAAATATGATTGAAACAAATAAAAAAGGGAGAAGTCTCAGAAAAGAAATAGAAGATATAAAGAAGAATCAAATGGAAATTTTAGAACTGAAAAATGCCATAATAAAAATTTAAAATTCACCGAATGGGCACAACAGCAGAATGGAGAGGACAGAGAAAAGACTCAGTAAACTTGAAGATAGAACAACAGAATTCATCCAATCTGAACAACAGGGAGAAAATAGATAGGAAAAAAATGAACGTAACCTCAGACCACAATGAACATAACTATGTGACTGTAACAAAAGATCTAGCATTCATGTTATTGGGGTCCCAGAAGGAGAGGAGAAACAGGATGGAGCTGAAAAAGAATTGAAAGGAATAATGGCTAAAAATTTTCCTAAATTTAGGGGGAAAAAACATAACAGATTCAAGATGCTAAGCAAATCCCAAACAGAATAAACCCAAAGAAATCCATGCAGAGGCACATCATAATTAAACTTCTGGAAACTAAAAAATCTTGAAACCAATCAGAAATGACACAGTATTTGTAGAGGAAAAACAATCCAAATGACAGAAGATTGCTTTTCAGAAACCATGAAAACCAAAAGGAAATGACATTTTTTTCAAGTGCCAAAGGAAAATAACTGTCAGCCCAGTATCCTGTAGCCATCAAAAATACCCTTCATGAATGAAGGGGAAATCAAGACATTCTTAGGAGAAGGAAAATGAAAAGAATTTGTCATCAGCAGACCTACCCTAAAAGAATGGCTAAAAGAAATTCTTTCTTTCTTTCTTTCTTTCTTTCTTTCTTTCTTTCTCTTTCTTTCTTTCTTTTCTGTATGTGTGTGTGTGTGTGCATGTGTGCGTGTAGAAGCAGGATCTCACCATGCTGCCCAGGCTACTCTCAAACTCCTGGCCTCAGGTGATCTTCCTGTCTCAGCCTCCCAAAGTGCTGGGACTGCAGGTGTAAGCCACCACACCTAGCCTAAAAGGAACTCTTGAGACAAACAGGAGAGGATAAAGAAGAAATCTTGGAGCATCAGGAAGAAAGAAAGAACAATAGAAAATGCAAAAATATGGGAAGATTACATTATTTCACTCCTTGGCATCAGGTTTGGCTATGTGACCTTCTGTGGCCAATCAAATGTGAGCAGAAGCAACATATATCACTTCCAGGAAATAGCTTCAAAGGCCAGTGTGTGGTTCTCCATGACTCTTTCTCCTCTCATGACACCTGTCACTGCTCCAGCTCTGCCATCTGGGTCCTGGTGTGAGATGACATGGACAGGGCCATAGCCAACCTGCAATGAATACATATAGCATGAGCAAAAATAAATCTTGGATGTTGTAAACATCTTAAGATTTTTGGCCAGGCATGGTGGCTGAAGCCTGTAATCCCAGTACTCTGGAAGTCTGAGGCAGGTAGATCACTTGAGGTCAGGGGTTCAAGACTAGCCTGGCCAATATAGTGAAAACCCATCTCTACTAAAAATACAAAAATTAGCTGGGGGTGGTGGCAGGTGCCTGTGATCCCAGCTACTCAGGAGGCTGAGGCAGGAGAGTTGCTTGAACCCAGGAGGCAGAAGTTGCAGTGAGCCAAGATCATGCCACTGCACTCCAGTCTGAGAGACAGAGTGAGACTCTGTCTCAAAAAAAAAAGTAAAGATTTTTTTAACCATGGCAAAACTTGACTTTTTTTTTTTTTTTTTTGTGACAGAGTCTCGCTCTGTTGCCAGGCTGGAGTGCAGTGGCATGATCTCGGCTCACTGCAACCTCCGCCTCCCAGGTTCAAGCAATTCTCCTGCCTCAGCCTGCTAAGTAGCTGAGATTACAGGCACGTGCCACCACATCCAGCTAATTTTTTGTATTTTTAGTAGAGACAGGGTTTCATCGTGTTAGCCAGGATGGTCTCGATCTCCTGACCTCGTGATCTGCCTGCCTCAGCCTCCCAAAGCGCTGTGATTACAGGCGTGAGCCACCACGCCTGGCTGACCTTTCTTGATTGATATATAATCACAGTGATACATCTGTATAGTTCTTTTGTGTTGCCAAAACCTCACATTATTTACTTTGACCTTCATAAAACCCCATGAAGTATGAAGACAAATTATAGAGGGAGCCAGCCCCCAATATTTCAATGTAGGTTCTTTTCTATTTTCCCTTAGTGTCGGCTGGTCTGAGAAATAAAGAGAAACAGTACAAAGAGAGAAATTTTACAACTGGGCCTCCAGCGGTGACATCACATACTGGTAGGACCGTGATGACAACCCCGAGCTGCAAAACCAGCAGGTTTTTATTAGGGATTTTAAAAGGGGAGGGGATGTACGAACAGGGAGTAAGCCACAAGGATCACATGCTTCGAAGGGCAATAAAGATCACAAAGCGAAGGCAAAATTAGAATTACTGATGAGGGTCTATGTCCCGCTGTGCACGTATTGTTTTGATAAACATCTTAACAGGAAACAGGGTTCGAGACCAAAGAACCGGTCTGACTAGAATTTACCAGGCTGGAATTTCCCAATCCTAGTAAGCCTGAGGGTACTGCAGGAGACCAGGGCATATTTCAGTCCTTATCTCAACCACATAAGACAGACACTCCCAGAGCAGCCATCTACAGACCTCCCCCGAGGAATGCATTCCTTCCCCAGGGTTATTCCTTCCTGGGAAAAGAATTCAGCGATATTTCTCCTCGCACATCTGTTTATAGGCTTTCTGCAAGAAGAAAAATATGGCTCTATTCTGCCCAACCCTGCAAGCAGTCAGACTTTATGGTTATCTTTTCTTGTTACCTGAAAATTGCTGTTACTTTGTTCTTTTTCAGAGTGCACTGATTTCATATTGTTCAAACCCACATGTTTTACAATCAGATTTCATATTGTTCAAACACACATGTTCTACAACCAATTTGTACAATAGTGGTCCTGAGGTGACGTACATTCTCAGTTTATGAAGATAATAGGATTAAGAGATTAAAGACAGGCATAAGAAATTATAAGAGTATTAGGGAAGTGATAAATATCCATGAAATCTTCACAATTTATGTTCAGAGATTGCAGTAAAGACAGGTGTAAGAAATTATAAAAGTATTAATTTGGGGAACTGCTAAATGTCCATGAAATCTTCACAATTTATGTTCTTCTGCCTTGGCTCCAGCTGGTCCCTCCATTCAGGGTCCCTGACTTCCCACAACAAATTAATGATATTTTTGTGTCAAAGACTAGCTGAACCCTATGTTGTTCCCGGTTACCAACTGACATAAATAAGTATGTTTGTAATGAGCCTTAAGAATGGTTCTATGGAGTTGCCCATGTAAGAAGCAGCCGGATGGCAAATTAGTTATTGTAATTTGAAGTGCTCACAGTTATAACTTCCTATATAAGGTTCCTACTTGCAATTTCTGTTTGTTTTCTATATTCACAATATCTTAAAAGGCATAGACTATCTTTCCAAGCCTCACATTATACATCACTTTAATTTGCTCTGGTGTAAAACTGCTAATTTCTTTGAGGTGATACCACAGAACCACTAAATTAGATACGCTGTATGCCACATAGCATATATTTTAAGTCATTTTTTAATTAAAAAAAAACAAACCTTAAAATTTGGTGAAAATCCATTGTGTTTGTTATCTATTGCTGCATAATAAATTGCCCCAAAAGTAAGTAGCTTCAAACAATAAGAAACATTTATTTTCTATCTCTCTTAAACACATACACACACACATACATACACACACAAACACAGTATTAATTTGTTATTGTTGAAGTTTTAAAAAGTGATTTGTATGTCAAAAACAAACCCCAACCTTCTCTCCTTGCCACCCAAACCAAAGAAGGCCAGCTCCATAACATAAAAGTGCGAGGTGAAGCAGCAAGTGATGATGAAGAAGCTGCATCAAGTTATCCAGAAGATCTAGCCAAGATAATTGGTGAAGGTGACTACACTAAACAACAGATTTTCCATGTAGATAAAATAGCTTTATATTGGAAGAAGAGGCCATCTAGGACATTCATAGCTACAGAGGAAAAGTCAATGCCTGCCTGGCTTCAAAGCTTCAAAGGACAGTCTGACTCTCTTGTTAGAGGCTAATATAGCTGATGGCTTTAAGTTGAAGCTAATCCTCATTTACCACTCTGAAAACCCTCTGGCTCTTAAGAATTATGCTAAATCTACTCTGCCTGTGTTTTATAAATGGAACAACAAAGCTTGGATGACAGCATATCTGTTTACAGCATGGTTTGTTGAATATTTTAAGCCCACTGTTGAGAGACCTACTGCTCAGGAAAAAAAAGATTTCTTTCAAAATATTACTGCTCATTGACAATGTAGTTGGCCACCCAAGAGCTCTGATGCAGAGATACAAGGAGATAAATGTTGTTTTCATGCTTGGTAACACAGTGTCCATTCTGCAGCCTATGGATCAAGGAGTGATTTCAACTTTCAAGTCTTATTATTTAAGAATAAATTTTGTAAGGTTATAGCTGCAATGGATAGTGATTTTTCTGACATATCTGGGCAAAATACATTGAAAATCTTTTGGAAAGCATTCATCATTCTAGATGCCATTAAGAACACTTGTGAGCTGAGCACGGTAGCTCACACCTGTAATCCCAGCACTTTGGGAGGCCGATGTGGGTGGATCACCTGAGGTTAGGAGTTCCAGACCAGCCTGGCCAACATGGTGAAACCCCATCTCTACTAAAAATATAAAATTAGCCAGGCATGGTGACACACTCCTATAATCCTAGCACTTTGGGAGGCCGAGGCAGGTGGATCACCTGAGGTCAGGAGTTTGAAACCAGCCTGGCCAACATGGTGAAACCCCATTTCTACTAAAAATACAAAAATTAGCTAGGCCTGGTGGCAGAGGCCTGTAATCCCAGCTACTTGGGAGGCTGAGGCAGGAGAATTGCTTGAATCTGGGAGGCAGAGGTTGCAGTGAGCTGATATCGCACCACTGCACTCCAGCCTGGGCAACAAGAGTAAGACTCTGTCTCAAAAAAAAAAAAAAAAAAAAAAAAAAGAGAGAGAGAGAAAGAAAAAAAAAGAACACTTGTGATTCACGGGAGGAGGTCAAAATATCAACATTTACAAAAGTTTGGAAGAAGTTTGGTGCAAACCTTCATGAATGACTTTTGAGGGGTTCCTGACTTCGGTAACTGCAGATGTGGTAGAAAAAGCCAGAGAACTAGAAGTGGAGCCTGAAGATGTGACTGAATTGCTGCAATCTCATGATAAAATTTGAATAGATGAGGAAGTGCTTCTTGTGGATGAGCAAAGAAAGTGGTTTCTTGAGACGGAATCTACTCCTGTTGAAGATGCTATGAACATTGTTGAAATGACAACAAAGGACTTAGAATATTACATAAACTTAGTTAATAAAGAAGCAGCAGGGTCTGAGAGAATTGACTCCAATTTCAAAAGAAGTTTTACTGTGGGTAACATGTATCAAACAGCATCACATGCTACAGAGAAATCTCTCACAAAAGGAAGAGTGAATCGATGTGGCAAACTTCGTTGTTGTCTTAATTTAAGAAATTGCCATAGCCACTTAAGCTTCAGCAGCCCCCACTCTGATCAGACAGCAACACACCTTCCACCCACAAAAGGATTATAACTCTCCGAAGGCTCAGATAATCATTATCATTTTTTAGCAATAAAGTATTTTAAAATTAAGGTATGTACTTCTTTAAGACATAATGCTATTGCACACGTAATAGACCATAATATAGTGTAAGCATAACTTTTATGTGCACTAGGAAAACAAAAACTTAGTGACTTACTTTACCGAGATATTCCCTTTATTGTGATGAACTGGAACTGGGCCCGCAATATCTCCAAGGTATGCCTATATCTGAGAAAGCAGCACTGAAATGGCAAATAAATAATATTCATGAAAGCTTTGCCAGTAAGGAAGTAGAGGGTGGCTGTTTTGTGGAAACTAAAAGCGTGTCCTGCAAAAACCTTTCGTGAAATCAGACAGGCTTTCTTTCTTTTTTATTTTTTTTTCCAAGACAGGGTATCACTCTGACACTAAGGCTGGAGTACAGTGATGTGATCTCAGCTCACTGCAGCCTCAACCTCCTGGGCTCAAGTGATCCCCTCACCTCAGCCTCCTCAGTAGCTGGGACTATAGGCATGTACCCCAATGCCTGGCTAATTTTTTTTTTTTTTAAACAGTGGTCTCTCTTTGTTGCCCTGGCTGGTCTTGAACTCCTAGGCGCAAACTGAATAGGCCTCCCAAAGTGCTGTGATTACAGGTGTGAGCCACTGAACCCAGCCAGACAGGCTTTCTTCAGCAAGTTGTCTGCCATGCAAAGAGATTTGGGTCATAAGATTCAGTAGTCTCTGGGAAGCCTTTAAAAAAGAAGTTGAACCTGGCCATGATCAGATTGGCATAGTATTATAAAGGATGATATGAAGGGTGATACAGTTTGAATCCGTGTCCCTGCCCAAATCTTATATTGAAATGTAATCCCCAATGTTGGAGGTGGGTTCTTGTGGGAGGTGATTGGATCGTGGGGGCAGATTTCTCATAAATGGTCTAGTACCATCCCCTTTAGCACTGTACTCACCATAGTGAGTGAGTTCCTGTGATATATGGTCATTTAAAAAGGTGTAGCACCTTTACCATCACTCTCTCTCACTCCTGCTCCCGCCATGTGAGATCCCTGCTCCCCCTTCACCTTCCACCGTGATTGAAAGCTTCCTGGGGCCTCCCCAGAAAGAGATGCTGCTATGCTTCCTGTACAGCCTACAGAACCGTGAGCCAATTAAACCTCTTTTCTTACAAATTACCCAGTCTCAAGTATTTCTTTATAGCAGTGCAAGAATGGCCTAATACAAAGGGAAAGCAAGATTAGGGGAAGGGGTGCCAGTAACAAGGCTATGTATTATGTGCTTCTAATTCTAAATCATATACGTACTGGGAAACCAGAACTTGCAGGTGGATGGATCACCATCATACCTATTCCATCCCAGGAGCAGCAAAACTGTCCCCCTTAGAGATCTTCCACCGTGAACCTCAGAGCCATTCAGCTATGGGTAAAGCTAACCTAAGCACAAATAGCAGATTTTTAGCGCCTGACTGGGATCCAGAGCCACTTGGTCAGCGGGGAGGGTAAGGGATGGATATTGTGAAGGTTCAGAGGTCAGGGTGGGAGGGGGCTGGCAATGGGTTAATCAAAGGGGCTCTCACACAAATATCCTATTCAAGACACCAAAAGTGACAACCTGAGACTTCTATTAGCTTGATTTTGTTGATGAAACATTCACCTTGAGGGGAGGAGGGAGGTACCCAAGGGATATCTCATGCACCTCTCACCTAGACTCCAGGGAAACCAGAGGCAAGGACTTCATAATGATCTGCCCCACCTGAGGATGATGGTGATATGCTGACATCATCCTCTGTACTGCCCAAATCCTGCTGCACATCAAAAACACAATCTGCACCACCACACAACCACGTGATCATCAATTGAGACATGAAGTTCACATCTTGTCTCTGGACCTTGAGAGCTTGTTTGGAGATTCTAGCAGGGGAGCGCAGCTACTCGTATACCCTTAGCCGAAGACTGGTCCTCCTCTATTGGGGATGGTCCTCCTCTTCAACTGAGCACACAGCTTCAGGAGGGATGCACATGGAGTGGTGAGGGAAGAAGGGGACACCACCTAGCCAGCTAGATCAGCAGAATCAACAGTGGCAATCACTGGGGTGACAGATGTCATAGCCAGATCACCCTCACATCCAATGTCTCTGGAAAATAGCGTTCAACTTTCTCCACTTGAGAAGGCACCTGACTACTTGCCTGCTGCCCACACTAGGGGCCAGATATGGTACATTAGTCACCTTCTTAGAGGCATTCTCCAGGCTCAGCAGGAAGCCCCCCCTTGACTGGGGAGCTGGGAAAGGGCAGGGATGTACTTTTCTGCAGAGATCTATTTTCTCCACAATGGGATTTAAATCATTAAACTGACTTTATAACATCAGTTCTAGAGCATCCTACTTGCAAACGGAGTGAAATTATCCAAATTATAAAGGAATCTCTCACTTGATAAAAGAAACACATGGTCTCAGGTAGCGTTTTAATGTTTCATAGCATGTGTTTTCAGATCAATAGACACTTAGCAGAGGGAAGGTGTATTAGTCCTGTAACAGGGTGTATTAGCACTGCTATAAAGAACTACCTGAGACTGGGTAATTTATGAAGAAAGGAAGTTTAATTGGCTCACAGTTCCACAGGCTGTACAAGAATCATGCTTGGGGAGGCCTCAGGAAACTTACAATCTGGGCAGAAGGGCAAGGGGAAGCAAACACCTTCTTCACACGGTGGAGTGGGAGAGAGGGAAAGTGAAGGGGGAGGTACTACACACTTTGTTTTTTTGTTTTGTTTTGTTTGTTTGTTTGTTTTTTGAGTCAGAGTTTTGCTCTTGTTGCCCAGGCTGGAGTGCAATGGCGTGATCTCGGCTCACAGCAACCTCCATCTCTCAGGTTCAAGTGATTCTCCTGCCTCAGCCTCCCAAGTAGCTGGGATTATAGGCATGTGCCACCATGCCGGCTAAATTTGTATTTAGTAGAGACGGGGTTTCTCCATATTGGTCAGGCTGGTCTCGAACTCCCGACCTCAGGTGATCCGCCTACCTCAGCCTCCCAACATGCTGGGATTACAGGCGTGAGCCACCACGCCCGGCTCTACTACACACTTTCAAACAACCAGATCTCGTGGGAACTCACTCACTATCACGAGAACAGCAAGGGGGAAATCTGCCCCAATGATCCAATCACCTCCCACCAGGCCTCTCCTCCAACACTCCAACACTGGGAATTACAGTTCAACTTGAGATTTGGATGGAGCCCATATTGGAGGGATTGAAAGTTCCTATGTTCCAAGACACAGACCAACAAGAAAGCAAGCAAATTAAAAAGGAAGCCTGAAATTCTAGTAGTAAGATGAATTATTAGGCCGGGCGTGGTGGTTCACACCTGTAATCCCAGCACTTTGGGAGGCCAAGGCAGGTGGATCACGAGGCCAGTAGTTCCAGACCAGCCTGACCAACGTGGTGAAACCCTGTCTCTACTAAAAATGCAAAAATTAGCCAGGCATGGTGGTGCGCGCCTGTAATCCCAGCTACTCAGGAAGCTGAGGCAGGAGAATCGCTTGAACCTGGGAGGCAGAGGTTGCAGTAAGCTGAGCTCACACCACTGCACTCTAGCCTGGGTGACAGAGCAAGACTCCATTAAAAAAAAGAGAGAGAGAGAGAAGTGATTTATGTATTTGGTTTTTCCTGGACAGGAAGCTAAAATTCCAGGCTGGTGTTTAACCCCGGATGACTGTCAGGCGTAGCTGAAGACTCTGCTGGGTTTCTCTGGGCAATTGGCTTTTCACATTGGTCTGCGGGTTTGTCTGTAACTCCAGGCGATAGAGCTGGGAGTGTGCTGGGGGAGGACCAAGATTAGGATGAGACGCAGGTGAGGGCTCAGCCGTACTGTTTGTTCATGGGATGTTCCTCATGAGATCCTGTAGCCTCACATCGGCAAGAAAAGAACACATCTCCTTTATGTGCCAGCTGGGAGCTGAGGAGACTGGTCACACTCACAGAAAACCCAAGGAACGTTAGTAGTCATGGTTTTCAAGGCCAAAATCTAAACAGTGTTTGGGGAGGAGCTGGTCCCTCCCACCATGCACAGAGGTGTTTATGTGGTGTCCCTAGGCCAACGAAGAATGTCTCTCCAAGATCTCAGCTCCTCACCACACCTCCCCAACCCTCAACTTTCCCCTTCCCTCTCCATGAATCCACCTCCTTTTTACCTTCTCTCAAAGTTCCCTGCCTTCCCAAGTCCTTGCACTGAGCTGCGCCGACTCTCCGGCAAGATTAGCAAGTCCCTGGCCCCCTTTTATATTTTTGTGCTTGCAGCCTGTCAACTCTCAGGCAAACAGACCCTGACAGACTGCTTTACCAGGCAGAGTGCTACACCTCCTGGCTCCCCTGCTACCAGCTGCTAGGACCTAGTGCACGAGGTTATCACCACTTTGGCCAGCCTCCTCACCACCCTATTTTCTTTTCTTTTTTCTTCCTTGTTTAAAAAAAGAGAGAGAGAGAAAGAGGGCCTCGCTCTGTTGCCTAGGCTGGAGTACAGTGGCACAATCACGGTTCACTGCAGCCTTGAACTCCTGGGCTCAAGTGATCTTTCCAACTCAGCCTCTGGAACAGCTAGGACTACAGGAACATGCCACCATGCCTGGATAACTTGGTTTTTTGTTTGCTTTTAGAGAGGAAGTCTCCCTATGTTGCCCAAGTAAGTCTCCAACTTCTGGCCTCAAGTGATAATCCTGTCTTGGCCTCCCAAAGTGCTGGGATTATAAACTGATATGGTTTGGCTGTGTCCCCAGCCAAATCTCATCTTGAATTGTAGCTCCTATAATTCCCATGTGTTGCAGGAGGGACCTGGTGGGAGATAACTGAATCACAGGGGTGGTTTCCCCTATACTGTTTTCATGGTAGTGAATAAGTCTCATGAGATCTGATGGTTTTATAAGGGGAAACCCCTTTCACTTAGTCTCTCATTCTGTTCTTGTCTGCCACCATGTAAGACATGGCTTTTGCCTTCAATTGTGATTGTGAGGCCTCCCCAGCCATGTGGAACTGTGAGTCCATTAAATCTCTTCTTTTTCTTTATAAATTACCCAGTCTTGGGTATGTTTTTATCAGTAGCATGAAAAGGGACTAATACAGTACATTGGTAATGGGAGTGAGATGCTGCTGTAAAGTAACCCAAAAATGTGGAAGCAACTTTGGAACTGGGTAACAGGTAGCGACTGGAACAGTTTGGAGGGCTCAGAAGACAGGAAAGTGTGGGAAAGTATGGAACTTCCTAGAGACTTGTTGAATGGCTTTGACCAAAATCCTGATAATGATATGGACAATGAAATACAGGCTGAGGTGGTCTCAAATGGAGATGAGGAACTTGTTGGGAACTGGAGTAAAGGTGACTCTTGCTATGTTTTACCACAAAGACTGGTGGCATTTTGCCCCTGACCTAGAGATTTGTGGAACATTGAACTTGAGGGAGATGATTTAGGGTATCTGGCAGAAGAAATTTCTAAGCAGCAAAGCATTCAAGAGGTGATGTAGGTGCTGTTAAAAGCATTCAGTTTTAAAACTGAAACACAGCATAAAAGTTCAGAAAACTTGCAGCCTGACGATGTGATAGAAAATAAAAACCCATTTCTTTTTTGTTTGTTTGTTTTTGAGATGGAGTCTAGCTCTGTCACCCAGGCTGTAGTGCAGTGGCATGATCTTGGCTCACTGCAACCTCTGCCTCCCAGGTTCAAGCAATTCTCCTGCCTCAGCCTCCCAAGTAACTGGAATTACAGGCACATGCCACCACGTCCAGCTAATTTTGTATTTTTAGTAGAGACAGGGTTTCATCATGTTGGCTGACCAGGCTGGTCTTGAACTACTGACCTCAAGTGATCTGCCTGCCGTGGCCTCCCAAAGTGTTGGGATTACAGGCGTGAGCCACCGTGCCCAGCTAATTTTTGTATTTTTTGTAGAGATGGGGTTTTGCCCAGGCTCGTCTCGAACTCCTGAACTCAAGTGATCCACCTGCCTCAGCCTCCCAAAGTGCTGGGATTACAGGCCTGAGCCGCCACGCCCAGCCAAAAAAATCATTTTCTGAGGAGAAATTCGAGCCAGCTGAAGAAGTTTGCATAAGTAATGAAGAGTCAAATGTTAATCACCAAGACAATGGGGTAAATGTCTCCAGGGCGTGTCAGAGACCTTTGCAGCAGCCCCTCCCATCACAGACCTGGAGACTAGGGAGAAAAAATGGTTTTGTGGGCCAGGCCTAGGGCCCCCCTGCTGTGTGCAGCCTGGAGACTTGGTGCCTGCATCCCAGCCATGGCTAAAAGGGGCCAAGGTACAGCTTGGGTCATGGCTTCAGAGGGTGCAAGCCCCAAGCCTTGGCAGCTTCCACATGGTGTTGAGCCTGTGGGTGCACTGAAGTCAAGAATTGAGGTTTGGGAACCTCCAACTAGATTTCACCTGGATGTCCAGGCAGAAGTTTGCTGCAGCGGTGGAGCTCTCACGGAGGACCTCTGCTAGGGCACTGCGGGAGGAAAATGGGAGGTTGAAGCCCCCATGCAGGGTCTCCACTGGGGCACTGCCTAGTGGAGCTGTGAGAAGAGGGCCACCATCCTCCAGACCCCAGAATGGTAGATCCGCCCACAGCTTGCACTGTGTGCCTGGAAAAACAACAGACACTCAACACCAGCCCATGAAAGCAGCCAGAAGAGGGGCTGTACCATGTAAAGCCACAGGGGCAGAGCTGCCCAAGGCCATGGGAACCCATCTCTTGTATCAGTGTTACCTGGATGTGAGACATGGAGTCAATGGAGATAATTTTGGAGCTTTAAGATTTGACTGCCCCACTGGATTTTGGACTTGCATGGGGACTGTAGCCCCTTTGTTTTGGCCAATTTCTCCCATTTGGAATAGCTGTATTTACCCAATGCCTATACCCCCACTATATCTAGGAAGTAACTAACTTGCTTTTGATTTTGCAGCCTCATAGTTGGAAGGGACTTGCCTTGTCTCAGATGAGACTTTGGACTGTGGACTTTTAAGTTTATGCTGAAATGAGTTAAGACTGTTGGGAAGGCATGATTGGTTTTGAAATGTGAGGACATGAGATTTGGGAGGGGCTGGGGCAGAATGATATGGTTGGGCTGTGTCCCCACCCAAATCTCATCTTGAGTTGTAGTTCCCATAATTCCCATGTGTTGTGGGAGGGACCTGATGGGAGATAATTGAATCACAGGGAGTGGTTTCCCCCATACTGTTTTTGTGGTAGTAAGTCCCACAAGATCGGATAGTTTTATAAGGGGAAATCCCTTTCACTTGGTCTCTCATTCTCTTCTTGTCTGCCACCATGTAAGATGTGCCTTTTGCCTTCTGCCATGCTTGTGAGGCCTCCCCTGCCACATGGAACTGTGAGTCCATTAAACCCCTTTTTCTTTATAAATGACCCAGTCTCAGGCATGTCTTTATCAGCAGCATGAAAACAGACTAATATATAGGCCTTCACCATCGTTTTTTTTTTTTTTTTTCGAGACAGAGTCTCGCTTTGTTGCCCAGGCTAGAGTGCAGTGGCATAATCTCTTCTCACTGCCACCTCCGCCTCCTGAGTTCAAGTGATTCTCTTGCCTCAGCCTCCTGAGTAGCTGGTACTACAGGTGGGTGCCACCACATCTGGCTCATTTTTGTATTTTTAGTAGATATGGGGTTTCACCATGTTGGCCAGGGTGGTCTCAAACTCCTGACCTCAGATGATCCACCCATCTCAGCCTCCCAAAGTGCTGGGATTATAGGTGTGAGCCAGCATGCCTGGCCACATCATCCATTTTTGCTGCCAGAATTTTTGCCATCACCCCTGCCATTTGAGGGCAGAACAAAAGGTTGCTCACATCATTTGATTCAGATCATGTTGGCCAAAAGCTAGTCCCACAGCATGTGATACTGGGAAATGTAGTCTTGATTCAGGATGGCCACAAGTCCAGCAAAAATTTGGGAGTCTCATTAGTAAGGAAGAAGAGGAGAATGGATACTTGGGGACAACAGCAGTTTCTGCCACAAAGCACACAGTGGGAAGTGAGAGATCACTACACACCTCCATTCTCACCAGGAGCAGCTGGCCTGTAAATGGCACAAAGTAAGTGAAGAAGCCTCAAATGTTATTTATTTTATTTTTATTTTATTTTTTTGAGACAGGGTCTTGCTGCGTCTCCAAGGCTGGAGTGCAGTGGTATGATCATGGCTCACTGCAGCCTTGACTTCTTGGGCTCCAGTGATCCTCCTTCCTCAGCCTCCCAGTAGCTACGATTACAGGCGTGTGCCACTATGCCTGGCTAATTTTTGTATTTTTGGTAGAGACGGGGTTTTACCACATTGTCCAAGCTGGTCTCGAACTCCTGAGCTCAAGCAATCATCCGCTTTGGCTTCCCACAGTGCTAGGATTACAGGTATGAGCCACCATGCTTGGCC